>NC_000014.9:43361713-43986713 GCF_000001405.40 Homo sapiens
TAAGTTCTTTCAAACAAATTATTTTTAATGTTCATTCATGTGTGAATTAACAGTTTGTTCTTCAGGTATTGCTGATTAGTATTCTATTGAATTGATTTACTACAATTGTTAGTCCATTAACTAGTTGAAGGACATCTGTGTTTTTCACAGTTTTCAGTGATTAAGAATAAAGATGTCATAAACATTTGTGTCAAAGTCTTCTTATGAACACATTTTTATTTCCCAGGGGTAGATATCTAGTAGGCATGAAATTGCTGGGTCATGTGGTAGTTGTGTTTACCTTTCTCAGAGATTGTCTAACTGTTTTGTAAAACAGCTGATCCATTTTGCATTCTCACCAAGTAAAAGAGTATTGAGTCACTCAAGAATATGCTGGCCATGATAATTACTCTGGATTTTATTTTAAGTGAAATGGAGAGGCAACAATGCTTTGAAGCATGAGATTACGATGATATGATTTATATTTTGAAATGATCACTTTAGTTTTATATTAAGGGGTCAAGAGTAAAAATCTTAGTAAACTTTTCTAGAAATACAGTAAAAAGATTATGCCATACACCCAAACTCACAGAAACACACAGTCTGTCTTACACATACACACACACATACACACAAATGCACATTATCTTGTTTCAAAAATGATTCCTGGGTCTTCAAATAACGTAAAAATAGTAATTATAACTGAATGATATATTTATATTTTACAAATGTGCAGTATTATACTGTTAGGGATATGTCAAATACCTATCTATATTTATATACACACATATATCTGTGTATGTATATATATATTTCTGTGTGTATATGTATACACACACACACCACCCACATGGACCACAGAGCAGCAGTCCCCAACCCCTGGGCCACTGACCCATGCAGGCCCATTGGCCTGTTAGGAAACTGGGCCGCACAACCAGAGACGAGCAGCGGGCAACTGAAAATTACCAACTGAGCTCTGCCTCTGTTCAGATCAGTAGCAGCATTAGATTCTCACAGGAATGAGAACCCTGCTGTAAACTCCACATGTGAAGGATCTATGCTCTCCTTCTGGGAATCTAATGCCTGATGAACTGAGATGGAGCAGTTTAATCTGGAAACCAGCCCTACCCCTACATCTATGGGAAAATTGTGTTTTAAAACACCAATCCCTGGTGCCAAAAAGGTTTGGGACCACTGCCTTAGAGGGTTTTTAAAAATTATTATTACAGTAATACATATGAATATCAGAGACAAGAGAGCATATATTTTAAAATCTAGAATAGTAATGCCATTTAAATTCACAAAATTAAATATATATATTTAATGCTCCCAGTGAAATCATATTAATAAATATTATACAGATATGTGCACAAAATAATTATCTAAATTATATTTTAATGATTATTGTTGTCTTATGTACTTGGTTAAACTTGCAATATTGATGAAACATTTGATTCCAGATAACTAAACCACAGAGTTAAAACTAAGCAGATTTTTTTTAATTCCTTCCAAAAAATATTGGCAGGCCTCTTAAATGATAGTCAACAGCATGCTTGCTATTTTATATTCTATTCATGGATTTCTATTTTATGTATTCCATACAAAAAATAGTGGCTATTAGACACATGCCATCATATATTTGAAGATGAAGAACAAGTTACCTGTAATATAATTTCAGTTCCTGATACATTTGTAGAAACTTAAATTTTCTATTTTTCCCCAAAGATAGGTCATTTATTTATTATTTTGTTGTTTATGGCTGCTTACCAGAGTCGTGACCTACTGACTGAATCATTCTTTTATTGAGACAGAATCTGATTCTGTCTCCCAGGCTGGAGTCCAATGGCACAAACACAGATCACTGCAGCCTCGACCTCCCCAGCCTAAGCTATCCTCGCACCTAAGGAAGGGAGGCTAAAATGCCTGGCTAATTTTAATTTTTTTTTTTTTTTGTAGAGACAAGGTGTTTCCAGGTCACCCAGGCTGGTCTTCAACTCATGGGCTCAAGTGATCCTCCAGCCTCGGCCTCCCAAAATGCTGGCATTACAGGCATAAGCTACTACACAGACCAGATTTTCAAACTTTCTGTTTTATGTATGTATTTTGAAAGAAAATCATATGTAACGTATGTTTGAGCAGGTAAATCAAAACAGCTTTAAGGTTCACCAATATTGACTAATATGCAAACATTTATTAATCTCATCGTTTATTCTAATCGGTTTAAAAAATCTATTTTATGTTCTTTTCTCAATGCATCTTCTAATTTAAAGTAATCTCTATTGTCCTGTTTTCTAATGTTATATATTTAGCTATTATAACTACCCTGTAATATGTGGGTAGAGTGAAGTAAAGAAAAGTGGAAAATTCAGTTTAAGTATTTTTGCAAATATAGATTTTTTCCTTTTTGGCACAGGTAGGACTACTGACTGCAACCCAAATTTCTCTTCTTCTTCTCCTTAAATTTTTATTTATTTAATTAGTCTAAGGTTTTGTTTTGTCTGTGTGGGTGAGAACAAAAGAAAATCCTGAAAAAGAGAAACGTAGGTTGGGCATGGTGGCTCATGCCTGTAATCCCAGCACTTTGGGAAGCTGAGGTGGGTGGATTTCTCGAGCCCAGGAGTTCAAGACCAGCCTCAGCAAGATGGCAAAACCCCATCTCTACCAAAAAAGAAAAAAAAAAGAAAAAAGAAAAAAAAACTATGTTATCTAGGCATGGTGGCACACACCTATAGTCCAAGCTACTTGGTAGGCTGAGGTGGGAGGATCACTTGAACCCAGAAGGTCGAGGCTGCAGTGAGCCATGTTTGTGCCACTGAACTCTGCTTGGGTTACAAAGTTAGATCCTGTCTCAAAAAACAAAACAAAATAAAAAGACAAGAAAAGAAAAAGAGAAATGCAATAAGATAAATATTATATGTAATATTTAAATAAAATTTACATTCCTATAAGGTTGATTTGAGTGCTTCTAATTAATAATTTTATATATTTTTAAAAATACAAAACATCAATAAATAACGTTTAGTGATATTACAAAACAACCTTCACAACAATTCAACTTCTGTGTACTGATACACAAGATAGATAGCATCTTGAAAATGACTGACAAGTTATTTTTCCTGTGTCCTCCAACCATGAATCTGTCATGTTTATTCTTGTGCAAAACAAGTGACAGCAGAAGAGAATAAATTAAATGGCCTTTAAAAAAAAAAACACATATGACAGACACCATATGGCTTTTCTCCCCATAACTGTGTTGAATATATTTAGAAAAGACTATCAAAAGAAGAAGTAAAGTGAAAATTATTTCAGAAATGGTATTACATTTTAAACAATTGTACAACAACTGTCATTTAACATTTGGTGACCCAATATAATCTAGAGCAATAAATTATAAACCCGATATACATTAATGATAAAGAAGTGTTGGTTAATAAATTTGCATTAAGAAAAATTTACATATATTAAAAAATGGAGAGACAGAAAATATAAACCCTAGTACACCCAATGCCTAAGTTAAAAAAGTTTTTCAACTCATGAACAATCATCTATCTTCCTATCCTCCCCCAAATCTAAATTATTTTGAGTCAAGTCCAATAATTCATACCTTTATATTTTAAAAAGGTCTAGTACGTTTCCCCAAAATATAAATATTATTTTTGAAGTATGAGAATATCACTATTCTATATAAAATCAATAATGTACACTTAATGTAATTTAAGATGCTATAAAATAGAAGAAGAGGAAATACACTGAATTTATCTTAACAAAGTTGATATTATCTTGATACTGGAGGAGACAAACACATTTAGAAAATGAACCCCAATATTTCTCATGAATATATGCACAGAAGTTCTTAATAAATTATGGAATTTCTACTATCACCAAGTGGTGTTTATTCTAGTGATGCAATGCTGGTTTAAGTTGAAAACCAATCAATACAGTCCACTATATTATTAGACCACAGAAAAACATATGACGATTTCAACTGAAACAGAAAAATTCTTTGATAGAATTCAACACCTATTCAGAATAAACTCCTCAGGGAAAAAAGATAGAAATAGAGTGGAACTTAATTTGATAAGAAAGTATCTATGAAAAAACTACAGCTGGCATTATATTTAATGGTGAAAAGACTGAATGCATTACTCAAAATTGGAAACACGGCAAATGTATCTGTTCTCACTGCTCTTATTCAACTTAGTGCTTGTAGTTCTAGCCAGTAAAAATAAAATAAGAAAATAAAATAAAAGACATACAGATTTGAAAGAAAAAAAATCTGTTCTTATTATCAGATGACATGTTTGTCTATGTAGAAAATCCTAAAGAATCTAACAAAAAATTAATCTACAACTAATAAGTTTGCAAATGTTTCAAGATACAATAGGAATATAAACAAACCAATTTCATTTCTATATATTAGCAATGAACACATGTACACTTAAAAACACTGTATAAATAACAGCAAAAATTAAGTACTTAGATACAAATCTAACAAGTTATCTATTCATATATAGTATCACCTATATACAGAATACTACAAATTGTTGAAAGAAATACAAGATCTGAATAAAACAGACATTCTATGTTCATGGATTCAAAGATTCAATAGGGTTAAGACGTCGATTCTTCCAAATATGTTCTATAATGTTTGTGAAATCCTAACAAAAATAGGCAAAACACTATATATATTGACAACTTAATCCTAAAATTTCTATGAAAAAGTGAAATACACAATAGCCCACAAAGTAATGAACAAAAGAACAAAGTTGGAGGACTCACACTGCCCAATTTCAAGAGTTGCTGTATGGCTACATAAATTATGACAGCATGGTATTGGTAAATGAATGAAAGACACCTAGATCAGTGAATAGAACAGAAAGTCCAGCCAGGCGCAGTGGCTCATGCCTGTAATCCCAGCACTTTGGGAGGCTGAGGCAGGCAGATCACGAGGTCAGGAGATCAAGACCATTCTGGCCAACATGGTGAAACCCCGTCTGTACTAAAAATACAAAAAATTGGCTGGGCATGGTGGTGCATGCCTGTAGTCTCAGGTACTCGGGAGGCTGAGGCAGGAGAATGGCGTGAACCCGGGAGGCAGAGCTTCAGTGAGCCGAGATCGCACCACTGCACTCCAGCCTGGGAGATAGAAACTCCAGAAATAGACCAACATGAATATAGTCAATTGATCTTTGAAAAAACAGAAAAGGTAATTCAATGGACAAAATGTATCTTTTCAACAAATGATGCTGGAACTGGATATTCACATAAAAAATAAATAAACTTAGACTTTATAACTTTCATAAAATTAACTCAAAATGGATCACGGATCTAAATTCAAAAAAAGTAGGAGAATGTCTGTGTGTCCTTGAGTTTGGTGATGAGGCTTTAGGTAAAATCCCCAAACCATGATTCATGAAAGAAAAAAATTGATGAAGTGAACATTATTAACATTAAATGCTCTTGCTCTGTCTTTAGGAGATATAAAAACTCACATTCACACAAATACCTGTACACATATTCACACGGCTGTATTCATGATAGCAAAAATCAGAAACAACTCAAATGTCCTCAGAGTTAACGGTTAAACAGATTATGTACATGAATAACAACAAATGAACAAATTACAGACAAAAGCAACCACCTAACTAAATTTGCAGAGAATTATTCTGAATGAAATAAGGCAATCTAAAAGATCATAGGTTGTGTAACTGCATTTATATAACATTCTTGAAATGACACAGTTATATAAATGAAGAACATATTAATGTATGCCAGGTGCTAGGGAATAAGTGGGAGAGGGAGGAAAGTGAGTGTGGCCACAAAAGGACTACTTGAGATAACTTGGAGGTGATGAAAATATTTTTTCTTGACAATGTTAATATGTTACTGTGAACTTGAACTATAGTTTTGCAACATATTACCAGTGGAAAAACTGGGTAAACGGAGCACTGTATCCCTTTTAATAATTTCTTATAACTGCATGCAGATTTATTATCTCAAAATACAAAGCTTAATTAAAAATGATAACACTTAATTCCTGAAATATCTAGTACTGCTCAAATTCACTCCATGTCCTCCTAAACCTCTTAAAATTTATTTATTCAAATTAGGATTGAAACAGACTTTACAAATCACAATTGGTTGCTATGACTCTTGAATCTCTATCCCTGTGTCTTCACAATTTATTTATTGAATTATTCTCAATCACTTGTTCTTCAATTTCACAATCTGGATTTTACCAATTGACTATCTGTGTTTTACTGTAACATATACTGTCATTCCTTACATTTCTTGCAATTTACTGGCTATATCTGCTTTCTTATTATGACTCATGTTAAAAATATTTTTGGCCAGATGCGGTGGCTCATGTCTGTAATCCCGGCATTTCGGGAGGCAGAGGTGGGCGGATCATGAGGTTAGGAGATCGAGACCATCCTGGCTAACACGGTGAAATCCTCTCTCTACTAAAAATACAAAAAATTAGCTGGGCGTGGTGGAGGGCGCCTGCAGTCCCAGCTACTCGGGAGGCTGAGGCAGGAGAATGGCGTGAACCTGGGAGGTGGAGCTTGCAGTGAGCCGAGACGGTGCCACTGCGCCACTGCACTCCAGCCTGGGCGACAGAACGAGACTCTGTCTCAAAAAAAAAAAAAAAAAAATTATATATGCATTCTGTGCCTCTGTCAGGATACACAAAATGCCTGGGTAGTTTATGCTTTGAGACATTAGCAATCACTGATGACCATTGCCTAGAGTAATCATTCAATTGCTTGTAAAAAAAAAAAAAAACGGCAAAGTTCTAACTCAATTATTCCTTTTTTTAAATCTATTAACCAGGTACTTTTTTAGCAGACATTTTCCCTTATTGACTATTTGATAAAATTATGACATGAATGTATAGATAAATGCTTGATTATTTTTCGTTATTTACTAGTTTTGGAAATATTGATTTGGCTACTTAGCATCATACACAGATAAAAATGAGTTGTTTATTCCTTTCTTTAAAAAAATATATTATGGCCTTATGGATTTTGCATATTTAAAGTGTTCAATCCATTATGGTTATTCTTATCATTATTATTAAAACTACCCCATCTTTGGCCAGGAAATCATTTCAAAATGTTTCCCCAATCAATTTGACAAGGCCTGAATAGTCTTTAATAGCACCCCTGCTTTTGGCAATAGAAAAATATTGCAGGCTTATCTTGGATATTTCCAGGGTCAGCCTTAAAAATCAACCAATTCAAAAATGAGATTTTATTTTTTTAATAAGAAATGGTATTTTAAGATATCAACAGGTGAAATAGATGTGCCTTATGTGACAATGTTGGCAAGCAAGAAAGCTTATTTTGAAAGATCAAAATGTATTTTTGCTAGTGTAACCTTGAAATAGATTCCAGGAGTAAGATTTCTGGGTCTAAGTCTGTCTTCTAGATATTGGTCAATTCCTCTCAATAGGAGAAGTTACCATCTTGTATTATCATAAACAATATTTAAGAGTGTGTATTCTCACAGTGTCTCATCAACTGAGTACATTATCAAACTTTGAATATAGGTCCAGATTTAGGTGACAAATAAAATATCAATGTAGTTGTAATTTTAAATCTTCTTATTTATGTGAGTTCAAGTATATTTTTCTATGTTTAAGGCCACTGACAATTATTTATTGTAAATAATTTCTATTTCCTTCCCACATTTCTACCAGACTATTTATTTTTTATTCTCTATTATAAAATGTATATAACAGCTATTATGTTTGATTTCATTAATAAATATTGATTTTTTCATATTTTGTCATTTTAATTTGACTTTTTATCATGTTTAAGCCTTCCTTTTATAAGTTATCATATACATCAATTTTTTTCCTAACTGTATTTGGAGAGTTATTTATAATTAGAAAAACTTTCTGCACTTGCAAGTGATAGAAAAAAAGTAACTATAGAAAAATATATTTCAGTATCATATACAGTCAGGGCATTCTCTTCAATAAATGATGTTAGGAAAACTGGATATTCATACTCAGAAGAATAAAACTGGATACTTAGGTCAAGCCATACACAAAACTCAACCAAAAATATATCAAAGAGTTAAAAGTAACACCCGAAGCTATAAAAAAGCTAGAAGAAAACATAACAGACAATCTTCTTGACTTTGGTCTGTTGTTGTAAATGGAACCCCAAAGGCACAGGCAATAAAAGGATAAACAGACAAAAGGTATTGCACAACAACGCAAACAGAGTGAAGAGACAATGTAAGGATAGGAGGTAATAACTGCCAACCATACATATGAAAATAAGATAATAGCTAAAATATATAAAGAATTCAACCTAATAGCAAAAACCAAACAACCCCACTCAAAATGGGCAAAGGACATGAACAAACATAAACAGAAGACACACAAATGGCCAACAGATATATAAAAAGATCTGCACTCCTATGATTATTGCAGGATTATTCTAAATGGCAAAGATACAGAAACAACAAATGTGTCTGTCAATAGAAAAATGGATACACACACAATGGACACACATATACGCACACACGAATACTGTTCACCTTTAAAGAAGTACAACACCGATAGAGGAGCCAAGATGGCCGAACAGGAAAAGCTCCGGTCTACAGCTCCCAGCGTGAGCGATGCAAAAGACCGGTGATTTCTGCATTTCCATCTGAGGTACCGGGTTCATCTCACTAGGGAGTGCCAGACAGTGGGCGCAGGCCAGTGGGTGCGTGCACCCTGCGCGAGCCCAAGCAGGGCGAGGCATTGCCTCACTTGGGAAGCGCAAGGGGTCAGGGAGTTCCCTTTCCAAGTCAAAGAAAGGCGTGACAGACGGCACCTGGAAAATCGGGTCACTCCCACCCTAAATACTGCGCTTTTCAGACCCCTCAAAAAAGGGCGAACCACGAGATTATATCCCACACCTGGCTTGGAGGCTCCTACGCCCACGGAATCTCGCTGATTACTAGCACAGCAGTCTGAGATCAAACTGCAAGGTGGCAGCGAGGCTGGGGGAGGGGCACCCGCCATTGCCCAGGCTTGCTTAGGTAAACAAAGCAGCCGGGGAAGCTGGAACTGGGTGGAGCCCACCACAGCTCAAGGAGGCCTGCCTGCCTCTGTAGGCTCCACCTCTGGGGGCAGGGCACAGACAAACAAAAAGACAGCAGTAACCTCTGCAGACTTAAATGTCCCTGTCTGACAGCTTTGAAGAGAGCAGTGGTTCTCCCAGCACGCAGCTGGAGATCTGAGAACGGGCAGACTGCCTCCTCAAGTGGGTCCCTGACCCCTGACCCCCGAGCAGCCTAACTGGGAGGCACCCTGCAGCAGGGGCACACTGACACCTCACACGGCAGGGTATTCCAACAGACCTGCAGCTGAGGGTCCTGTCTGTTAGAAGCAAAACTAACAAACAGAAAGGACAACCACACCAAAAACCCATCTGTACATCACCATCATCAAAGACCAAAAGTAGATAAAACCACAAAGATGGGGAAAAAACAGAACAGAAAAACTGGAAACTCTAAAAAGCAGAGCGCCTCTCCTCCAAAGGAACGCAGTTCCTCACCAGCAACGGAACAAAGCTGGATGGAGAATGATTTTGACGAGCTGAGAGAAGAAGGCTTCAGACGATCAAATTACTCTGAGCTACGGGAGGATATTCAAACCAAAGGCAAAGAAGTTGAAGACTTTGGAAAAAATTTAGAAGAATGTATAACTAGAATAACCAATACAGAGAAGTGCTTAAAGGAGCTGATGGAGCTGAAAACCAAGGCTCCAGAACTATGTGAAGAATGCAGAAGCCTCGGGAGCCGATGTGATCAACTGGAAGAAAGGGTATCAGCCATGGAAGATGAAATGAATGACACGAAGCGAGAAGGGAAGTTTAGAGAAAAAAGAATAAAAAGAAATGAGCAAAGCCTCCAAGAAATATGGGACTATGTGGAAAGACCAAATCTACGTCTGATTGGTGTACCTGAAAGTGATGGGGAGAATGGAACCAAGTTGGAAAACACTCTGCAGGATATTATCCAGGAGAACTTCCCCAATCTAGCAAGGCAGGCCAACGTTCAGATTCAGGAAATACAGAGAACGCCACAAAGATACTCCTCGAGAAGAGCAACTCCAAGACACATAATTGTCAGATTCACCAAAGTTGAAATGAAGGAAAAAATGTTAAGGGCAGCCAGAGAGAAAGGTCGGGTTACCCTCAAAGGGAAGCCCATCAGACTAACAGCGGATCTCTCGGCAGAAACCCTACAAGCCAGAAGAGAGTAGGGGCCAATATTCAACATTCTTAAAGACAAGAATTTTCAACCCAGAATTTCATATCCAGCCAAACTAAGCTTCATAAGTGAAGGAGAAATAAAATACTTTACAGACAAGCAAATGCTGAGAGATTTTGTCACCACCAGGCCTGCCCTAAAAGAGCTCCTGAAGGAAGCGCTAAACATGGAAAGGAACAACCGGTACCAGCCGCTGCAAAATCATGCCAAAATGTAAAGACCATTGAGACTAGGAAGAAACTGCATCAACTAACGAGCAAAATAACCAGCTAACATCATCATGACAGGATCAAATTCACACATAACAATATTAACTTTAAATGTAAATGGACTAAATGCTCCAATTAAAAGACACAGACTGGCAAATTGGATAAAGAGTCAAGACCCATCAGTGTGCTGTATTCAGGAAACCCATCTCACGTGCAGAGACACAAATAGGCTCAAAATAAAAGGATGGAGGAAGATCTACCAAGCAAATGGAAAACAAAAAAAGGCAGGGGTTGCAATCCTAGTTTCTGATAAAACAGACTTTAAACCAACAAAGATCAAAAGAGACAAAGAAGGCCATTACATAATGGTAAAGGGATCAATTCAACAAGAAGAGCTAACTATCCTAAATATATATGCACCCAATACAGGAGCACCAAGATTCATAAAGCAAGTCCTGAGTGACCTACAAAGAGACTTAGACTCCCACACATTAATAATGGGAGACTTTAACACCCCACTGTCAACATTAGACAGATCAACGAGACAGAAAGTCAACAAGGATACCCAGGAATTGAACTCAGCTCTGCACCAAGCAGACCTAATAGACATCTACAGAACTCTCCACCCCAAATCAACAGAATATACATTTTTTTCAGCACCACACCACACCTATTCCAAAATTGACCACATACTTGGAAGTAAAGCTCTCCTCAGCAAATGTAAAAGAACAGAAATTATAACAAACTATCTCTCAGACCACAGTGCAATCAAACTAGAACTCAGGATTAAGAATCTCACTCAAAGCCGCTCAACTACATGGAAACCGAACAACCTGCTCCTGAATGACTACTGGGTACATTATGAAATGAAGGCAGAAATAAAGATGTTCTTTGAAACCAACGAGAACAAAGACACAACATACCAGAATCTCTGGGACGCATTCAAAGCAGTGTGCAGAGGGAAATTTATAGCACTAAATGCCCACAAGAGAAAGCAGGAAAGATCAAAAATTGACACCCTAATATCACAATTAAAAGAACTAGAAAAGCAAGAGCAAACACATTCAAAAGCTAGCAGAAGGCAAGAAATAACTAAAATCAGAGCAGAACTGAAGGAAATAGAGACACAAAAAACCCTTCAAAAAATCAATGAATCCAGGAGCTGGTTTTTTGAAAGGATCAACAAAATTGATAGACCGCTAGCAAGACTAATAAAGAAAAAAAGAGAGAAGAATCAAATAGACACAATAAAAAATGATAAAGGGGATATCACCACCGATCCCACAGAAATACAAACTACCATCAGAGAATACTACAAACACCTCTACGCAAATAAACTAGAAAATCTAGAAGAAATGGATAAATTCCTCGACACATACACCCTCCCAAGACTAAACCAGGAAGAAGTTGAATCTCTGAATAGACCAATAACAGGAGCTGAAATTGTGGCAATAATCAATAGTTTACCAACCAAAAAGAGTCCAGGACCAGATGGATTCACAGCCGAATTCTAGAAGAGGTACAAGGAGGAACTGGTACCATTCCTTCTGAAACTATTCCAATCAATACAAAAAGAGGGAATCCTCCCTAACTCATTTTATGAGGACAGCATCATTCTGATACCAAAGCCGGGCAGAGACACAACCAAAAAAAGAGAATTTTAGACCAATATCCTTGATGAACATTGATGCAAAAATCCTCAATAAAATACTGGCAAAACGAATCCAGCAGCACATCAAAAAGCTTATCCACCATGAACAAGTGGGCTTCATCCCTGGGATGCAAGGCTGGTTCAATATATGCAAATCAATCAATGTAATCCAGCATATAAACAGAGCCAAAGACAAAAACCACATGATTATCTCAATAGATGCAGAAAAAGCCTTTGACAAAATTCAACAACCCTTCATGCTAAAAACTCTCAATAAATTAGGTATCGATGGGACGTATTTCAAAATAATAAGAGCTATCTATGACAAACCCACAGCCAATATCATACTGAATGGGCAAAAACTGGAAGCATTCCCTTTGAAAACTGACACAAGACAGGGATGCCCTCTCTCACCAGTCCTAGTCAACATAGTGTTGGAAGTTCTGGCCAGGGCAATTAGGCAGGAGAAGGAAATAAAGGGTATTCAATTAGGAAAAGAGGAAGTCAAATTGTCCCTGTTTGCAGACAACATGATTGTATATCTAGAAAACCCCACTGTCTCAGCCCAAAATCTCCTGAAGCTGATAAGCAACTTCAGCAAAGTCTCAGGATACAAAATCAATGTAAAAAATCACAAGCATTCTTATACACCAACAACAGACAAACAGAGAGCCAAATCATGAGTGAACTCCCATTCACAATTGCTTCAAAGAGAATAAAATACCTAGGAATCCAACTTACAAGGGATGTGAAGGACCTCTCCAAGGAGAACTACACACCACTGCTCAAGGAAATAAAAGAGGATACAAACAAATGGAAGAACATTCCATGCTCATGGGCAGGAAGAATCAATATCATGAAAATGGCCATACTGCCCAAGGTAATTTACAGATTCAATGCCATCCCCATCAAGCTACCAACGACTTTCTTCACAGAATTGGAAAAAACTACTTTAAACTTCATATGGAACCAAAAAAGAGCCCGCATTACCAAGTCAATCCTAAGCCAAAAGAAGAAAGCTGGAGGCATCACACTACCTGACTTCAAACTATACTACAAGGCTACAGTAACCAAAACAGCATGGTACTGGTACCAAAACAGAGCTATAGATCAATGGAACAGAACAGAGCCCTCAGAAATAACGCCGCATATCTACAACTATCTGATCTTTGACAAACCTGAGAAAAACAAGCAATGGGGCAATGATTCCCTATTTAATAAATGGTGCTGGGAAAACTGGCTAGCCATATGTAGAAAGCTGAAACTGGATCCCTTCCTTACACCTTATACAAAAATCAATTCAAGATGGATTAAAGATTTAAACATTAGACCTAAAACCATAAAAACCCTAGAAGAAAACCTAGGCATTACCATTCAGGACATAGGCGTGGGCAAGGACTTCATGTCCAAAACACCAAAAGCAATGGCAACAAAAGACAAAATTGACAAATGGGATCTAATTAAACTAAAGAGCTTCTGCACAGCAAAAGAAACTACCATCAGAGTGAACAGGCAACCTACAAAATGGGAGAAAATTTTCGCAACCTACTCATCTGACAAAGGGCTAATATCCACAATCTACAATGAACTCCAACAAATTTACAAGAAGAAAACAAACAACCCCATCAAAAAGTGGGTGAAGGACATGAACAGACACTTCTCAAAAGAAGACATTTATGCAGCCAAAAAACACATGAAAAAATGCTCACCATCACTGGCCATCAGAGAAATGCAAATCAAAACCACAATGAGATACCATCTCACACCAGTTAGAACGGCAATCATTAAAAAGTCAGGAAACAACAGGTGCTGGAGAGGATGTGGAGAAATAGGAACACTTTTACACTGTTGGTGGGACTGTAAACTAGTTCAACCATTGTGCAAGTCAGTGTGGCGATTCCTCAGGGATCTAGAACTAGAAATACCGTTTGACCCAGCCATCCCATTACTGGGTATATACCCAAAGGACTATAAATCATGCTGCTATAAAGACACATGAACACGTATGTTTATTGCGGCATTATTCACAATAGCAAAGACTTGGAACCAAGCCAAATGCCCAACAACGACAGACTGGATTAAGAAAATGTGGCACATATACACCATGGAATACTATGCAGCCATGAAAATGATGAGTTCATGTCCTTTGTAGGGACATGGATGAAATTGGAAATCATCATTCTCAGTAAACTATTGCAAGAACAAAAAACCAAACACCGCATATTCTCACTCATAGGTGGGAATTGAACAATGAGATCACATGGACACAGGAAGGGGAATATCACACTCTGGGGACTGTGGTGGGGTGGGGGGAGGGGGGAGGGATAGCATTGGGAGATATACCTAATGCTAGATGACGAGTTAGTGGGTGCAGCGCACCAGCATGGCACATGTATACATATGTAACTAACCTGCACAATGTGCACATGTACCCTAAAACTTAAAGTGTAATAAAAAAAAAAAAAGAAGAAGAAGTAGAACATCCTGGCATTTGTGACAACATGGTTGAACCTGGATGACATTATGCCAAGGGAAATAAGTCAGGCACAGGGAGGCAAATAATCCTTGATGTCACTTATACGTGGAATCTAAAAAACTTAAACTTATATATGCGTTGTAGATTGGTGGTCACCAGGAGTTGAGGGGCTGGGAGGGAGATGTTGGTCATAGGTTACAAAGTTTCACAAAGCAACATGAATAAGCTCTGAAGATCTGTTTTACAGCGTAGTGAATATATAGTTAACAATTATGTATATATAGTTAAAAATTGCTGAGAATAGATCTTAAATGTTATCAACAGAAAAAAAGTAAGTATGCGAGATAATGGATATGTAAATTATCTGGATTGTATTATTTCATACTGTACACATATATCAGAGCATCACATTGTACACCTAAAAATATGTGCTTTTTTGATAATTATACCTTAATAAAGCTGGGAAAAAATAAAAGAAAACATAAAGCAATGAATTTGTTTTAGATAAGACTTTTTTGTTTACTATTGACAGATGGCTACAGAAATGTTCAAGGGTTTTGTCTCTTAACAAGAATTTTTTTATGCATTTATTTTTACATTAAAAAAATATCATTGTGAAACTGGCCCTTTTCTCTGCCCATCCTTCCTGCCTCTCTTTTCTTTCTTTCTTTCAAACACTTTTATGCACTATTTAGAACTTTTATTCATATAGATAATCACATATGTGTGTATACATTATTTTTCTGAGATAGTGACTTCACTGTAGCTTTATCTATTTCATCTATTCTCAAAACTGTTTGATTATATGTCCCTTTACACTCAAAATATATTCAGAACCCCAGTGAGTTTATATTTGGGTTATATTTATAAGCACTTACTATTACTACATTAGACATGAAAATGAATATATTTTCAAAGTTTAAAACATCAATATATTCATTTATTTTAAACACCAATAATAGATGCATTTTATATATATACATGTGTATAAATTCAAATATGAATAAGTATATCACATATTTAATTGAAAAATAAATCTATTTTCCAAAACCAAAAGATAGGAAGACTCATAATACTTTACCTTCTTTCTTACTTTCTTTTTTTAACCAATCTTTTAATATCTAGTTTAATAGACAACCACTATATTTTCATGTAAGCGTATTAAATTTGTTGTAATTTTTTTTTGGTTGAGTATATAAAGAACATCTGGTTACACAGTTACGTAGTAAGAAAAGTATAGATTATATTAGTAGCCTTTCCAGATAATTGTGGATATACTTTGATACTATACCCAATTAGGGAAGTGGTCATTTATTAGTGGTTATTATAGAATCTGAAACTATATTGATTAAATTTGTATTATCTATTAATTTACAACCCATTGGTTTATCTTGCACTTTTAATGGCCTTTAACATAAGTTCTATTGTTCAACATCATGCATTCATCATTTGGAAAATATTAGTTCACTGACTTATACATATAGCAGCAATAATTTTATTGAATAATAAATATGTGTGTTTTATATTGAAGAAAAATGCTGACATATATCATAATTCAATATAAAATGATCATATTTGTTGAAATCACTGATGATCTCATTTTAAAACATACAAGAATCGGTAGACTTTCCAGCAAACAATGCCATATATGTTTTCCAAAATTTTAATTTTCACTTGAAGCCTCCAATTTTATTATCGACAACAAAGAGTACCAAGTTTTTACCTGTAAGTAACACTGGCTATACACTTTCTGGAATATATCTGCCAAAATCAGAATCTGAATAAACATACAAAAATAAGCAAACAAATTCAGCTAATGCAGCTCACAACTCAAATAACTGCACAAGCATTTTTCCTCAAGACAAAAAGAAGTGCTCTATGTTTTCTTACCATTTCTTTTACAGATCATTAAAAAGACCCTAATACTGATTTGTTATTCAGGAAGAGTATAGTTGTTCTAAAAGAAAGAAGAAAAATAGAATTTCTGGAGTTTGTCATTCTTCCTCAGCATGAGTCTCCAGTGTTTACAAAGATGAAAGATAGCCTCTCTACTGTATTTTATTTTATAATATATATTCATTAATATATGCATTTAGTTTTTAGCATGCCGTTTGTTATATTTGTTCTAATTTCATTTGTGTGATACAATATTAAGTTATATAAACTACTTAAGTTAGGACAAGTAGACCTTCAGAATCTATTGGAAATGTATCTTCAACTTTTGATTATAACTGAGAGTGATGAATAACTTCTACTGCATTTTAATGAACTAGATGAACCATTTCCTGTAACTCATCAGTTTTGACTATATTCTGCTTTTCTTGTTAATTATGTGGATGAACTGTGTGGTCATGTTCCATAATATGAAATGTAAACATAAAGAAACAATGTGGCATTAATTTTAGTGTTTAGAATTCAATAAGTACAGATATTTTCTAGAGTACCTTGACTACACACACACACACACACACACACACACACACACACAGACAACTTTAAAGTTAAAACAGAATTAGTTCACCAAAAGTCTGAATTTAAATTAGTGGGGGTTCCTGAGTGTGATTACCAGCTGTCTGGTCAATTAATCAGTGACAGTAAATTCACCATTAGTTTATAAAACCCAGTAATTAGAGAGTATATGACCAGACCTCTTGACTCAGATATATTTCACAGATGAAGGAACATATAAACTTAGAAAAGAAGACTGGCCCAAGGTCACAGAATATTTTATTTATTTTTGTCACCACAGTGAATTAGAATAATGGTCCTAATTTTGTTTTGAATATTTCACTACAAATTTATTATAAGATATTTAAATTATTTGTAAATATTTAGTTACTGAAGCAATTGTACAACTTCCCCATAAAACAAAAAGAAAAGAATTTTTTTTGCATTTCAGCATACTAACTTTTTTATTCTTTCATTATTTATTTGAGTTTTATACATTTCCATTTTCATTACTGAGTTTTAATGAGGCAAACTTTAAAAGATGCTGGACTTATATTTTTAGAAAATGTCTTTGATCATTGAAGATCAGTTTTCTCCCCAGGTAGATTTAAAAAATAAGCCTGGTCCTTTCATATGATGAAATCTCTTCAGATTTCTTATTTTAGAGTTAAAAGTTGTAAAGTAATTTCCATAAATTACATAATGTTATTTTCACAGATGATAACAACATTTTGTGTTGTTTAATTACAATTAGAGATTATAGTTAACCTTTTTCAGCATGACTTAATTTGGCAGAGCAATTTCCATTAAATTTGTTTGTTTTCAAACTACTATCTCAACATTATTCAGACTTGTTTTCCTACATATTAGAAAATACTTATATAAAGTTCCAAATTAATGCTTCACATTACATATTTCTAGTAATGGACTGAATATTATTCATCTTGTAATAATGAGTATTAATTTAATTTTTTAACATTTCTTACTTTCACATTATATGAATTTTCATAAACTGTCAAATGTGAATATGATCAAATAATTATTGGCAAATGTGAAGTATGATGATAAAGAAAATGACTGTAAAATATAATTTCTAATCTATTAAAGATATAGATTATATATGATTATGTGTATCTGTCTATGTGTATATATATATTTATTTGATGTTTGCTAAAATATGGAACAATATTTGAATCAGTTACATTTTAATCATTTTATAATTTCAAAATAAATTTGTCAGAATTTATTTGCTATAAGATTTATATTTAAGATGATGGAAATTAAAGGACAAATTGTTTTCATTTTTTATTTTGTGATCGATATCATCAAAGTGAACATATTCCAGAGTAATTTCTTTATAAATTTATGTCAAAATGACAGAACATTTCCAATTCAAGAATATTGTAGTTTTGGTATAACTATTCCAATTGTTTGCCATCACACATTTATTATATTAATTTCCTAGTTTAGCAACTTGGATGACATGGGCAATATTTATTCATATATTTGTATATAACATTTATATACATTTAACATATCACATTGTAGTAAGTTTACCTAAATATACATTGTATTATATTATATAATAATGCATTACATTTACAAATATTACATATTTCATTTATATGACTTTTACATTTTAATTATAATGATTGTTCAGTTAAAACTATTATTAAATGGTGCTGTTTGTGAAATAGTTTTAACCATTCCATTAAAATTATAAATTTTCCAGATTATTAAGTGTGTTTATACATAGGATTTCAATAGTTGTAGAGACAAACAACATTAATAATTAAATTTTTCATGGAAAGAAATAAAAGACAAAAATATTGGTGGAAATTGCTATGTTACAGGATAAATATATTTGTTTACAATTCCTTTTGTGCTTTCAACACACTGAAAAGTACATATGTGAAAAAGTATTGATACTCTTTCTATAAAATTTTTTTTACAAACATATATTTTATGGTATTAGCAGACACCCAATAAATGTTGATCAAATATTTAGTTATTTAAAATTATCTTTTCTTCAGGTGCAGATGAGGTTGTACAAACAATATTTCTGACCATGATTTTAGAAAATTCAATTTCATAAATTTGATTTCTTTCATACTAGTTTATTTTTCTTTTACTTAAGTTAGCCTCTCTGATGGATATTTTGATAAAAATAGAATCTGAACATATACATTTTAAAATTTTGAGTTTAATATGTACATTCTGATGACATAATATAGGATAATATTTGAGAATATACTTTGCAGAGTCAAACAGATATCTAACAGAAAAATATCATTATTATGTTTTATTATTTATAAACTTGTAGACATTTTCAACATTATTAGTACTTTTAAAAATTGTCTTAAAAACCTACTTGGTTTTTAAGCTTGAGTTTGATGACAATAAAAACAAATGACTAAAGAAACATAAGAAATATTGTATCATAAATTTTTACTTAAAACAGAAACATTATGTTTTATAATTTCACTGTAGAGTCCTAACCCCTCAGAAACGATGTTTTATATTGCTATATTGGGTCTAGCTGGACTATTATTCCATACATCTTCATTCGTGAAAAGTGATTTCCTCAAGTGTGAAAAGTGGTGAAATGTACAATTTTTAGTGTGGACTTTCTTTATGACTTATGCAAATGCTTCAGTCATGTCTTGTAAAATTTTATTATCCTGTATCTTGCTATATCAAATAGTTCCATTTCCTCTCCAACATATAGAGTAACTCTAGAATATCATTTAATGTAAAATGCTTATTTGATAAGTTTTATATGTTGCTATAAATAATAGTTTTAGGTGAATAAAATACATATCTTCTACAATATGTTATATATATATAAAAATTCATCCTGACCCTTTATTTCCAACATTTAAGGAAAATATACAATTCCTGGAAGAACAATGATTTGAACCTTACACTTCACAAAAAATATATAAAATTTATGTTTATTTCTAGAAGACATTTAAAATATCTTATTGATAAGGTTTTCAGAGAGAATTAAAGTAATTAGAAACTAGTTATAATATTTCACACATATTACTCTAATACCACAACATAAAATAAATTAGTGATTAAAGTAGTTAAGTAAGCACTGATAATTTCATCTTCATAATCACTAAATAAAATGTTTTATCAATTAAAAGATGAAGACACACAGTCCTCTTTCAGGAGCAAAGCAACCAACAGTAACAGTGACTATCATACATTGAACACATGATAAGTCATTTTGGCAGGTTCATCACCTGCCAAAATTTGTGGTCAACTGCACCACAAAAGGATTTAAAAGAGAATCTAAAGCTCATTTTTCCTCAGGAACATTGATACTCTCCTGTCCACATCACTACCTGGGCTTACCACAACAAGAATCCTAAAGGACAGATGTCATTCCAATAGAGAAATGTCAACATTCTTAACAAAATAGAATCAAATAATTATTACTGAAGATCAAAGAAATCCTTCAATACATTTTTGTTTTGAATTTCTACATATAAATATAGTAAGCTAAATTCTCTCTCTCTATATATATATACATATGTAATTGAAATTGTTATTTTCTTTCTGAAATCTTTATGTACAATGCTTTCTTTTGATCCAGTCACTTAGGCACTTGCTATATGGCATAAATTTAATGGATGTTTTATATTCTCATTATGAAGAAAGTAATTTTGCACATTATTGAATTGGAAATCACTCATCTAAGGAGAGATCATCTGTGCATTAGCCAGCATAACTATTTTATAGCCCTCGTTACACATGAGGGAGTGAAGTGATCATGGCTAGTATCATTAAACAGATGGCAGTGAATTTTTTCTCTCTTCTCTATAACTTAGAAGGAGTGTCCTTTCTTATTCTACTTCGAAATTAAGTTTAACCTAAAGAATAATGAAGGGTCAATTTCATGCTTTTTTTTAAAAACTAGACTGTGGAACTTTACTGATAACCATCATTTCATTTGCCAATAATAAGTCAGATGATTTTTAAAAATATATCTAAAATCAATCATGTTGACTAGGACTCAAAAAAACTTAAAACTAAATGAATTAAATATTAAACAACACCATACCTTTCCAGTACATAAGCAATCTATGGTTGATTTCAACCCTGGAAGATCAACTTTTCACATAAATTAAATATTATTCAAAATGTTAATGTAATTTTAGGTCCTAGGTCACAGATTAGCATTTTGATAACTAATTAAATTTATTAAATAGCTATAAAACTATTAAGATATTGTTCTCAAAATGTTTCACAATAAATATTTTGCTGTGACATTTTCTGTAATTTCTATGACATTGTCCTTTTCTGAGTTTATTAATTAATTGGAATAATTTATAATTTTTTATTTCTATTTTTATCTTTAATTATGGCCCATACTTCATTTCTAATATTGCTTATTTCTTTTTATGTACCATCATTGTGGTTTTTCTAATCTATTAACTTCAAGGGTAATAATTTAAATCTTGTTTCTTTGATTTTTATTTAATTTTTTAATAATTTTTACTTTTTCTTCTACTTTTGTTCATTTTTCTATTACACTTTTTCAAAATTGACTTTAGCTCATTAATTTTAATTTTCTTCTTATCTAATATGTGCACTTAAGGCTATAAATTTCCCTCTAAATACTTACTTTTCTATCTTCTACAAGTTTTTATGTAGGATTTCATAGCCCATTCATTGAAAATATTTTCCAATTTCCATTAAAATTTCTTATGTAAATCAGCTGTTACTGAGAAATATTGTAATTTAAGTTTATAAATTTTTATACATATAGATGTTTAAAGTTTTTTTTTAATTGAGGTGTATATTTGTGTTTGCAGTCAGGGAATTTATACACTATTGATTGATAAGTATCTGTTGAGACTCATTTATTAGCTTGTAGTTGTAAATTTACCTAAGTATTGCACCGGGCTGAATAGATTGTATATTGTATATTTTCTGATATCTATTTCTATATATCTATATATATATATCTATATCTATCTATATATATAGATATAGATAGATATAGATATAGATATAGATAGATATAGATATATATCTATCTATATCTATATCTATCTATATCTATATAGATAGATCTATATCTATATATATCTATATATAGATATAGATCTGTGGATATCTATATATATCTATCTATAGATATATAGATATAGATATCAGAAATATATAAACATATATTTATATATATTTATGATATATATATTTATGTATACACACTCATTAGTCTAAATTCATTCATGTTGACCTTACTGTACTTCTTAATTTTAATTTCCAGTTATATTAATTTATAAAAGAGTCTTGTTAAATTATTGTAAAATTTGATTGCAAATGTAGAAATAGATGGAAATAAAAAAATTCCTGGAACTAAGAAAATTTATAAAATCTTTTAAAATGAGAATTTCCTTAAAAAGTAGAGTAAAAGGTCATTTCTACATTTAAAAAATTTAGTTTCCTTTAATAAAAAAGACCAGGATGTACAATCATTGGGACACATTGTGGGCTAGAAGAAACTTAATTATATGTAATCAAAGAATACTTTTCTTAATTTGAGAAATATGAAATTGTCATGCAAAGTATACTCACCAGAATAAATAAATAAATATTAATTTAAAGTTAATGCTTAAGGGGTAGAATGTGTACAAAGAAAAAATTCTTAAAGTATTATTGCATAAAAATATCTATAAGTAGATGAATAAGTGAATTATATTTTTATATAATTCAGATCAAAGTCCAATATCTATCCATGATAAAAATTCTCAGTATTATAGAAATAGAAGTGAACTTCCTCAACTTAACAAAGCATTTCTACAAAATTCCACAGCTAACATCATACTCAATGGTGACAAACTTGAAGCTTTCCCAAGAAGATGAGATAAAGGGAAGGATGTTCCCTCTCACCACTGCTTTTCAATATTATGCTGGAATTCCTAGCTAGCACAGCAAGACAAGACAGAAGTAAAAGGTATACAAACTGGAAAGAAAAAAATTAAAAGTGTCTTTGTTCACAGATGACATAATCATCTTTGAAGAAAATCCTGAAGAATCAACACTAAAAAACACCTCAAACTAATAAGTAAACATACCAGGTTTTCTGAATAAAAGGTAAATATACAAAAGTCTATTTCTTTCCTACGTGGTAGCAATAAACAAGTCAATTGATATTGATTTTTTGGATTAAACCCTCAAAAGCACAGGCAAAGCAAACAAAAATAGAAAAATGGTATTATATGAAACTAAAATGCTCCTGAACAGCAAGAAACAATCAACAGTGTAGAGACAACCTACAGAACGAGAGAAAGTAATCACAAGCTACGCAACTGTAAAAGGGTTAATATCCAAACTATATAAAGAACCAAAACAACTCAATATAAAAAAATAACACTCTGATAAAGAAATGGGCAAAAGATCTGAATAGACATTTTTCAAAAATAACATACAAATGGCCACAAGTATATGATAAAATGTCAACATCAATAATCAAAGAAATGAAAATTATTACCACAAAAAGATATCACCTCATCCAGTTAGAATAGCTATAATCAAAAAGATTTTTAAAAAATCAAATGTACATGAGGATATGGAAAAAGGTGAACTCTCATATGCTGTTGGTGAGGATGTAAATTAGTAGAGCCACTATGGTCAACAGTGTGGAGACTCTTCATAAAACTAAAAAAGGAACTATCATGTGATCCAACAATCCCACTACTGAGTGTGTGTGTGTGTGTGTGTGTGTGTGTGTGTGTGTGTATACATATATAATATAGTAATCAATATATCAAAGAGATATTAGCATTCCCATATTTATTGCAGCACTATTCACAATTGCCAAGATACGAAATCAATCTATGTGTCCATTAATGGATGAATAGATTTTAAAATGTGGCATATATACACAATGAAATACTATTCTTCCATAAAAAAGAATGAAATTCTGCCATTTGTGACAACATGGATGAACCTAGAGAACATTATGTTAAATGGAATAAGTCAAGCAATGAAGGACAAATGTCACGTGTTATCACTCAGAGGTGAAATCTAAAAAAGTTTATCTCACAGAATTCCCCTGAGTGAAATCCATGTTGTCACAAATGGCAGATCTTTAACTCAAAATGGATTCTAGACCTAAATGTGAAACACAAAACTAAAAAATCCTAGATGATAACAGTATAAAATATAATTGACCTTCTGTTTTGCAATTACTTTTTAGGTATGACACCAAAGGCACCATCCATGACAGAAATAATTGATAAGTTAATTTCAGTGAAAGTAAAAATTTCCACTTTGCAAAAGACATATTAAGAGAATAAAGATAAGCCAAAAATTGGGAAAGAATGTTTGTAAAATACATATCTATTAAAGAACTATTCTCCAAAACATATGAAGAACCCTTAAACCTCAAGAATAAGAAGACAAACAAACAAACTGCAAAATGAGCAAAAGACCTCAATAGCCCCCTCACCAAAAAAGATTTACAGATGACAAGCATGTGAAAAGAAAACTGGAAAGCAGGAAAATGCACGAAGTTAATTACTACCAAATCCCTATGGAAATGTCCAAAATCTAGAAGAGTAACAATAAACGCTGGTGAGTATGTTGAACAATAGGAACTCTCATTCATTGCTGGTGGAAATGCAAAATGATACAGCCACCTTGGAAAACAATTTGGCATTTTCTTACAAAACCAAACATTCTCTTCGTATTTGATTCAGCAATTATGCCACTTAGTCTTTACTCAAAGGAGGTGAAAGCTTCCTGCATACAGATGTTTAGCAGCTTTATTCATAATTGCCAAATCTTAGATGCAACCAATGTCCTTCAGTAGGTAAATGGACAAATAAACTGCAGTACATCTGGAGATGGATTGTTATTCAACACTAAAAATAAATGAGTTTTCAAGGCATGGAGGAAACCTAAATGCCTATTATAAAATGAAAGAAGCCAATCTGAAAAGCTATATGGTGTATGATTGTAACTGTATGACATTCTGAAAAAGTCAGAATTATAGCAACAGTGAAAAGGAATTGTAGTTTTCAGAGATTGGTAGGAGTGAAGAAAGAACAGGCAAGCACAGAAGATTATTGGAGCAGTAAAATTACTCTGTATAATACTATAATGGTGCATATATGTCATTGTACATTTGTACATAGAATGTACAACAAAATAAGTGAACCTTAATGTAAACCATGGACTTTGAGTACCAATAATGTGTTAATGTAGGTTTGTCAATTGTAAAAAATGTACCATTCTGGTGGGGGATAATGGGGAAGTCTATGCATATATGGGGGCAGTTGGTATATGGGAAATCTCTGTACCATTCTCTGAATTTTTCTGGGAAAATCAACTGTTCTAAAATATACACTCTACTTTAAAAAAAAGCATGAAATTGTGCTGATGGATGCATAAGCTGAAAATCAAAATCTACCAAAACCTCATATACAGAAGCCTTTAATACAAAGAAAATCAAAAACAGGGTAAAGATCTGGACAATACTTGATGGTTTCTCCTAAAGCAACTAACGTGATGACTGAAAATACGTATGTGCCACTAAATTAGGAAAACATTGTTTTGCCATAGCATGTTAGCAAATATTCACTTGAGGTCATTTTAAAACTGTTCAACCAATCAATAACAACTTGGTGCAATGAATTTGCCTTCATGAAACAAGAAATCAGTTTTAGCCTCTACCTTCTTCAAACTAGCCAGAGAGGGATGTATTATTTCAACAAACAGCTTTACAGTGAGGTTTTATAATACCACCCAAATTACCACAATTTTATATGTGATGGATAACTCTGGTGTTCCTGAAAATCCACTTGAATTTTTTGCTGCTATGGAAAAGCATTAGCTCTAGAAAAAAGCCATTATGAGATTATTTTTACAACTCTGCTCAAAAATATCATGTCTAACTAGAATGTCTTCTCTTCACTAACAATAATAATTCTGGTTTAGTGTTTTTATTATATTAACAGTTATACATTAGCAATCTCATCATCTGTTGAGATTTTATTCTATTTAATATTTTAGCAACTTTTAAGACTTAATTCATACATGTCAAAGAATGTTAAGATTACCTCTAAGTATCTGAAATAAAAAGACAACCCAAATCTATTATTGATTATAATAAAAGACAACTATACTCACCAGGTACAGTCTCTCTGAGTAGAACAGAATACTGATATTATGTAGAACCTTGACACAGAGTTATTGGCAGGTGTTCAAAATTTTAAGTGTTTTGACATCACATACAGAAATTCAGATACTCAGATGAAACTGTTGTTGATTGTGTGGCACTGAGAAACATATATATTATAGTTAATTCATTTCATAAATTTGTTGATAATTTGAAAATCTTGAAGAAATTGATTAAATAATTGAATATAAATCAAACAAAATAACACAAAAGAGATTTTAAAATCTTCAAATGGCACTAAGCCCAAATTATTTTACAGGTGAATTCTACCATATATTTAAGAAACTAACTCAATGCTACACTAATAGCAACAGCTACGTGAGTATGGAGAATAGAATACAATGTTTCTTACTCTATCTCAAAAATAAGTAAATATTGATATGAAACTAGTAAATATAGTCCTAAAAAATAATAGACCAAGAAAATCTACAAATGTTAATAAAACAAACCTCAAATAAAAATAAGAAAACATAAATCAGATCTTTAAAACAGCATTACACCAGGCCAAAATGGTTTCTTGCTTGGAATAAAATGCTAATTAGGAGATATTACTATATTAGAAAATCTAGCAATATAGCTTTCATATCAGGAGACTAAAAGAACAAATAAATTAATATCTTCATAGATACTGAAGTTTTATTGGTTAAAATTAAATATCTAGTTTGTATATATAATTCCTAATAAAATTAGAA
Source organism: Homo sapiens (assembly GCF_000001405.40). Classification (NCBI taxonomy): domain Eukaryota; kingdom Metazoa; phylum Chordata; class Mammalia; order Primates; family Hominidae; genus Homo; species Homo sapiens. Next base: position 43,388,649 of record NC_000014.9, read on the forward strand.
TACAATATTTCCTTGCATTTTAATATGCATATAAATGTATAATATGCATTATGCATTTGTCCAAACTCATAGACTGTACAATATAACAGGTAAATATTATATATTATATGTTAATATATAATATATATAATAAAATAGGAAGTACCCCCTTCACACCTGATTTTTAGCATTAATTGGATTTAGCTAACAACAGAGACAAGGGAAAATAATAAGTGATTATGGTAGACAGAACAATGGCCCCACAAAAACGTTTATAGTCTAATCTCTGAAAAAAATGAATATGTTATAGCATGTACATAGCAAGAAGATGTAAGGCTAAAAACACAAATAAGTTTGATATTTTACTGACCTTAAAATAATGATATTATTCTAGATTATCCTGACGTGTCATTGCAATTGGAAGTCTTTTTGCTTTTGTTTTTTTTTTAATGTGAAAGAAGGGGGCAGAATAACTAGTGTCAGAGTGATGCTAACAATGAGCCAAGGAACTGGGCAGTCTCTGGAAGACGGAGAAGACGAGAAGATGACGGCCGGGCGCGGTGGCTCACGCCTGTAATCCCAGCACTTTGGGAGGCCGAGGCGGGCGGATCACGAGGTCAGGAGATCGAGACCATCCTGGCTAACACGGTGAAACCCCGTCTCTACTAAAAATACAAAAAATTAGCCGGGCGAGGTGGCGGGCGCCTGTAGTCCCAGCTACTCGGGAGGCTGAGGCAGGAGAATGGCGTGAACCCCAGGGGGCGGAGCCTGCAGTGAGCCGAGATTGCGCCACTGCACTCCAGCCTGGGCGACAGCGAGACTCCGTCTCAAAAAAAAAAAAAAAAAAAAAAAAAAAAAGACGAGAAGATGAATTATTTCCTAGAGTTCCCAAAAATGGAACACACAGCTGGCAACACCTTAGTTTGGCCCAATGAGAACATTTTGAATGTTTGACCTTCAGAATTGTAAGAAAATAAATTTTGTTTTGCTTATTTAAGCCACTAAATTTGTGGAAATTTATTACTGCATTTACTAATAAAAACTAGTAAAGTGAATAAAATTGTAAAGCAGTTGAAAGGTTTTGTTATTTACAGATAGTATATACAGAAGGAAATGTATCATTGGAAAACCTGAGGATATTGAAAATTTTACAAAAAAATGAAAACATTTACCAAAGAGGCTAGAGAGAATTAATATATGAAAATCAATTATTTTGTTTAGAAAATATATAGAAATAAAATTACACTTAAAAAAACAAAAATAATAAAATGCACAGAAATAAACTTTAAAATGAGCTTGAAACATTTATGTAAAAATTTTAAAGATTGACTTACATTCTTCTTTTTTTTTTTCAGGAGTCTCCTGTCGCCCTGGCTGTAGTGGGGCAGTGGTCCCATCTCGCCCGCCTGCCTGGTTCAAGCAATTCTCTTGCTTCAGCCTCCTGAGTAGCTGGGACTACAGGCACACCACCATGCCCAGCTAATTTTTGTATTTTTAGTAGAACAGGGTTTGAAACTCCTGGCCTCAAGTGATTTGCCCATCCTGGGTCTCTCAAAGTGCTAACTTGCATTCTTAACTATGCATTGATGAGATTAAAAACACAAATACTCAGAGAAAAATTTAATTCACATATATTAATTAGTTTACTATATTAATTTATATATGTTCCCTAATTAAAAATATGCAAAGCTAAGGCTGGGCACAGTGGCTCATGCCTGAAATCTCGGCACTTTGGGAGGCCCAGAGGCTGAGGGGGTGGATTGCTTGAGCCCAGGAATTCCAGACCAGCCTGGGCAACAAGGCGAAACCCTGTCTCTACAAAAAATTAGCGGGGCATGGTGGTGTGTGCTTGTGGTCCCAGCTACTTGGTAGGCTAAGGCAGGAGGATTGCTTGAGACAGGGATGTCGAGGCTGCAGTGAGCTATGTTCAGATCACTGCACTCCAGCCTGGGTGACAGAGTGAGACCCTGTCTCAAAATAATAATAATAATAATAATAATAATAATAATAATAAATAAATAAGCAAAGCTAATATAAACAATCAAAGTATATAAACAAAGTTTAACAAGTGATTCTGAAAAGAAGAATGAGATGATGATAGCTTTTTCAGATGTTAGAAATATACCGTAATTGATATTTCTGAAATATGGCTCTGTAGATGCAGTAGAGGAAAGAAACTAACATAGAAACTCAGGGAGACACTCAGGTATGGCAAATAACACACAATAAATCTTTACAATTGCAAATGATTTGACATAATTGTCAAAAACATAAGAACTTACTTTTCATAATCTTTTCTCAAAATTAACCTTGTTAAAGTCCCAACTCAACATGAGTAATAAAGGGATAGTGTGAGTTTCATAATTTATGACAATAAATTTTACAAACGACAGTAATTTTTAAATGGCTTGAGCAGTGCTAACGGTGAAAATTAAATATTGGCTGAAAAAATATTTTTTTTTGTATTCTTTTTTTTTATTATTTTACAGTTTTATTGAAGTATAATGTATTTACAATAAGCCTCTCATTTTATAGAGTACAATTTTATGTTTTGACATATGTATATACCCATGAAAGCATCAGCAAATAGATAATTATCATATTCTTCACCCCCAAAGACTTCCTTGTGCCTCTTTGTATCCTCTCTCTTTTTTTTTTTTTTTTTTTATTATACTTTAAGTTTTAGGGTACATGTGCACATTGTGCAGGTTAGTTACATATGAATACATGTGCCATGCTGGTGCACTGCACCCACTAACTCGTCATCTAGCATTAGGTATATCTCCCAATGCTATCCCTCCCCCCTCCCCCCACCCCACAACAGTCCCCAGAGTGTGATATTCCCCTTCCTGTGTCCATGTGATCTCATTGTTCAATTCCCACCTATGAGTGAGAATATGCGGTGTTTGGTTTTTTGTTCTTGCGATAGTTTACTGAGAATGATGGTTTCCAATTTCATCCATGTCCCTACAAAGGACGTGAACTCATCCTTTTTTATGGCTGCATAGTATTCCATGGTGTATATGTGCCACATTTTCTTAATCCAGTCTATCACTGTTGGACATTTGGGTTGGTTCCAAGTCTTTGCTATTGTGAATAATGCCGCAATAAACATACGTGTGCATGTGTCTTTATAGCAGCATGATTTATAATCATTTGGGTATATACCCAGTAATGGGATGGCTGGGTCAAATGGTATTTCTAGTTCTAGATCCCTGAGGAATCGCCACACTGACTTCCACAATGGCTGAACTAGTTTACAGTCCCACCAACAGTGTAAAAGTGTTCCTATTTCTCCACATCCTCTCCAGCATCTGTTGTTTCCTGACTTTTTAATGATTGCCATTCTAACTGGTGTGAGATGGTATCTCATAGTGGTTTTGATTTGCATTTCTCTGACGGCCAGTGATGGTGAGCATTTTTTCATGTGTTTTTTGGCTGCATAAATGTCTTCTTTTGAGAAGTGTCTGTTCATGTCCTTCGCCCACTTTTTGATGGGGTTGTTTGTTTTTTTCTTGTAAATTTGTTGGAGTTCATTGTAGATTCTGGATATTAGCCCTTTGTCAGATGAGCAGGTTGTGAAAATTTTCTCCCATGTTGTAGGTTGCCTATTCACTCTGATGGTAGTTTCTTTTGCTGTGCAGAAGCTCTTTAGTTTAATTAGATCCCATTTGTCAATTTTGGCTTTTGTTGCCATTGCTTTTGGTGTTTTGGACATGAAGTCCTTGCCCACGCCTATGTCCTGAATGGTAATGCCTAGGTTTTCTTCTAGAGTTTTTATGGTTTTAGGTCTAACGTTTAAATCTTTAATCCATCTTGAATTGATTTTTGTATAAGGTGTAAGGAAGGGATCCAGTTTCAGCTTTCTACATATGGCTAGCCAGTTTTCCCAGCACCATTTATTAAATAGGGAATCCTTTCCCCATTGCTCGTTTTTCTCAGGTTTGTCAAAGATCAGATAGTTGTAGATATGCGGTGTTATTTCTGAGGGCTCTGTTCTGTTCCATTGATCTATATCTCTGTTTTGGTACCAGTACCATGCTGTTTTGGTTACTGTAGCCTTGTAGTATAGTTTGAAGTCAGGTAGTGTGATGCCTCCAGCTTTGTTCTTTTGGCTGCATTCCCTTTGAAAACTGGCACAAGACAGGGATGCCCTCTCTCACCGCTCCTATTCAACATAGTGTTGGAAGTTCTGGCCAGGGCAATCAGGCAGGAGAAGGAAATAAAGGGTATTCAATTAGGAAAAAATATTTCTTTAAGCATGCGCTAATTCAGAAACTTGCTGTGTAGCGAAATATAAGACTTCCTGGTAATTGTCATTTTCCAGATTAGGTTTCTATGACAGCTAGACAAAATTTCCCAGTCCAGTCAATACTAATTAACATTTTAATTGGCTCATGACACATTTTGGGGGTAAAAAGTTCCGCTTAAAAAATCTAATGGCTTTTTTGTTTTGTTTTTTAGGCATTTTTTTCAGGCTTTTCTACATTATGAATTATACTATTTGCATAATTTGAAAGCATCTATGAAGTTAACACTTTATAGATGTACTTTAAACACATTTCATTTTTATTGACTTGCTCATATATAATGTCTTTTCCACTAACATCTGCAGTGATATCATTTTGTGTACAACTGAGAAGAAATATTAAAATAAGAAAAATTAAATTGCAGAGGGAGTATTTTTGATAGAAGCATAATAGTTATTAGTAAATTATTCAGTAAAACTTGTCCCATAAGAACTACATTTAAGCTCTGTAGCATAATTTCCATCAGAAAAACATGACGATCTTAATGAGTCAATTCTAAAAGTCATATTTTCCTCAGGTGAGTAGGTTAATTGTCTATGCAATTAATTAATTGCAAAAAACTTCTGCTATTGCTACCTACTTAAAAAGGACTGTTACCATGGTATTTTAGATACACATTTTATGAAAAATGCTATCTGTAGTAAATTTTGTTCTTTCTGCCTCTGAACAATTTTTAAAATATTGATAGATTTCTCAATTCATAAAGATGAAATGTAAATGTTTTAAAGACGGGAACTTTCAATCCTCTATCACTTTGTACTTCCACATATTAGATCTCACCTATTTTCTTAAGCAAAGTCTGTATATGATACTATATTATTTATAAAGTGGTATAAAGTCATTTTATTTCCAAATCAATTTGCTTTTTAGTAAGACTGAGGAAAATAGACCCCCTAAAAATGCTTTTATCTGCAGTAAGTTAGAAGATACACCACGTACACACGAGGCTATGGAGCAACTGATTGGGAAAAGTCAAAATGTTCTTGTGTTTTGTTTATTTTTGCCTCTCTTTTGCAAATTATGGTTTTGAGTGTTACTTCTCATTACTTTGTATTATTTTGAGTGTTACTTTGCAACCCAAGAAGATCGTTTCTGATAGCTTTCATGCACCCAACAGTAAGTTATTAGACACCTTCACGAATAATGGAGGAAAAATGTATATCTTTCTTATATCTAAGAAATAGCATACCAAAGACAAATAGATCAAAAAGTTGTTTGCTAAAATTTGATGTTATTGTACTACCAATGAAACAATAAACATACATACATCTTATGTACTTTTGGGTATATACATATATACACACACACACACACATATATATGTTACAGTCCTTGCCTCAATATTTGAATATGTCTGTAAACATTATGAAGCACTCAAAAGGGCAGACTCACCTCTATTTAACAGGAGGATTGAGGGTGAAATAAATTCTCAACAAATTGAAGTCAAAACAAAGAAGCAAACAAACAACAACAACAAAATGCACCTGATAGTTCCTTGCAGAGAGCAGAATCAGGGACTAATTAATAAATATTCTTATCCCAAGATAAGGAACTTCATATTACTTGTTGAGTGAGATGTGAGAACCTGTGATTACTGTATCACCCCCATTCTTCCCTTTTCTGGGAATGTCTTTCAGCTAGTGTTTCCATGTTCCACCATTACACATTGGGGGTATATAGAGCAGATTTTTTGTCTTATACTTAGTGCATAGTTCCAAAGACAAACATAAACATACATGGTGAAGAGACAAGGGCAAACTTTTCTACTTTCCAGGAATTTTGAACTCTAACTGTATAGGATTTAGGTCTCCCATAGGGAGCAAGTGAGTGTGCTCAATGTGTCAGAAAGAAATCAAACCAAATAATTTCTCGTGAAAATAATGGACTGTGTTAGACATTAATGGTTATTGTCAAATATTCAGTTCTTCTCACTTCTGAAAGTGCTGCCAAATTTAGCAACTTATTAAATTTAAATTTCAAAAAAATCCACAAAGTGTAGTTTTTTTGATATATCATACTGTTATACTAAAACTATGTTTTTCTGTAAAATTAAAATTTAACTGTGCATCCTATATTTTACCCAACAATTCCACTCTGTGCCACATGACAGACTCTGCTTCCAAGGCTCAAGTACAGTTAAGAAAAGTCACTTGGCTAGTTTTACTAAAGGCTTTTGAAGAAAGATAATGCATGTCACCTCTAGATAAAAGTATTTAATTGCCGCTATGCAACTCTTTTCACATTCTTCTATCTCTAGGATCCAAGAGATAGATCCAAGAGATCTTCTATCTCTAGGATCAATTATACTTGAATTAAAGTAGACTTTAATTCAAAAGAGATTATACTTGAATTAAAGTAGACTTTAATTCAAGATGCTGGAATAAGATGGAAGCAACCCGTATTGCTTATTCAGTGGGCTCTAAATGAGTAACAATAAATATGGGCTGGTTGATACAACCAATATCAAATCATCACTATGACATTCAGATTTTTATCTTTTTCCTTTTCTTTTACCACAGCCTCCTACCATTTAATATTATCTTACTGAATCTCTTACCTCACTTGCTCTCCAACTATCCTGTACTTTTGCTACTGCATGTATACAGACTCATAGGCCAGAGGCACAGTCTCAAGATTTAAAAAAAATGAATAAATAAACAAAAACAGCTATGGTATCTTTGAGGAAAGAATGGAATTATACTGAGTTTTAGTACTAGTCGAATTTCTATGCTCAAGCTCTCTTTCAGCTCAAATAAAATGATCGCTTCTTATGAGAAAATTAGCTGCAGATCTAGAAAAGATTTATTCTTTTTGAAGAACATTAGTGTACTGCAAGATGAAGAAATTAGAGAGATTATCTCATTATAGTAATCTCTATTTTTCTAGAGACAAAATATCTCTCTTTATCTTGTTCATCTAGATAGGCTAAATTTATTGGCAATGGGATCAAAGATACCTTGTGTCAACATGTCAGAAAGAAATAAAAGCAGCACAGTCCTTCAGCACTAGGTTGAGAAGATAGGATTTTAATCAATGTTGACATTGGGGAAATTCTGAATAGGCATAGAAGAAGTCATAATAAAGACAATAAATATGAGTAGGTAAAACAATAAATTGAGCATCTTTGGGGGAAGAGAAATCACAAGAAAGACAACAATGTTCATTTTATCAAAAGCTCTTTTTTGTTGGTTTTGTTTGAAACTGGGTTGCTAATTAGGGGTGTAGACAGAGTAATTTTTCATATCGAAAAGTTCCAGGGAAAAGCTACTCCATGTCAGTAATTCCTTGAAACAAGAGAAAGTTACCTTACCAACTGTGAGAACCCATAAGAGAAAGCAGCTAGGTTGGCTTCTCTGGTACAGTAGAAGCAGAGAAATGGTCAAAAACATTCCCTAACAAGAATGGAAGCTAAGATATGCATCAAACTTTGATCTTTCTCATTTTACTAACATAATGACAAAATAAAGAACTATTCACAGAGACTAATTTTGTTTTGATGTGACACTTATATGTGATATTTCAAAAATCAGATTAATTAAATGTTTTGAACTACCTACTGTGACATACGCCATCAACAAAATTGACACAACTCATACAAAACAAAATCTGCTTATTTCTCATATTAATATATTTGACATTAATTTGATCACATATGTAAGTAATCAAGTAAGTCGCTGTTCAGAATAAAAATTAGAGAGACTCAATTTTTTAACCACTCATTCCTTAAAGTTATAATGCACAATTATCAATAAATATGGCATTCAGTAGAAATAATTTTGTTTTCATACTATTTGTCAAAGAACACACTCACAACCTATTAAGGCAAAATCTATTTTGAGATTATAATTGATGTGTACTCATAATTTAACAGTATCCTTTAAAAAGAAAAGAGACAAACTCGTTTACTTGTGTGTGTGTATATGTGCTTCATTTCGTCTTACCCTGGTTCAAAATATGTATCAAAATACTTAGAGGCAATAGAGATATTTAAATCTATTAGTGTATTTTTGAAATATAATCTTGTTTCTCATTGAATTTATTTTTAAATAGAAAATTAATTGTAGACAGATTATTGTATTCCAAGATAAAATTTTCAGGTGTTACCTCAAGGAAATATTGTATATTATGAAAAAACAAAAACAAAAACAAAATACAGTTACAAAGTGAAAAGTAATTTTAAATACTGATTCAAAGTAATGATAAAATTTTTTTTACAAATCTTCAGTATAAAATTGTAGTCTTATTACAACCAAAGCCTTCAAAATATGAGTTTTTATATCTTTTAATACCAATATCCATCTGATTAATATTGTTAATAATATAATGCCATTATTAAGAGGACTGCATATTTTCTGTACTTTGCCTTAACACAGAGTTAATTGAAATTTTTTTTAGATGTGTTTGCTTGTAATATGTAAGCTGAAAGGCCAATTCCTTTAATCTCACTACTTTTGTACAATTAACAAATCTCTAGTGAATTGGGTTGTATTTCCAAAAGTTCTAAATGCTGTGCATCATTATCATGAAACTGGAAATGATTAAATGTATTACATATTTAAATATTTTGTTTAGTCATTTACTAGAAAACATTTATTGAATTATTATTATGCACCAGACACTGTAACAAAAAATATAAGTAGGGAAATTTTGAGGCATACAGTTTTAAGGTGTGAGAACAACATATAGCTATAACTAATTTCATAATATCTTTCTATTTAAGCACATCAGCAGATTAGATGATATTAAATTGTCTCATTGATATTCATTATATGATTACCCAAAACAATACACAGAAATACTAAAAATTAGCCAAAAACCTTGGAAATTTAAAGAAAACATATTTGTTAAAATCTGAGTGGGTTTGTAATTTTTGAATTACTGATAGCAAATCATTAAAGATGATCTATTTAGACACAATCTAATAATAGTTTCTCAAAAAATACTAGACACATGTTAATTAATACCACCATGTCCAAATAATATACAGGATTTTATGTGAGTAGCATGGAGATCATGCACGATATCACCATAATGTAGATAGAAAAACTAAAGTAAAATGAATGAGAAAGTTGAGTTATACACAATAAATTTGACAGGTCTTAGAAAATTAAAGACAAAATGAATATATTCTAAGAATATAATATTCCTAGGAATTTAGAAAATTTTTTAAAAGTATGTATAGAACATACTATCATCATATATTTTATTATATATATAAATTCACACACACAAAGACACACACACAAATACTACTATGGTATGTGTAGTTAATGTTAGTATTAAGTTTTAAAGTTTATTTCTTACTTTGTATCATCTATTTTCTGCAATACAATGTAATATAGGTCTAAAATCAGACATTAAATTTTTTGTTTTTAGAATTTTTAATATTTTAAAATGTATTTTATTTTTAAACTTAAATTTTAAGATTTAAAAGTTATATTAGTAATAAGTACTTTAACACTGATTGTTTTCTGTACTGTCAAGCTTGATAATATTTACAGGGGTTTTTTTTTTGTTGTTTTTTTTTTTTGAGATGGTGTCATGCTCTGTCACCCAGGCTGGAGTGCAATGGCACCGTCTCGGCTCACTGCAACCTCTGCCTCCCAGGGTCAGTGATTCTTCTGCCTCAGCCTCTCGAGTAGCTGGGATTACATGTACCCGCCATGATGCCCAGCTAATTTTTGTATTTTTGTAGAGATGGGGTTTCACCATGTTGGCTAGGCTAGTCTTGAACTCCTGACCTCAGGTGATATGTCCACCTCAGCCTCCTAAAGTGCTGGGATTACAGGCGTGAGCCACCGCGCCCAGCCTACAGTTGTTTTTAAAACTATAATCTTATCTGGCTCATTTCTATTTTGATTCCCAAAGATGGGCATCAATAAATGCCATTAATTTTCATGAATATACAAATATTGTTTATAACCATATCAACAGTTTGCCCAGGTAATGTTTCCTTCCCTGTTTGGTTCCAATGCCATGTCCACAATATGTCTAAACACCTCTAACAGTGCCTGCCACATAATAGGTACTCAAAATGATTTGATGAAAGAGTAATAATTATGCCTAAGTTTAGACATGATAAATATAGAGTGAATATTTTAAATTGTAACATATTTAATCAGAAAATTATCTGAAACATATGGTTTAGAGGTCTTATTTTCTTGTTGAATAAGAAAGAGATATTGACTACTGAGACCACTTATAGCATTTTCTTTTAAAAAAACATGAAGGTGAAGATTAAAAGAACAGGAAGAAAGTAAATAAACTGCAGCCATGTAAAGGTTGTATAATATAACATGAGCTTCTACTGTGATAACAAACAACTGTATAAAGGTAATGTCAATTGAACTTTCTCCCAATTGTTTTGACAGAATGCATACCAATTTCTTTTTTTTTCAATCAACTTCTATCATTACAATTGCCAAGAATACCAATTACCAGTTGCTAAGGTATTTGGCTCACGTGCCTTATATTCTATTTGTGGAACACAGTAAACATTAAAGTAACATAATAAATATTTCAGGCAGTGATAAATTGCTTGATGGAGGCAAAACAGCATATAGTTACAGAGATTAACTTTATTGAGGATGTGGCATTGCACTTATGTCTGAAAGGTAATTCTGCTTATCAAGCTAAGATTTAAAGGAAATAGCTGTTCAGTCAATGGTAACAGTTACTGTAAAAGCTTTAAAGCTAGAGTAGATTCAGTGGACTAGAGAAGAAAGAAGGACTTTGTTCAACAAGCAGAGTGAAGAAAAGTACAAGGAAATTGTTGATATTTAGTGAGTATTTTTGAGGACATGGCTCACCATGTTAACACAAATACAAGAGAGGAATAATTTACAGGTGTATGATATATCCTTTTCATTTATACAATCTCCTATTTCACTTTATAAAATAATTGCAATACGAATTTGTTGCACCTAACTAAAAATTAATATATGGCAAACAACTGTAGTGATGACCAGTTTTTAAGATCTAATATATTTTATTTTTATCAACTGACTGAAAGGTTCAAATTAGTTATATATACAATTAGAAACTCAAGAAGAAAATTATCTATGCGTATGTTGTTTCATACCATCTTAGAAAATATTAATTATATTTACCTGAAGAAAGTTGGTAGATTGCCTGCAGTGACTAAAAGATTATTGTATCACAAACAAACATTTCTAAATTTACTTTCATTTTTTTTAAATACACAGCAATACACAAATCCATTATCTTCTGAACTAGGGAGACCATTAGACTGTGGAAAAATTTTGAATGCCAAATATTAACCATTCTTAGATTTCAAGATGTTAATATACAATATCATGGATTTTTCATGCAAATCTATTCTTTTGTCACATTTTGGTTCAGTGGTCTAGAAAATCCTGTTCTAGAAATTCAGATGTTTTAATCAGGACTTCAAATAAACGTTGTTGCAAGGATGTCGAAGGAGAAAATAGAAGTAGTGGCATAGACAGCTCTTTTATATTCTAATATTAGAATATAATAAATAAATAATTATATATAATAAATATATTTTATAATAAATAAAATAAATATACAATAAAAAAGCTATATTAAAATTTACATAAAATAAAATGCACCCATTATAAGTATACAGTCCAACGGCTTTTAACAAATGTTTATACTCCTTTAGATTTACCACCATTAGATTCCAAATATAAAACTTTTTCTCTGATATTCTTTTATTTCTAAAGTCAATTTTTTTTTCATTTCTGGCCTCAAGAAGCCCATGATCTCCTTTCTATCACAATAAATAAATTAGACTTAAGTGTCCTAGCATTTAACAAATATTGTATCACTCAGTAATTCCTATTTTGTACATATTTGCTTTCTCTTAGCCTGCTTTTAAGGTTTATATGAGCTACTACATTTATAATAATGGTTTATAATATTTTTGAGCAGTATTCCATTGAATGCATAAGCTATAATATATTTATCTATTGACCTAGTGATGGTCATTTAACTTGCTTTCAATTTTCAGCCCTATGAATAAAACTTCTATGAAAGTCATGTAGAAGATTTTATGTAGATATATATTTGATTTATCTTGTGTATATATATAAGGATACAGTTTCTGTACCATACGATAAGCTAATATTTAGGTTTATTAGAACTGACGCATGGTTTTCCAAAGTGGTTATACAATTTTACATGTCCCTCAACAAATTATGAAAGTTCCCATTGCATAACCTCCTAACATTTGGCATTATCTTTTTTAATTTTAGAAATTACAGGCTGTGTGATATCAAAGTTGCATGATATCTCATTGTGGTATTATTTGATGACTAATAAGGCTTGACATCTGTTTATGCAATTATTGGAGATTCATGTGTCTTATATTTCCCTGAAGTGACTGTTCAAATATGTTGGCAATATGCAGAGAGTGTATGTTATTTTATTGTGGAGTTGTAGGAGTTCTTTGTATATTTTGGATACATATTCTGTCTCAGAAATACGCGTTGCAAGTGACTTCTCCCAGCCTGTCACATATATTTTTCTCTCCTTTTTATTTTTTCTAAATTTCAACTTTTATTTTAGATATAGGAGGTATATGAGCAGTTTTCTTATATGGGTATATTGCACCTAGGTAGTAAGCAAAGTATCCAATAGGTAGTTTTTCAACCCACACTCACTCCCTGCCTCCCAGCTCTGCTTGTTCCCAATGTCCATTATTCTCATATGCTCAATGTTTACCTCCCACTTATAAGTGGGAACATCTAATGTTTGGTTTTCTGTTCCTACATTAATTTGCTTAGGGCAATGGCCTCCAGCTATATCCATGTTGCTACAAAGGATGTGATTGCATTCAATTTTTAAGGCTGTGTAGTACTCCATGGAGTATATGTACCACATTTTCTTTATCTGACTCACCACTGATGGACATTGATTATGTCTTTGCTCTGGGGAATAATATAGCAATGACCATATAAGTGCATGTGTCTTTTTTATACCCAAAGGAAAATAGATCATTACATTTTCATTTTTTTTTTAACAATGACTTTGGAAGGGTGAATTTTTCATTCTGATGAAGTTCAATTTATCAGTTTTTTTCTTTAATGTTTCATGCTTTATGTACCCTACATAGAAATTTTTGCTTACCAATTAGTGCAAATAATTTTTATTATATCTTTTAAAAGTGTATGTTTGTATTCCTGTATTTTAGGCCTGTAATTTCATATAATAAAAAATAATATCAATTATATGCAATCTGTTCCAGAGATAATAAAGTCTGTTTGGATTTTGTTACTTATAATGAGAATTTCAGTATTCTCTCACTGTTGATCAATCTTGGAAGGAGTTATAGAGTTTATTTGTGTTTATGAAAAAGCTATTTTTAACACTGCTAATCTTTTCTATCAATTGCTTTTTTCTAATTCATTTATTTTTGCTCTTTAACATTTTTTTCTTCTGCTTTCTTTGGGCTGATATTAATTACCATGATGTTATCAATGCTATTATTCTTATTTTTTTATTTTCTAATATATGTATTGAAAGCTATCAAATATCTTCTAAATTTTGTTTTGCCTGCATCTTACCAGTTTAATATTTTTCTCAAATTGTATTAGTTCATTTTCATGCTGCTGATAAAGACATGCTGGGGACTGGGTATTTTATAAAGAAAAAGAGGTTTAATGGACTTACAGTTCCACGTGGCTGGAGAGGCCTCATAATCATGGTGGAAGGTAAAAGGCATGTTTTACATGGCAGCAGGGAAGAGAGAGAGTTGTACAGGGAAACTCCCATTTTTAAAACCATCAAATCTCACAAATCTCATGTGACTTATTCACTGTCATGAGAAAAGCACTGGAAAAACTCGCCCCATGATTTAATTACCTCCCACGAGGTTCCTCCCATGACGTGGGAATTGCGGTAGTTACAATTCAAGATAAAATTTGGGTGGTGACACAACCAAACCATATCACACATCTACCTATATTTGAAAATATATTTTATAATTTATATTGTGATTTACATTTTGAATCATTAGTTCATTATAAGTAAAATTTTTTTATAAGTAGTTGGAAATTTTTAACTATATTATTGACTATCTTAATCATCTTATGATAAAAAATTGATGTATTTTAAAAAATATATTCACATTTGATTCATAATGGTTTGTGCTCAGTTTTGATAAATATTCCATGTAGACTTAAAAGAATGTGAATTGCCTTGATTGGGAGTCGATTTTGTTTCTTTAGATTAGATTAATTATACAGCTTGTGCTCTCAGATCTATTATACTATTACCAATTATTTCTCTTTATTATATTAGCTATTAACAGTGGTGTATAAATGTCTCCCATTATTTGAATATGTATGGATATATATACATAGATGTGTGCCTATATGTAAATGTGTGCCTATGTTTATATATGTGTATATATTTACATTTGTGTTTTTTAAATTACGAAATATGCCTCATTATCTAGTGATTTATTTTTTCTTAAAATGTACTTTAATTACAATTAGTACAGCTGTAATATATTTTCTTGTTTTGTGTTTACATTATATTATATTGTATCCTTTTGCTTTTTAAGCTTTCCATGCCCTTATCTATAAGAAACTTATCTTTAAAGAAACATGAAGTTATGTTTTGCATTTTGTTTTCAGACATAGTGTTTTTCCCGAACTATTTGCCATTTTATTCATCAATTTTTCACATTCATTTTTTTCATTTTACTTAATTACTCTACAAAATAATTTTTCCACTTTCTCAGTGAATAATTTGTGAGTTATGCATTTTTAAAATTGTGTTAACAATTTTTTAATATATATTGCAACATGAATATTTTAACAATATTAATTCTTCTAATCCATGAACACAGGATATCTTTCAATTTCTAATGTTTTCTTCAATTTCTTTTATCAGCATTTTATAGTTTTCTATATATAGAACTTTTACCTTTTTGGATAAATTTATAATTAATTTTTTTATTAGTTAATGAAGAATTAATATTGTTGAAATATTCATACAACCAAAGCGACCTACACATTTAGTGATATCCTTATCAAAATGTATTCTCATTTTTCACAGAAATAGAAACAAAAGCCATGAATGTGTACGTAACCACAAAACATCCTGAATAGCCAAATCAAGGTAATCTTAAGCAAAAAGAAAAAGCTGAAGCCACCATACTCCCTGATTTTAGAATATACTTTAAAACTATTGTAATCAAAAGAACATGGTGCTGGCATAAAAACAGACATACTGATAAATTGAAGAGAACAGAACCCAGAAATAAACCTAGGCTTTTATGGCCAATTGAGTTTTGACAAAGATGCCAAGAACACAAAATGGGGAGAGGACATTCCCTTCAATAGATAGTGTTGTGAGAACTGGATATCTACATGCAGAAGAAATAAATTGGATCCTTAACTCACAATATATAAAATAATCAACACAAAATACACTAAAGACTCAAACATAAGACCTGAAACTGTAAAATTACTGAAAGAAAACATGGGGGAGAAAGTGACACAACATTGGCCTATGCATTAATGTTTTTAGATAGTACCCGGGAAGCACAAGCGATGAAAGAAAAATAGACAAATGGAACTACATTAAACAAAAAAGTTTCTGCACCTTAAGGAAAGAATTAACAGAGTGAAGAGATGACCCTCGGAGTGTGAGAAACTATTTGTAAACTATGTATCTGATAAGGAGCTATTCCCTGATATCTAAAATATATCAGGAACTCAAGTAAGAAAACAAATTATCCATTTTAAAAATGGACCAAAGACCTGAAGATACATTTCTCAAAAGAAGATAGATAAATGGCCAACAGATTGATTACAATATGTTTAACATAACTAATCATGAGTGAAATAGAAATTAAAATTACAATGTAATATCACTTCACACTTGTTAGGATGACTATGATCAAAGAGAAAAAAAAGTTGGTAGGTTATAGAGAAAAGGAAATCCTTGTGTACTGTTGGTGTGAATGTAAGTTTGTATAGGCATTTTGGAAAACAGTATGGAGGGCCCACCAAAAAAGAAATAGAGTTGCCTTATGATTTGGCAGTTCCACTTCTCGGTACATATCCAAAGGAATTGAAATCGATAGGTTGAAGAGATACATGAACTCTGATGTTCACTGTAGCATTATTTACAATTACCTAGATACAGAATCAACCCAAATGTCCATTGCCAGATGAATGGATTTTAAAAAATGTGGTTTATACACATCACAAAATACGATTCAGCCTGATAAAAGAAATTATTTTATTTGTAACATCATGGATGAACCTGGAGGAAAATATTTAAGTGAAATAACCCAGAAACAGAAAGACAAAAACAGCATAATCTCACTCATATGTGAATCTAATGTAGTCAAACTATAGATGTAGAGAGTAGAATGGTGGTTACCGGAGGATTGATGTAGGAACAGTGAGGGAGGGGACCGGGGGATGTTGGTCAAAGTGTACAAAGTTACAGTTAGATAGGAGAAATGTTTTTGAGATCTTTTGCATAGCAGGATACCTATAGTTAATAATAATGTACTATATATTTCAAAATAAAGAGTAAATTTCAAATGGCTTAGGATTGACTTGGTGATGCGGGCTCTTTTTTGGTTCCATATGAACTTTAAAGTAGCATGAACAGACACTTCTCAAAAGAAGACATTTATGCAGCCAAAAAACACATGAAAAAATGCTCACCATCACTGGCCATCAGAGAAATGCAAGTCAAAACCACAATGAGATACCATCTCACACCAGTTAGAATGGCAATCATTAAAAAGTCAGGAAACAACAGGTGCTGGAGAGGATGTGGAGAAATAGGAACACTTTTACACTGTTGGTGGGACTGTAAACTAGTTCAACCATTGTGGAAGTCAGTGTGGCGATTCCTCAGGGATCTAGAACTAGAAATACCATTTGACCCAGCCATCCCATTGCTGGGTATATACCCAAAGGACTATAAATCATGCTGCTATAAAGACACATGCACACGTATGTTTATTGCGGCATTATTCACAATAGCAAAGACTTGGAACCAACCCAAATGTCCAACAATGATAGACTGGATTAAGAAAATGTGGCACATATACACCATGGAATACTATGCAGCCATAAAAAAGGATGAGTTCATGTCCTTTGTAGGGACATGGATGAAATTGGAAACCATCATTCTCAGTAAACTATCGCAAGAACAAAAAACCAAACACCGCATATTCTCACTCATAGGTGGGAATTGAACAATGAGATCACATGGACACATGAAGGGGAACATCACACTCTGGGGACTGTTGTGGGGTGGGGGGAGGGGGGGATAGCATTGGGAGATATAACTAATGCTAGATGACGAGTTAATGGGTGCAGCACACCAGCATGGCACATGTATACGTATGTAACTAACCTGCACAATGTGCACATGTACCCTAAAACTTAAAGTATAATAATAAAAAAAATAAATTAAAAAAAAAAAAACTGATGAAAAGTAGGAAGCAAAAGCTTGAAAATTCTTTAGAAAAGGCATATGGGCCTCTTATATTTTGTAGTCTCTCAAGACAGGGAGTGGTGATTATAGAGAGAAGATATTTTTCTGCATACATGTTCTTATTACTATCACAGAGTTTATCATAATACATTCTGGATAAAATTAGCTAAATGTATAAATAAAATGTAGCTGAATATTTACTTCAACCCTTTTCTTGGTTTGGTTGCCCTTGTTAGATATTCATTATGTCAGGTTTGATTCTATTTTACAACTAAAGATTATGGCATAACTGTAAGACTGAAATAGGCATAATTCTGATTTAGTTTCTAGCAACTGGAATACTTCCTCTTTTATATTTTCCCTTTTGTCTTAACACTACAAATGAAACATTATTTTATTTATATTTAAATATGGACAATTTTTATTGACATGTAACATATAATTAATTAATTAAACATTAAAAATCTTGACCCCACACCTCCTTCTAGTTTCATTACTATCTAGTTTTAGCATGTTTACAGTGAAATAAATTGCCCACATATTCTAATGTGCTGTGTCCAACTCTCAATCTATTGTAATGTATGTACTAGCTTTATTATTTTTTGAAAAGCTACTCACTCATGTAAATAATGAACAAAAATTCTGTGAAAACAAAGTTCTTATCTTGCTGTTTTTCTTCACAGCATTGGAAAGTATCCAGCTAGACATGAGAGGATGTGACTGGAGGAAGACAGCAATGTGTATAGGAACATGGCCAATTATTAGGAAATTACAGAAATTCTAGAGCACATTCTATGATTGGTACCAAAGAGCTATGGGTAAGTTTGTCCAAATAATCAGATCTCTTATTTCCATTCACACAATCTAATGCAATGTCAAAAGAGCTACATAGGCAGTTTGTCTAAACTAGTGGTTTCTAAGCCTGACAGATAGCATCCCAGTTGTAATAGCTTTACAGCCTCTGTGATCAGAAATGAATTTAAAGTAAGTGGCCTTAAACAAGACCATTAACAGTATGAGCCGAAGGAGAGAATAAAGACAGACACTTAATTATGTGGCAGGAGCATCTGAATGGACCAACAGAGCGCGATTAACTCTGATGAAGAGGTTGAAATATATTATATGTTAAAGCACAAGGATATAAGATTCATTTTGGATATGTTGATAGTAGGCTTCCAATAAGACAATCAAGTTGGAAATTTTATATATGAATCTAGTTTTCAAAAAACAAGATGTAGGTAAGAGAAATAAACTTTATATATACTAAAAAAGCCTTTGTAGGGTAAGATATTGTGAGAGAGGGTCTAGGTAGAGATGGTGGGAGGGTAATGAGGAAATGCATGCTGATATAGTATATACCTTGTTACCTCAGTTACAATAGAGAAAAACCAACATTGTAATACGATGAGTGCCCAGATAAAAATGTGTTTTTTTTAAAATGACAACTAATTCTAAAATGTACATGTAAATGCAAAGGACTAACAATAACAAAAATTATAAAAATAAAAAACAAAGTTGGATGACTCACACAGCATGATTTCAGGCTTATTACAAAGCAAACAGTAAGTAAGATTACAAAATGTTGCTGTTAAAATAGCCATATAGATTAATGGGAAAAAAAGACAGATCAAGAAAAAACTCTCAAATGTATAACCAATTAACTTTAAATAAAAACATAATGGCAATTCAAAAATAAACAGAAAATATCATTAACTAATGGTTCTAGAATAATGAATATTCATCTGTAAGAAAAATGAAATCCCACCCTTGCCTAATATCACATACGAAAATTAGATTAAAATAAATCATAGACCTAATTGTGAGCACTTAAATTACAAATATCTCAGAAAATAAACATGAGAGAAAATCTTTGTGCCCTTAAGTTTAACAGAGATTTCTTAAATAGTACACACCAATTATATAAATTACATGACTTAATCAAAACTTTTAAAACTCTTTTAAACAGACTCAAAAGAAAATAAAAAGGCACAACACAAGCTAATAGAAAATGTTTTATAAGTACATATCGAATAGATAATTTTATTCAGATTCTAAACCTACAGATGGCAAATAAATGCTTGAAAAGATGGTCAACCTTATTAATCATCAGAATAATAAAAATTAAACAACAAAAATACCATTGGCCTAACCATTAGATGGCTAAAATTTATAAAGCTAACCATAAAAAGCATTGGTGAGGAATAACAGAAATTCTAACTTGTTTGTGGAGATCTAAAATGATATAACCAGTTAGGAATGCAATTTTGCAGGTTCTTATAGAGTTAAACATAAAGTTACCATTGATTGGCCCAGCAATTCCACTCTTAGGTATTTATCTATGAGTAATGAAAAGATATATCCATAATAAAGACATGTTCTGGTAGATTCATAGAGGAATTTTTCATAATTGAGAAAAACTGGGACCAATATAAATATCCACCAACTGGTGAATGAATAAACAAATTATGGTATTAACATAAAATGGGATATCATCCCATAATACAAAGGGACTATGGATATATGCAAGAGTGTCAGTGAATCACAAAAAGCATAATGCTGAGCAAAATAAAACATATAAAGAAGATGCCACACTCTAAAATTTAATTTATAACAAATGATATAAAATGAAAACTGTAGCGAAAGAAAGCAAATCATTATGTGTCATTGGCAAGAGGACGGGACTGATTGCAAAAAGGCAGAAGGAAATTTTGAGGGTTATTGGAAATGAGCTACATGATTATGTGGTGATTATTTAACTTGATACGCTGACAAAACTCACCAAATCGTATCTACAGTATTGCTGACAAATGAGAAAAATTAAAAATATAAGAATATTTGCGGGATCAATGGCAAGACATACCAGAACATCTGTAGTATCAATATATCATGATATATAGCACCTATTGGCATATACATTACAAGATCGATTGCAACAAACAGCAATATAAACCTATGAATGAGAGTTTTGTTTAGGATAGTAAAATTATGTTTGAGAAGGTTACATAAATAATATCATAAAATATATTCTCTGGATCATTTATAGATAAGTTATTGCATGAAAGTTCAAAAGGTAATTCATGAAGACCAACAGGATAACATTTAGGTGGTTGATATTATAAAATTAAAATTTATTATAAAGATTTTTATATTTCATAAAAAAATTATTAAATATTTTACCTTAAACCATGGAATGTATAGATATTACACATTGACATTTATAAAAACATTAATTATTTTAATGTTGCTGCCTGTTTTTCTGAAATTAAGTGTCTGTTTATGGTATGCTACCAGCCTATCTATATTTAAGGGGTGGAAGAAAGCAATTGATACCTTCAAGTTAAAGTGGCATTTAAAAATGGCCATGAATATTCTGATGCTTTCTGAATCAAATGTTAGTTTTAAAAAGTATGTTTAAAATTGTATTAGAAATTATATAAATGATTTTAGGATTTTGTTGTAAAATTAATGTATGTGTATCACCTACAAGATTTCTAATAGCTGTGCATTTAAAGTCTTCAGTACAGATTTATTTTTATTTTTAAACTTTATTTTAGGTTCAGGGATACATGTGCAGGTTTGTTATATAGGTAAATTGCATGTCATGGGGATTTCATGTGCAGATTCTTTCATCACCCAGGTAATAAGTATAGTATCCGATCAGTAATTTCTCAATCTTCACTCTCCTACCATCCTCTACCCTCAAGCAAGTCCCTGTGTCTGTTGTTCTGTTTGTGTCCATATGTACTCAGTGTTTAGCTACCACTTATAAGAGAGAACATGTGGCATTTTGTTTACTCTTCCTGTGTTAGTTCACTTAGAATAATGGCCTCCAGCTCCATCCATGTTGCTGCGAAGGATGTGACTTTGTTCTTTGTTATGGTCACATGGTATTCCATGGTATGTGTGTGTGTCTGTATTATATATGTACACATTTTTTTCTTTTTTTTTTTGAGTTGAAGTCTCGCTCTGTCACCTAAGCTGGAGAACAGTGGCACAATCTCGGCTCACGGTGATCTCTGCCTCCTAGGTTCAAGCAATTCTCCTGATTCACCGTCCCAAGAAGCTGGGACTACAGGCTCAAGCCACCATGCCCGGCTAATTTTTGTATTTTTACTAGAGATGGGGTTTCACCATATTGGTCAGGGTAGTCTCAAACCCCTGACCTCAAGTGATCCGCCTGCCTCAGCCTCCCAAAGTGCTGGGGTTACAGGTGTGAACCACCACACACCCGGCCACATCAAAACAGCACCCAAACTCAGCCACAACTTTGCTCCAAAATAGGAGTGGGTGCTGGGAGCAGGGAGAGGCCAGGCAGCAGGAGCAGGCATTCTGGGACCCTGAGAGTACAGGGATGCCCAGGTCTGTAGCTGCAGCCAGGAGGGCAGGGCTCCCACCCCGCCAAGTAGAAGGCGGCTCCTGCCTGTTCCTGGCCCTTGCTGGCTCCATGGAGCGCACAGCCCCTGGTGGCACCTCCCTTGCTGCAGCCAGTGTCTTTGCAGTGGCAGCTCCAGAAAGCCTGTTGCTGCCATCAATACAAATATATCTTTGTCTCTTAAGCACATAATAAGATATTTTACTTTACATTATTGTGACTTATCATGACCTATATGTAGTGATTTCATGATTAATTAATGTAATTGTAACTTTTATATATGTGAGATAACATATTCCAAGTAGAATACAAGTAATCTGAGACTATGTGACAAAAAATAAGAACATTATGTATGTTCACATTTCCTTATACTGTTTGTACAATATCTCTTTGTTCTTTCACTATTTAATGTTGGAAAATATTTACCTTGAGTTTTTTGCTATATCGGTTTTCAGTTTTTTTATTAAAAAATAGATTTAAGATAAAAAACATTATGAAGTGATTTTCACCATCATATCAGTTTGACCTTTTCAATATTCCACGTCTTGATTGAGTAGTCATTCAGTTCACTCCCTGAATGTTAGTGTAGACATGGGAGAACCAGTTAATTAGAATACATTGTTTCAAAGGTCACAGAGTATTTTTCAATATATTGTTTTACATTAAATATTGAGAAATACATAAAAAGTAAATGCTAATATTTGCTTTGCTTTAATATGAGTAGGAAGGAAATTTTTGAATACATATATACACTAAATGATAGTATAACCATGTATATATCTGCCCACGTTTCTGTATATGCAGTCTGATTACATTAAACTAAATAGAAATATACACTGAAAGCTCTATGAATGATAAATTAAGTAATATGTAAACTACTTTCTATATTTAAAATATTCAAATATATTAAGTATATTTATAATAAAGTAGTATTAATTAATACTGCATTACGTATTTCTCCTCATTTGCTAGAGACTATTATTCAACTAAACAAGGAGGCCTAGACTACTGATGAACTCCAGTTTCAAAATGAGAATGTGAGTGGATAAGCCAAACATTTTTAAGCATTCAAGTACTGCTAATAATAATTGTGGAACAAAGCTGACAATAAAAAAATAAACATATAAAATCACATATTGTAGCTTGTATTTGTTCATAGCATTCGTAATGCATTTCTAGGTTTGCTGTCTTGGAGATAATTGTTCATGAGAGTCAGTGAGTTGGAAAGCTCAGAAAATTCTTTGGAAAGTACATCCAGGATAGGAAGAGACACTGGAGAGGGAGACTAAGGGTATGAAGCAATATTTATATCTCATGTTGCATGGTTATTTTAGATAATCAACTTTATGGAGGCTAGCCAACTACTGACAGATTCTAGTGCTAGAAAAGAAAATACCTACCAAAATATAAACTGCTTTCACAGGCTTTTATTTTGTAATAATCTAGATTATCTTTATTATGAATGTTCTTTCAAGTGCATGTTGATTTAGTGTTTATATGAGATTTCAGACTCTTTACAACTATTTCATACTGAATCCAGGTTATATTAAAAAAGATTAAACTATATTACAAAGAAAAAGTCTTTGTGGTAGCAAAGTAGTATACATTATAGAAAAAAAATCATGTAATTGTAACTGTCTCTTTGTTGCCATTGTGCTATATATAGAATATATACACTTTGGATATTTAAATTACACCAGTATTTCATGTGTTTATAATAGGTTATTTGAATATTTATGCATTCATTATATATCTATTATTTTCCTCCATGAGTTTTAGAGTCTGATAAAACTGTCACAGTATTCTCAGCTGAAATGAATAAATAAGTGATTGCTCAAGATCTTTTTCATTCTGTAAGGATATTAAAATTTTTAATATTTATCTTCACCCAAAAAGCAGCTGAAATTCATTGTGATCCTAATATGATGAGATTCTCAAGTTTGCTGTTTCAAATTCATCAAGACTTGATCTAGTATCACTGAACTGTATGTCTGGAATTAGTTTTATGTAAAAGAAAACTAAATAAATGAGTAAATTAAACCCAAATGCTTTTATTTCTGCTAAATGACCATTGCAAAATTAAAATATCAGACATTAAAATGAATTCAGTACATTCACCTCTTCTTAGCAACTTAAATGCATCCAGAAATAATAAACTATCAAGCACATTTAGAATAGGAGTGTAAAATATCTGATAATCTTCTCCTCCATAAAGGCTTGGAGAACATTGAAAAAATTTGTGAACATTAAATTTTTCAAAACAGGAATTTCCCAAATACTGGCAATAATCCAAGAACCACTAAATAAATAAAAATGGCCAATTCTTTGTTAGAAAGTTGAATCTGGTAATATTGTAATAAGCCCTGTCTCCTATTTTTCCTCACCTCAGCTAGACAGCAGCCCTTGCAAACCAGTAACCTAACACAAGAGGGAAGAAGATGGGTTTGGAGCTCCCCCAGAGATTTGTCTCACAGAATAGAGCTCCAGTTCTGTCTGGAGCTTCATTCACTGCGCTTATATTTATTTTATCTGACTTGGATACACAGCTAATGGAAAAGCCTTATTTACAGAGCATTTGTCAAACCAGTGGCAAGTGTTTAATATTTCATCAGCTTGAGGTGGCAATACCAGTTGGGGCAAATAAGAAATTGGTCATAACACTTAAAAGAAAAATCTGGAGGATAAAATGTTCATGTAATCCCCGAAAAAGCTCTAATATATTCTTAAGAGTGTAGAAGTCAATGAATACTTACAGAGTATACCTAGAAAGGCCCTAATCTCTCAACTCTGGTTGACTTAAAGCCCTATGTGACAAGAAAATAAAGGCCAAGGCAGAGTTATAAACTGTCAGAGAATGAAAATTTTGCCTTAAAACATACACAGAATCCCTTGGCAAACACTAGGTGACTTAGTGTTTCAAGATGAATAAGAAAATCTGCCCACTAATTTGCTGCCACTAAGCTAATCAATCAGAGGCTTCAGTAGCCACAAAAGGAAAAAAATACAGTCTTTACAGAATTATTGCAAGATGTTCAATATGCAAACTACAGCAAGAGCAACAACAAGAATAAACTGTAAGAATAACAAATCCTGCAAGGGACTTGATCTGATTTACAGATTTGCTCCATTAAATTATTTAAATATTCAGTTTTCAACACCAATAAGAAATTATTAGGCATGAAAAAAGAAATCAGGAAATTATGCTTCATATACAGGAAAGAAAAACTTACCCAACATGAAGAAAGCCAGATTTTCTATTTATCATACTAAGATTTTGAATCAGCCATAATAAATATGCTCATAGAATTAAAAGAAAGCATTAGAATAATGTTTCACCAAATAGAGAACAAAAAGATATAAATATAACCAAAACTATAGAGTTTAAAAATTAAAATAATTACAATAAAAAATCATTAGACAGACTTAAGAGCAGGCTTAACATTTCAGAAGAACCAGTAAAGTTGAAAAAAAGTCACCCGAAATTACCCAAACTGAGAAACAATGGTAAAATAATGTAGAAAAGTAAGCAGAACCTCAGAAAACTGTGGAAAACCATCAATTTCATAAAATGTATGCAAAGGATTAAAAAGAGAGAAGGGACAAAAACAGTATTTGAAAAAATAATGGCCAAAAACTTTCTAAATTTGATGAAAATTATGACGATACACATCAAAGAAGCTCAATGAACTTCAAGTAGCATAAACTCAAATAGATCCATCTCTAAACACATCATAATGAAATATCAATAGCCAAAGGCAAAAAGAAAATCTTGATAGCAAGAAGAGGCAAACAACCCATCACATACAAGGAATCACTACAAATATTTACACCTGAAATAATGTAAGAAGTCATGGACTCTAGAAACGAATGGTATAACATATTAAAAATACTGAAAGGAGAAAAACCCATCTACCTATAATTGCATAGCCAGCAAAACTATAGTTTAAAAATAAAGGAGAAATAAGAAATTTCCAAATAAGCAAAAACTGTGAAACTTTGTTGTTGGTAGACTTGCTTTTACAAAATACTAAAAGTAACTCTTCAAATTGAAATGAAAAGACACTAAACAGAAACTCAAATCCACACAATGAAATAAAGGACATAGGTACATGTAAATAAACAGGTAAATAAAACTAAAGTATACAAATATTTTGGTTCGTTTTACTGTTTGCCTTCATCTTATTTAAATGACAACTACATTAAAAATAATTACAAATGTGTTTATAGGCTTATAAATGCATAAAATTGCAATCTGTTTAAAGACAATAAGATGATGCAGGGGGAGAGATCTGAACTATAATATGTAAATATTTTCAATACTATTGAGATTGTTAGTATTATTATGAACTTGATTGTTTTAAATTAAGATGTTAATTGTAATTCCCAGTGATACAACTAAGAAAATAACTCAAAAATATGCTAAAAGAAAGAAAATGGGGCTGGGTATGGTGGCTCATGCCTATAATCCCGGCACTTTGGGAGGCTGAGATGGGCAAATCACTTGAGGCCAGGAGTTTGAGACTACCCTGGCCAACATGCCAAAACCCTGTCTCCACTAAAAATACAAAAATTAGCCAGCCATGGTGATGCACGGCTGTATCAGCTACTCAGGAATCTGAGGAACAAGAATTGCTTGAACCTGGGAGGCAAAGGTTGCAGTGAGCCGAGACTGGCCACTGCACTCCAGCCTGGCTGACAAAGTGACACCAAAACAAAACAAAACAAAACAAAAAAAGGGAATAAAAATGGTGAAGTGGGGAATATTTATTCTAAACAAAAGACATTTGTCCAAGTGTGTTGTTGTGTGCCTGAAGTCCCAGCTACATGGTAGGCTGAGGTAGGAGAATCACTTGGGCCCAGGAGTTCAAGGTTGTAGTGAGCCATGCTCATGCAACTGCAGTCTGGGCTACAGAGAGAGAACTCGTCTCAAAAAATGAAATAAAACAAATAAATAAAACCAAAGAAGGCAGCTTTAATGTTCTAATTGACTCAGTTTTGCTATGATAATATGAAACCTCACTATTAGGAGAACTAAGTACAATTTTAAAAGGAGGGTCCCTGAAAAATTACTATCAAATGAAATACAATTTGACTCCACTGACTGTGAATTTGATTCTGTCATCATAATGCTTGCTGGTTATTTTGCAGACTTATTTATGTGGTTGCCTCACAGTGTCACTGGTCTGTGTATTCACTGTGTTTTTGCAGTGGCTGGTAAAGTTTTTTCCTTTCCGTATTTAGTGCTTTTTTCAGGAACTCTTGCAAAGCAGGTCTGGTGGTAACAAATACCCTCACTTCTTTGCATTTGCTTGTCTGAAAAGGATCTTATTTCTTTTTCACTTATGAAGCTTAGTTTGTCCAGATATGAAATAAATTCTAGGTTGGAAATTATTTTCTTTTAGAATGTTGAATACTGGCCCCCAATCTCTTCTGAACTGTGGGGTTTCTGCTGAGAGGTCCACTGTTAGTCTGCTGGGCTTCCCTTTGTAGGTGACCTGAACTTTCTCTCTGGCTGTCCTCAACTTTTTTTTCTTTCTTTTTGACCTCAGAGAATCTAATGATTATTTTTCTTGTGGATGATCTTCTTGTGGAGTATCTTATTGAGGTTCTCTGCATTTCTTGAATTTTAGTGTTGGCCTGTCCTTCTAGGTTAACAAAGTTCTCCTGAATGATACACTGATGTATGTTTTCCAACTTGGTTCCATTCTCCTCATCTCTTTCAGATACCCTGATCAGTCATAGATTCAGTCTTTTTACATAATCCCATATTTCTCCAAGGGTTTTTTCATGCCTCTTCATTCGTTATTCTCTATTATTGTCCGCCTGTCTTATTTCAGAATGATAGTTTCCAAGTTCTGAGATTCTCTCCTCCGCTTGGTCTATTCTGCTACTGATACTTGTGATTGCATTGTGAAGTTCTTGTAATACATTTTTCAACTCTAACAAGTCAGTTATATTCCTCTCTAAACTGGCTATTGTGATGGTCAGCACCTGTACTGTTTTATAATAATTCTTAGCTTCTTTGAGTTGTTTTGCAACATGCTCCTTTAGTTCAGGAAAGTTCATTGTTAGCCAACCTTCTGAAGATGATACCCATGCCTCCCTCTGGGACTCCATCAGGTCTTAGGGAGGGTCCACACTGTTGCTGGTAGCTGGCTGGAATTTGAAACCAATGTATCTTATCTTGTGAGGTGCTGTGGAATTGGGGCTAAGCCCCTGCTGGAAAAGTATTATGTTCATTTGGAGAAAAAGGGGTACTCTGGCTTTTTGAGTTTTCAGCCTTTTTGTGATTCTTTCTCATCTTTCTGAGCTTATCTACCTCCAATCTTTGAGGTTGCTGATCTTTGGAGAGTTCTTTTGTGTGTGTGTTTGGGGGGGGGGTTTCTATTGCCATGGTTATTGTTTTAGGTTCGTTTTTCTTCGAACATTCTGGTCACTCTTCCATAGGGTTGTTGCAGTTTGCTGGGGCTCTGCTCCAGACCCTAGTTGCCTTAGTTTTTCCATACCTGGAGGTATCACCAGTGAAGGGTATGAAATAGCATAGATGACAGCATGCCCCTTCCTTTGGAAGTTCTGTCCCAGGGGGGTACTGACCTATTGCCTGCCTGAATTGCACCTGCAGTAGGTGGCCGGAGACCCTGGTTTAGAGGGCTTACTTTGGAAGAACAGGATCTGCAACCCACTTAAAAAGGTATTCTGGCAGTTTTTTGGTAGAGCGGCTTTACTGTTTTGGGGATTCCTTCATCTCCCCATCAGTTTGGATTCTCCAAGGCCCACAGGCTTAACAGGTTGAAAAGCCCAAGTGGTCCAGGAGGTGGCCTTCCCTGCTCCTCAAATGCTTCATCCCAGAGAGAAACACGAGCTCTGTCTGCCCCACAGAATACAGGTCAGGTGGCTGGAAGCCCCGACTGGGAGGACCTGGCCGGGAGAAACCAATCCACGAGAAGGAGTAAATCACTTAAAGGAGCAGTCTGTCCATGCCTCAAGAAAAGAGCTGTATTGTGGTGGGGGAACCGTGTCATGGTGGGGAACTGCCTCTGCCCCTGTTGGGGAGGAGGTTGGTTGGAAGAACTGAGTCATCCAACCAACCCAGGTGGCCACCCTCCCTGCCCCCAGGCACTCCTTCCCAGGGAGAGATCAGAGCTCTGTCCCTAATAAGTGCAGGTGGACATGGCTGGAGGGCCTGGCTGGGAGGTTTCACCCAGTGAGCAGAAATGTATCAGGGTCCCACTTAAAGAAGCAGTCTCGCTATGATCTGGCAAATCCACTGTACTGTGCTGATGGGGGGACCTTTCCTTGTCTGGACCATTTGGATTCTCCAAATGCTGCAGGCTGGAACGATTGAGTCAACCAAATGGCAGAGATGATACCCATGCCTCCCTCTGGGACTCCATCAGGTCTTAGGGAGGGTCCACACTATTGCTGGTAGCTGGCTGGAATTTGAAACCAATGTGTCTTATCTTGTGAGGTGCTGTGGAATTGGGGCCAGAAGAATGATGCTACTTGGATCCCTGGATTCCACCTCTTTCCTATGTGTGGGCCTCCCGCCTTACCTGAGTTACAGACATGTTTGCTGAGGATCCCAGGGCCAGATTATGTAAAGTTCCTGGGTCTCCGTGTGTGCCTGAGCAGCAGCTCTGCCAAGACTCCACACGGCTCTGTGTGTTGGACCAAACACTCTGGTGGGGTTTGCTCACAAGGGTATCTCCTGATCCATGGGTTGCAAAGATCTGTGGGAGAAGCGTGGTTTCCTGGGGTTACACAATCACTCACCACTTCCCTTGGCTCCGTGTCACTCCTGGGTGGGCTGTCTCTCCACCATGCTTTTCTTCATTTTCTGTGTGTCAAGTTGTTCCCCTAATCAGTCTCAATGAGAGAACCTGGATATTTTAGTTGAAGGTACTGTATTCATTCACCCATTTTGTTCCCATCCATGAATGCTGCAGACTGCAGCTGCTTCTAATCAGCCATCTTGGCCCCTCCCCTTCTATTTTTCTTTTTCCTTTTTGTACTTTTGTTCTTTTTGCATACTTGATTATTTTGATTGGCTGTTAAACACTTCGTCTGAGCATGTGTAGCATTCATTTGAGGATCTAAATGATGCTATATTCTTCCCAAAAGAAGTGATATTTTCTTTTGGCCAGGAGTTATGATAAGGTCGCATTAACTTTTTTGAATCAATAATTGAATTGATTTAAATCTGAAGTTTAATATTTGTTAGTGCTGAGCTTTTGAATGGATTGCTATCCACTCTACAATGTGGCCCTTTTTGACGTATCCTAAACTCTGATTTTCATTTTCTAAGCCCCAGGTGATGGTTGAAAGCCCTATTCAGACTTTCATGCCCCTGCATTCATGCTAGCAAATGCGAGGAGAAAAGCCACATAAATATTTTACACTCCCCCCAGTACACTCACTTTTACTCTAGTATCTCAACTCACCATATCCTCCCTGTTTAGTCTTCTGATATCTTCCCCATGCCAATTTCACTTTTAAGTATTGTTCATATTTCCTAGCAAATTCTTCTAGGTGGTAAGGCTAACGTAAATAACCAAAAGCAAAACCAAAATCACACAAAAACTAAGTTCAACCCTGCTATGAGAGGAAATTGGTATATGAATATATCATTATATTAATATAATGAATAGACCATCGGGATAACATTTTATATTTCATTTATATTAAACTATCAGTCTTAAAATATGCCATTTATAAAAATAAATATTTTAAAATATATCTTAATGTTTAAGGTGAGCTAAGAAAATAGGTAATTTTATATGCTTTTGGGAATTAAGTGTTCTATATTCTTCAAGATCTATGCCCAGAATTAAACTGTGCTTTATATTGGACTGCCTTCATAAAAATAAATACTCAAATATGCTATTATCTTAATTACATCATATTAGTGTATTATAATGAATACAATGGAATGATATACATTCATAAAGTTATATTTATATGAAACTTTAAATGTAATCAGAACATTCTAATTATAGAGTGTTTATTGGGAAAAAAACTACCTACTGTGTATAATGTACACTACTCAGGTGATGGGCACGCTAAAAATTCTAGATTTTACCATTGTAAAATTTATCCATGTAACCAGGAATCATTTGCACCCCTAAAGTTACTGAAATAAAAAAAATAAAAAGAAATGTATAATTGCAATAAACATAAAAATATGGCATATTATTCTAGAAATGACTATATAATAACATATTAAATATTCTCCACTTAATATGTTCTCAAAATGTTAATAATCTCTTATCAATTTAGGCTATTCTACTGCAGTGAGAAGAATATTTTATTTGTTAAACAACTCTAATATATATGTCAGACTTTGGATAAGGAATATTAATATTTATATTGATTTTTCAACAACTAAAGTCAATATTAAACATATTAATAGATAATAAATAAGGTAAACTATGTTATAGTAACTTAGAGTAAGGGCAAGCTAAAAAACATTGTGCCAATCATTTATTCCATTTGAATCCTCAATGGCTTTATGTGACAAATTTATTTTAAATATTATATATTATCTAAACTGTATAATCTATTGTCTTAGATTTACATGGTAACTTTAATTTTGAGAACTTAAAGTCATATATATACATATATATAATTTTCTATAAAGACTAAACTCTTTCTTCAAATATTATATTACATTTTTTCTTACAAGCAAATAAAGCACCATTTCCATTTCTTTCTGTTCTTAACAGGTGAAAATGACAGCAAAATCAATAAAGAGAATTGTAAGGTCAGTATGAAGAACATTCCCAGTTCAGATCTTAATTTCAAGAACAATTTGCCATGACATCTGTGTAGTGTCTTCATGGAAGTTTAGCAGATCTGACAGCTAATTAATTATAAAGCAAGACTAGAGACTGGACATAGTGCTAGCAGAGGAGAATTCATCTCTTATGTCAACACGTTTCAGTATATTCATTTTCTTAAGCCTGAAAGACATACCCCTAGTAAATCATTGTTTATCTTTAAGCTCTAAAAGGAAATCGAACATGACATAAACAATTACCAAGATATTATCAGAGAAATGCATTCTCAAAAGAAATACAAGAATACATTAGAGCTAGGTGACATCTAAGATTTCCCTGTTTTTGTGTAAATTTTTCAAATGTCTAAAATTACTTCTTCAAATATCATGAGAGAAATACAAAAATACCAATAAGAATCTAAGTACATATGTGTATATATATATATATATATATAATCATGAATTAAATATGGATACAAAAGCATAGATTATGATTTAAAAACACAAAGTTCAAGGTAATAGTATTATCAATTAAATAGAAAAACTTTACTGATAAGAATTTATTCTCTATTGTAAGTAATTCAGAATTGTTTATCATTTAAGTTAAAACTCTATATTTATATATCTATGCATAAGTTAAAACAAAACAATAAACAAAAAATTGCTATGCTCAAATTTTTTTAGTACTATATTCTATTACAAATAAAAGCACATATTTCGTTTCCTGTCCATAGTGTAAGCAGGTTGGTAGTTGGCACTTTGTCCTAAAACTAAGTAAAAAGTGGAACTAACTAAAAACAACCAAACAAAACAAAACAAAACAAAGAAAAATGACTTTTCTAAGATATCTTAGAGAAGGAAGGTCACAGGACAAACTGCTGGCACCAAAATTGGAGATACCAACAGTTGAATACAAAGAATCTCAACTTACTGGAATGGAACTGACCAGCAGAAACTTCCTTTGAAGCTACTGCCAGGGTAAGCATGCCTATACAGTAATCAGCAAATTGCTGGAGGGTCTGTGTGGACAAGTCTGGGGGATAAAATCTCTAGTCATGAGGAGACACCCAACTTTTCATGGTTTTCCCCCAAGAGCTCTACCAGTTTCTCACAGTGAATACTGGAAAAAAGTTTCCTCATGCTTCTGGCAGGGGGTAAAGAATAAAAAAAAAAATCTTTGAAATCTGCTACAGCATTCTGTTTTTAACAAAGTCTGCCCTCAAGAGAAATCGTTTAACCAGAGATAAACCTGATGAGGATTTATTAGTGCCTAACTGACCTGGGAGGATGAGAAGAGCCAGCTCTAGCAAACTCTAACCTTCCATGTGAATGAAGAAAATATAAAACTCCAGCCCACTCTAGCCACCCTGTCCTACTCAAGTTGGGTGGGAGAAACTGAGAAACACTGGTGAAGTTCATAGTCCAGAGGTAAAAGTTTATTAAGTGCCTGAGACCTAATCAAAATGCTATGAAATGATTCACTTTGTTCCACATATTATCACTACATTACTAAAGACCTACTTACAATTTTCTTTTACTCAGTACAGCATGTCTGGATAGCAAGAACAAACTCACAAGGCATACTAAAAGGCAAAAACACAGTTTGAAGAAACAGAACAAGCACTACAATTGGACTCAGATACAGCAGGGATGTTGAAATTATCAGACTGAGTTTTTAAAACAACTATGATTACTATACTAAAAACCTTAATTGATAATGCAAATAGCATGCAAAAACAGAAGAGCAATGTAAGCAGAGAGATAGAAATTCTAAGAAAAAAATAAAGAAATACTAGAAATAAAAAGCAGTGTAAAAGAAACAAAAAATGTCTTAGGCTTACTAGTAGATTGAACAGAGTTAAAAAAAGAATCTCTGAGGTTTAGAATATCTCAATAAAAACTGTTCAAACTAAAAGTCTAACAGAAAAAAGACAAAAAAAAAACCCCACCAAAACAGAATATCGAACAACTATGAAATAACTGAAGACATAGTATATAATTAATTGAAATACCAGAAAGAGAAAAAAATAAAAAACAGAAGAAATATTCAAAGCATTAATGACTGAGAATGTATAGAAATTAATGTCAGAAACCAAGCCATTGATCCAGGAAGAGCATGGAATACCAAGCAGAATAAATGCCTACCCCCACCAAAAAACAAAAGAAGAGAAAATAAAAGAAAAAACACCACCTACACATCTCATATTCAAACTTCAAAAAATCAAGATAAAGAAAAAAAATCTAAACGTAAGTCACAGTGAGGAAAAAAATTGTACAATTATAAAAGCATGGCTGGGCGCAGTGGCTCATGCCTGTAATCCCAGCACTTTGGGAGGCCGAGGCAGGCAGATTACTTGAGGTCAGGAGCTCGAGACCAGCTAGGCCAACATGGAGAAACCCCATTTCTACTGAAAATACAAAAATTAGCCAGGCACGGTGGCAGGCACCTGTAATCCCAGCTACTTGGGCTGAGGCTGAGGCAGGAGAATTGCTGGAACTTGGGAAGTGGAGGTTTCAGTGAGCTGAGATTGTGTCATTACACTCCAGCCTGAGCGAGAAGAGCAAAACTCTGCCTCAAAAATAAAAATTAAAAAAAAGCATAAACAGGAATTACATTCAACTACTTCTGAGAAATTATGTAAACAAAAAGAGAGTGGAGTGAACTACTTAAAATGTTGAGAGAAAACAAAAACAAAAAAAAAGCCCACCAACCTAGGATTCTATAACCTGTGAAATAATTGTTTAAAAAATGAAGGAGAAATTAAATATTTCCTCAGAAAAACCATATTGAGGAAATTTTTGTGCCAGTAGATAGATTAGCCTTTCAAAAAATATTTAAAAATTTCTTTAGAGAGGAAGAAATAATATGTATATATATAAAGATAATTGAATCTACACAAGGAATTCAAGAACATCAGAGAAGGAATAAGTGAAGATAAAATAAAAAGTTTTATATTTTTTTAATTTATGGAACAGTAAAATGTGTTTAAAATAGTAATAGCAACAATGTATATGATTATGTATGGTTATGCCTTTCTCTCTCTCTCTCTCTCTCTATATATATATATATATATTCTTATGTCTACATAAAAAGAATGACAGCAATAATATGAGAGATAAGAGAAATAAATTACATTTATTTTTATAAGACAATTATACTACCCATGAAGTGGCATACTGTTATTTGAAAGTGAACTTAGATTATTTGTAAATGTATATTGCAAAATGTAGGGCAAATACTAAAAAAAGTTTCTTAAAAGACAAGCAAATGCAGAGATATTTTGTCACCACCAGTCTGCCTTACAAGAGGAAGCACTAAATATGGAAAGGAAAAACTGGTACCAGCCACTGCAAAAACATACCAAATTGTAAAGACCATTGACCCTATGAAGAAACTGCATCAACTAATGGGCAAAATAACCTGCTAGCATCATAAGGACAGGATTAAATTCACTCATAACAATACTAACCTTAAATGTAAATGGGCTAAATGCCCCAATTAAAAGACACAGACTGGCAAATTGCATAAAGAGTCAAAACCCATCAGTGTGCTGTATTCAGGAGAACCATCTCACATGCAAAGACACACATAGGCTCAAAATAAAGAGATGGAGGAATATTTACCAAGCAAATGGAAAGTGAAAAAAAGCAGGGGGTGCGATCCTAGTCTCAAGTAACACAGACTTAAAACCAACAAAGATAAAAAAAGACAAAGAAGGGCATTATATAATGGTAAAGGGATCAATGCAACAAGGACAGCTAACTATCCTAAATATATATGCACCCAATACAGGAGCACCCAGATTCATAAAGCAAGTTCTTAGAGATGTACAAAGAGACTCTGACTATCACACAATAATAGTGGGAGACTTTAACACCTCACTGTCAATATTAGATGGATCAACAAGACAGAAAATTAACAAGGATATTCAGGACTTGAACTCAGCTCTGGACCAAGTGGACGTAATAGACATCTACATAACTCTCCACCCCAAATCAACATAATATACATTCTTCTCAGTAACACATAGCACTTACTCTAAAATTGACCACATACTTGGAAGTAAAACAATCCTCAGCAAATGTAAAAGAACGGAAATCATAACAAACAGTCTCTCGGACCACAGTGCAATCAAATTAGAAGTCAGGATTAAGAAACTCACCCCAAACCACAAAACTACTTGGAAACTGAACAACCTGTTCCTGAATGACTACTGGGTAAATAATAAAATTAAGGTAGATATAAATAAGTTATTTGAAACCAATGAGAACAAAGACACAATGTACCAGAATCTCTGAGACACAGCTAAGGCAGTGTTTAGAGGGAAATTTATAGCACTAAATGCCCACAGGAGAAAGCAGGAAAGATCTAAAATTGACACACTAACATCACAATTAAACAAACTTAAGAAGCAAGAGCAAACAAATTCAAAAGACAGCAGAAGACAAGAAATAACTAAGATCAGAGCATAACTGAAGGAGATAGAGACACAAAAATCCGTTCAAAAAATCAATGAATCCAGGAGCTGGTTTTTTGAAAAGATCAACAAAATTGATAGACTGCTAGCAAGACTAATAAAGAAGAAAAGAGAAAAGAATTGAATCAAATAGACACAGTAAAAAATGATAAAGGAGATATCACCATTGATCCCACACTAATACAAACTACCATCAGAAAATACTATGAACACCTCTACGCAAATAAACTAGAAAATCTAGAAGAAATGGATAAATTCCTGGAACATACACCTTCCCAAGGCTAAACCAGGAAGAAGTCGAATCCCTGAATAGGCCAATAATACATTCTGAAATTGAGGCAGTAATTAATAGCCTACCAACCAAAAAAAAGCCCAGAACCAGATGGATTCACAGCCAAATTCTACCAGAGGTACAAAGAGGAGATGGTACGATTCCTTCTGAAACTATTCCAAACAATAGGTAAAGAGGGACACCTCCCTAACTCATTTTATGAGGCCAGCAGCATCCTGATACCAAAACCTGGCAGAGACACAACAAAAAAAAGAGAACTTTAGGCCAATATCCCTGATGAACATTGATGCAAAAATCCTCAATAAAATTCTGGCAGACTGAATACAGCAGCACATCAAAAAGCTTATCCACCACGATCAAGTTGGCTTCTTCCCTGGGATGAAAGGCTGGTTCAACATACGCAAATCAATAAATGTAATCCATCACATAAACAGAACTAATGACAAATACCACATGATTATCGCAATAGATACAGAAAAGGCCTTCAATAAAAGTCAACACCCCATCATGCTAAAAACTCTCAATAAATTAGGTATTGATGGAATGTATTTTAAAATAATAAGAGCTATTTATGACAAACCCACAGCCAATATCATACTGAATGGGCAAAAGCTGGAAGTATTCCCTTTGAAAACTGGCACAAGACAAGGATGCCCTCTCTCACCACTCCTATTCCACATAGTATTGGAAGTTCTGGCCAGGGCAATCAGGCAACAGAAAGAAATAAAGGATATTCAAATAGGAAGAGAGGAAGTCAAATTGTCTCTGTTTGCAGATAACATGATTGTATATTTAGAAAACCCCATCATCTCAGCCCAAAATCTCTTTAAGCTTATAAGCAACTTCAGCAGTCTCAGGATACAAAATCAATGTGCAAAAATCACAGGCATTCCTATACACCAATAATAAACAAACAGAGAGCCAAATCATGAGTTAACTCCCATTCACAATTGCTACAAAGAGAATAAAATACCTAGGAATTCAACTTACAAGAGATGTGAAGGACCTCTTCAAGGAGAACTATGAACCACTGCTCTAGGAAATAAGAGAGGACACAAACAAATGGAAAAACATTCCATGCTCATGGATAGGAAGAATCAATATCGTGAAAATGGCCATACTGCCCAAAGTAATTTATAGAGTCAATATTATCCCCATCAAGCTACCAATGACTTTATTTACAGAATTAGAAAAAAACTACTTTTAATTTCATATGGAACCAAAAAAAGCCTGTATAGCCAAAACAATCCTAAGCAAAAAGAATAAAGCTGGAGGCATCACACCACTTGACTCCATACTATACTACAAGGCTACAGTAACCAAAACAGCATAGTACTGGTACCAAAACAGATATATAGACCAGTGGAACACAATCATCTGATCTTTGACAAACCTGACAAAAGCCATATTTTTTAATGTGTTTAATCTCACTGCTTATAACCTATTTTCCCACATATAAACACCACTACAAAGCTGCTGAATTTCTGATAATATGATATTTATATCCCATGACATCTCATGACAATGTCAATTTCTATTTCACATGAAATTCACACAAATCTGTAGGTTAAACACAAAAGTATAAATTACTAAAGTGGTTTGTCAATAAGAAAAAACATTGCCCACTAAAACTTAGTAGCAGAAGAAAAAGCAAGAGACAAAACCACTACCTCAAACTATTTATGTTGTTTTTTAAATTGCTTTTCTTCTTTCTTTGTTTTATCCTGCTTAAAGTGTCTTTAATTTGATTCTTTAGATTACTTTGCCCTCTTTTTTTTTGATAATGTGTATATTTTAATTCCATTGTTGGTAAACTATTACTTGCAAAATTAAATGTATCTTTATGCAAAATTTCATATGCATATCCATAATAAGAAAGAAATTTACAATGATATTACTAAAAATTCTGAATATCACTTGTCTTATTGTTTTGCATTTTAGTCAGCTATATTGTATTTGTTTTGTTTTGCCTAAATGTCTTTTCTTATATGCAGTCCCACACACATGACATTTTCTCTAGGTTGGGATTAGGCTGGGAGTTAAAGTACATAAGCAAATGGCTTTCTGAATTTATACATACTTATATTTAAATCTTAGTTCAACAATCAGTAGATATGTAACATCAGGCAAATTTAAAATGAAATATAGAAATACCATGTATACCAATACATATAAATTGAGATCAAAATGGCATGGTTATCTATAAATTCCCAGAAATAAAGATATATTTTCTTATGATAGAAACTTAACAAATGGCTGGCCACAGTGGTTCACACCTGTAATCTCAGCACTTTTGGAGGCTGAGGCAGGTGGATCACTTGAGGTCAGAAGTTCAAGACCAGCCTGGCCAACATGATGAAATTCCATCTCTACTAAAAATACAAAAATTAACCGGGCGTTGTGGCGGGTGCCTGTGATCCCAGCTACTTGGGAGGCTAAGGCAGGAGAATCGCTTGAACCCAGGAGGAGGTTTCAGTGAGCCAAAATCATGCCACTGCACTCCAGCCTGGGAAACAGAACAAGAGTCCATCTAAAACAAACAGACAAACAAACAAAACAAACACAGACCAGAAACTCAATAAATGTTTATTAAACATTGAGTTATTACAGAATTTGTCATTAAAGAGCTGGAAGATAATTGAAAAAAAAAAAAAAAAAAACTCTACCAGCGTTGTTTAAGGTGTTACTTTTCTTTTTTTTTTTTATTATTATACTTTAAGTTTTAGGGTACATGTGCACAATGTGCAGGTTAGTTACATATGTATACATCTGACATGCTGGTGCGCTGCACCCACTAACTCGTCATCTAGCATTAGGTATATCTCCCAATGTTATCCCTCCCCGCCCCCCACCCCACAACAGTCCCCAGAGTGTGATGTTCCCCTTCCTGTGTCCATGTGTTCTCATTGTTCAATTCCCACCTATGAGTGAGAACATACGGTGTTTGGTTTTTTGTCCTTGCGACAGTTTGCTCAGAATGATGGTTTCCAGCTTCATCCATGTCCCTACAAAGGACATGAACTCGTCCTTTTTTATGGCTGCATAATATTCCATGGTGTATATGTGCCACATTTTCTTAATCCAGTCTATCATTGTTGGACATTTGGGTTGGTTCCAAGTCTTTGCTATTGTGAATAATGCCACAATAAACATACATGTGCATGTGTCTTTATAGCAGCATGATTTATAGTCCTTTGGGTATATACCCAGCAATGGGATGGCTGGGTCAAATGGTATTTCTAGTTCTAGATCCCTGAGGAATCGCCACACTGACTTCCACAATGCTTGAACTAGTTTACAGTCTCACCAACAGTGTA
Organism: Homo sapiens; assembly: GCF_000001405.40. Classification (NCBI taxonomy): domain Eukaryota; kingdom Metazoa; phylum Chordata; class Mammalia; order Primates; family Hominidae; genus Homo; species Homo sapiens. The sequence continues at coordinate 43,428,630 of NC_000014.9, forward strand.
AAAGTGTTCCTATTTCTCCACATCCTCTCCAGCACCTGTTGTTTCCTGACTTTTTAATGATTGACATTCTAACTGGTGTGAGATGATATCTCATTGTGGTTTTAATTTGCATTTCTCTGATGGCCAGTGATGGTGAGCATTTTTTCATGTGTTTTTTGGCTGCATAAATGTCTTCTTTTGAGAAGTGTCTGTTCACGTCCTTTGCCCACTTTTTGATGGGGTTGTTTGTTTTTTTCTTGTAAATTTGTTGGAGTTCATTGTAGATTCTGCATATTAGGTCTTTGTCAGATGAGTAGGTTGTGAAAATTTTCTCCCATTTTGTAGGTTGCCTGTTCACTCTGATGGTAGTTTCTTTTGCTGTGCAGAAGCTCTTTAGTTTAATTAGATCCCATTTGTCAATTTTGGCTTTTGTTGCCATTGCAAGGTGTTACTTTTCAAGTGGAGATTTCGACAAAGCTCAGAGAATATTTAAAGAATACCATTAATTTCTTTGGGTACGTACCCAAGGAACATTCACCCCTGAACTTAAAAGTTTTTTTTTTAAAGAATACCATTACATCTCAGAGTTGCACTCTTAAGCACAAGTTGAAATGAAATTTAATATAATGAATTTATTTCCTCTTTACAAACAAAATTGAGGCTTGGGAGTCTTCAGTTACTCAGAATGATTTATTTGTGTTAATTTCAATAATTTATAGGCAGATTTTTGCAATCCTCCTGTGGATAGATAGGTTAAGCACCATTTAGCACAAGGCACTGAAAAATAAGTAAAAACCATAATTCATTTCTACAGTAACGTTCTCCGCATTTGGCCTAGTGGATAGAAGACAATCAACATGTGCACCTTTGGAATAAAAAGCTTATGGTACTTATGTTTAACTCTTCTCCTGGGCCATGGTTGCCCATTTATTCCTCTCTTGCACCCTGGAGAGCTGTTAAGAGCAAGGTTTAGGGCTCAGAATATCAGGTTAGTAGAGCAGATTTGATGCCAGTGCAGTAGTGCCATTGTTAGATTAGGCTCTGACATTGTATAACTTCTCATCCTGCTCAAACTCCATTATCTCTGTTCTTTTAAGTTGCACAGATTTTTCTAATGTCCATAGTTCTTCCCTGAGAACATGGGTCAATGAAGTAATTTCTCCAGTCTCTTTTTTTGCTTTTAAGAATGAGAAGAAGGGAGATAATGTATGTTTAGCTCCACTCTTTCATATCATTTAAAGATATTGGTTTAATAAGTGAAAAAAGAAAACTTTCCTCTTTCTGGGTCATCTTGACCAGCATAAAATTATTTTTGATTCATGACACATATTGAGCCCAAAATACACTTGCTATAAGAATGTTAAACATTAAAGTGACCTTGGCTCTTCTTTTACTAAGGAAACCATCTGTAGAGGGAAATTACATATGCAGACTGAAATCAACTTCAACACCTTTTCTTTTCCTAAATTCAAATTTAGATAATCACGAACTTTAAAAACAAATACTTTATGTTTATAAAATTTGTTAATGACATCATTCTATGCATCCACCTAAATATTTTCTACACATTATTCAGCCATTTTATTTTATTTTAAACTTTGTACACCATATTTTATTGAGCATAAAGAACCCAAACTATTCTCAAATAACAAAATGATATACAATCTATTCATATGCTAGCCCAATTAACTTTGGCTAATGAGAATAAAGAACCAAAAGTGTTCTCAAACAGCAAAATAATATACAATCTATTTTTATGCTAGCCCAATTAACTTTGGCTAGGAATATCTTTCCAGTGTAAAAGAATATAACCCTTAAACACACAAGATGTTACTTTAAGTTTAACATGACCATGAAAATGTTGCTATCAAATTATAAAGCCACTGGTCTATTTCCTCACAATCTCTTTGATTCTCATTATGAGATTCTTCTTGTATAAAATTCGGCCAGATGGCTGAGGGAATCAAAAAGATGTCCAGCTTATAGTTTACAGTTTCCTGTTGACTGTTGTTGAGGAAAATAGTACATTTTGCCATGTAAAATCATCCTATTGTTTCAGAAACTTAGATGTACCTTTTCCTACAAAATTTAAGTAAAAAGTAAAAACATACCTCCTAATTTCAGGTAATATTTATTAATCAATTATGCTAGGATATATACCTCTTGCTAAAATATTGAAAATGTAAGAGAATTTTAAAGAAAAATAATAAAATGTGCTTTTTTATTTTTTATCTAAAAATATAGGTAATATTTTTCAGAAGGCAGGGAATTTAAAATGACTTAAAGAAACATCTGATGTCACTTTTTAGACAGTATGTCAGCAAATTCTAAGAATTGATGCTACAGTAGTTAAACAATATGATTAGTTGGGGAGGGAACCTTCACTATGACTTTTAATGGAAGCTGTATTAATCAGGGTCCAGTGAATGAAAAAGACACTGTACTAATTATTTTAACAGGAAAAAATGTAATATAAGGATTTTCAAAATATAAATATTTTGAAAGTAGGCAGAGGCCAAAAAGAACATGGAGATAACACCAAAATGCTAATGCAGAGAGCAGTTTTTACCTCTAGTTTGGGGAGTAAAGAGAAAATATTAGAATTGTTGAATTTAATAGCTTGAAGGAAAAATTCTCTGGAGGTGGACACAGACCTCTAAATAAAAGGTGCTACATGGTTGCTTCTGGTGCCTCTGGAGAGTGTTACCTGGTTAGTTATTCAAGTGCTAGTAAGTAACTGGATATGCAAATCAATCAACACTGGAACTAACTGCTACAGTCAATAAGCAAACTAACAAGAAAAGGCAAATCCTATTTTACCCCTTCTGTCTTCTAATCTCCTTCTGGTACTCCATATTGGAAGAGCCTAACAGGAAGCTAACTGACAAATCAAAAATATATTAAGAATTTACAGAGTCTTATCCTTTAGTACCCCAATCAGTTGTACAGGAGTGTGGGTTTGGAGTTGATCTTAGAGAAATAGTTTAATAATCTTCACATAAACTGTAAAGAAAAATCACATATCTCATTATCGTGGTTTTCTATAAATTTAATCCTTTTTCCTCCTTCTCAAATGCAGCTGAATTAGTTCAGTCTTCATCATTATATTTTTTAGAAAGCATAATAGCCTAATTGGTCTTCCTTTATTCCTTCTCACCATTCCTGATCCATTCTTCATGCCAATGTCAAATGTCAGAGTAATCATTATAAAACACATGCCTGTCCATATCATGTCTCTGCTCACATAATTCCATGACACAACTTTCCCATCAAACTGTGTACCTTTGCCAAATGTGTATGTTTCATTTCAGTTCATAACTCAGCATTTGATTCACTCCTAATCCATACTCCAGTCATATCAAGCCATCTTTTTCATGCTCCACGCCCCCACATGTTTTCTATATGTTCTTTCTAAAATGCATTTCTTCTCCTTCTGTCCCTTAACTTACATGCTTTCAGCCTCAGCTTAATGGTCAGCTCCGCCGGAAAGACTAATTACGTTCATGGGTTGCTTAAAAACTGGGATACATTCCGAGAAATGCATCACTAAGGGGATTCTGTTTTGGGGCAAATATAGATTTTACTTACACACCTAGATAGTATGGTCTAATACACAGCTAAGCTATATAGTATGGTCTATTGCTTCTATGCTACAAACTTGTACAGCATGTTACTGTATTACATACAGTAAGCAACTACAACACAATGGTAAGTATTTATGTATCTAAACATAGAAATGGTAAAACAAAAGTATGTTATGAAGATTAAACAATTGTACACATATATGGGGTACATGCAATAAATGGAGCTTGCAGGACTGGACATTGCTCTGGGTGAATCAGTGAGTGAGACGTAAGGGAATGTGAAATCCAAGGATATTATTGTACAGAACTGTAGGCTTTATAAACACTGTATACATAAGCAATGCTGAATTTATTTTAAACATTTTTTTTTTTTTGAGACGGAGTCTTGCTCAGTCACCCAGGCTGGAGTGCAGTGGTGCAATCTTGGATCACTGCAAGCTCCACCTCCTGAGTTCATGCCATTCTCCCACCTGAGCCTCCCGAATAGCTGGGACTACAGGCGCCCACCACCTTACCTGGCTAATTTTTTTGTATTTTTAGTAGAGATGGGATTTCACCATGTTAGCCAAGATACTCTTGATCTCCTGACCTCGTGATCCACTCACCTTGGCCTCCCAAGATGTTAGGATTATAGGCATGAGCCACCGCACCCAGCCTATTTTAAACATTTTTAAACAATAAATTAATCTTTGCTTCCTATAACATATTTACTGTATACGCTTTTTAATTTTTATAATTTTTAAACTTTTGGACTTTGTAATAACACAGCTTAAAACACAAACACATTGTACAGCTGTAAAATATTTTCTTTATATAATTATTCTATATAGTTTTTCTATTTTTTAATTTTTTAATTTTTTTTACTTCTTAAAATATCTTCTTGAAAACTAAGACAAATTCACACACATATGCCTAGGCCTACACAGGGTCAAGATTGTCAATATCACTGTCATCCACCTCCACATTTTGTACCACTAGACGGTCTTCAAAGACAATAACACACATGGAGATCTTATCTCCTATAATAACAGTGCCTTCTTCTGGAATACCTACTGAAGGACCTGACTGAGGCTCTTCTTGAGAGGGTGAACACTTTGCAGAATATGTCCATGGTGGTTGGTTTCTTTCTTTGAATCATAGATTTGATTGAAAGCAGATAATATGCCATGAATAGTCCCCTCTATTAATGACAAATTTTCTGTGTTAGGGTCCATGTTTTCAAACTTTTAAGGAAGTTGGTGAGTACCGCAAAAACTTCTGCTAAACAATTCGCTGTGAATTTTAACAGGGTTTCTTATTTTTCTTCTCGTGCAGTTTCCTTTTCTCTTACCTCTTGCTCAGCATTGCATTCCTTTTCCAGTTCCAATAACTCCTCATTAGTCAGCTCCTCAGAAACCACCTATAGATGCTCCTCAATGCCATCTTCATCCACACCTGAGTTAAAGTTGCTTGCCATTTCAACCTTGTTGATTTTTGCAACCTCCTTATCCTTGGAAAATCCTTTGACATCATAGACAACCCCTAAGTGTCTTCTTTCAGATGCCATTTATACACCACTTGATGACATTAACCTAAGGCTAAGCAAGGTTCTTGATGGAATCATAGATGTAGTAATCCTTTCAGAATTACATCAATATCTTTGCAGTGTCTTCTTCAATTGCAGAAATAGCCTGGGCAAAGATACTCCTGAGGTAGTAGAACTTAAATGCTGTTTTAACTCCTTGATGTATTGGTTGGATCAAAGAGGTGGTATTTAGAGGGAGAAACACCACTTAGATATTGGGATGGAGATCACCAATTAAAGAAACATGTGCAGGAACATTATTAACAGTAAGCAAACTCTTGAAAGGTATGTTTTTCTCTAAACAATACTCTATTTTGCTGTGATAGCAATTGAGGAAAACATCTTGGAAGAGAAATTGGGTCATCTCATGACTTCTTGTTGGTCCTGTAGCTGGCAGTGTGTGTTTACTTGTATGCTTGAAGGCCCCAGGGTTTGTCCAGTGCCAGATCACAAAGGGTTTGAATTTGTAGCCTGAAATATTGCCCCCAAGCAAGACTTTTATCCTGTTCTTAAAAGGCTTGAGACCTGACATTGACTTGGCCTCCTTATGGATGAATATCTTTTTCAGCATCCATTTCCAGAATAGGGAGCGTTCATACACATTGAAGATTTGCTTTGGCAAGTAAATTTCCTCCACAATTAGCTTATCTAGGGTTTCTAAATTCTCCAGCTGCCTTAACATTAGCACTCACAGACTCAGCACTCACTTTCACATTATGTAATGAATAATGGTTCTGAATTGTTTAAACCACCCAGAGCTAGCAGTAAATTTAACATCTGACATCATAGTCAGATCCAGCCTTTTTTTTCAACATCACAAACTTTATACTTTGGCCATGATACTCAGCGTGCTGACAGGGATACATTTCTGTGTCTGGTATTCAATCCAGGTCATTAGAAGTTTCCCTATATCTGATAGAGGCCCTTTTCAAATTTGTGTTATTCTTCTTACCTTCAGTGAAGAAGTTCCTTTAACAGTCTCTGTCACTGTGTTCCTGTTTTTGAAGATTACAGCTATGGTGGAAGGGTACATACCTGACTATAACCATTCTTAATTTTCTATTTTCATAATTCTTAATCAATTTAATCTTATTTACAGGTCAATCACTAGATGTGGCCTCTAACTAGCAATATTAGGGAAGATTTTGTACACTTAGGGGCCATTATAAACAAAACAACAGAAATTAAATTTAGTACAAAAAAGAATAATTCAATCAAGAAATGTAGTAAACACAAAATGTATGAGACTGCAGCTAGTATAATGGGATAAGCTTTCTGGTAAACTTTTTGTAAAGTAGAATGAGTATCCTCTAAGATAATGATAAAAGTATAGTATAGTAAATACATTAACCAGTAACATAGTCATTTATTATCAGTATCAAGTATTATGCACCATACCTGATTGTGTGCTCTATACTTGTATGACTTACAGCACAGTATGTTCATTTACACCAGCATCACCACAAACATGTGAGTAATGCCTTTCACTAAGATGATATCTTGGCTACAACGTCAGTAGGTGATAGGAAGTTTTCAGCTTCACTATAATCTTATGAGACCACAGTTGCATATGCAGTTCATCCTTGACCAAAAGATAGTTATGCAGCAAATAACTTATATGTCAGACTATCTAGTACTCTCTCTGTCTTAGTCAGCTCTGTCTACTCTAACAAAATACCAAAGACTGAGTAGCTTAAAAAACAGACATTTATTTCTCACAGTTCTGGAAGCTAGGAAGTCCAAAATCATGGTATTGGCTTATTTAGTTTCTGGTAATGGCCCTCCTTTTGGCTTGCAGACTGCAGCCTTTTCCCATGACCTCACAAGGTACAGAAAGAGGGAGGGAGGGAGGAAAGAAGAGTGGGAGAGTAAGAGGGGGAGAGAAAGGGGAAGTGGTAGGGAAAAGGGAAGGGTGAGGGTGAAGGTGAGGGAGTGGGCAGCTGCACATGCCCTGGCATTTCTTCCTGTCCTCTTGTAAGGACACTAATTACATCATGGAGACCCCACTTATTACTTTACATAAACCTAATTACCTCCCAAAGGCCACCCATCTAAATACAAATACATCACATCGGGGACTAGGCTTCAACAGGTGAATTAGGAAGGAACACAAATATTTAGCCCATAGCTGTCTTTGTGTACATTTTTTATTATAATGTACTACATATTTCTTCTCACATAACATAAAGGTGTTTCACAGCCCACAAAATTTAAGGTACAAAATTTGTCTTTAGTTTGTCATGACTTAACCCATAAAATAAAGTTAATTTAATCAGCTTCAGTTAAAACATTCATTTCTGTAGTTTCTCAGTCATTAGGATATACATTTAGCCAAGCTCAATATTTTATGTCCCTTTATTGACCTTATTCTTAGTGTAAGAACCAGGCAACAAAGAGAGTGAAGAAATTAGTCTCTATTTACCAATAATTTCTGAGTCTTACTTGATTATATCATTTTCCCTACTGAGATGAAAAATTTTGCCTTTGCGTCTTTACTCATCTAAATTCATCCCCACTGACCCCTCTGAAGCAGACATATTTGCAAATAACTTCTGGTTACTTGTGGCAACTGTGAAACAGCATTGCACCTATTATACCCCAACATCAACTCTCCTTCATCTTAAACCATATGAAAAATAAAAATAAAACCAAAATGATTGCCCCCATTTCCTATTGAGAGACTATTCCTTCTAGAATTATGCATGTCCACCTTTCATGATAGCATAGAGGGCTGACTCCATTCTATTTTCCTGTACTGTGGTGTCACAAGATGTTTTCATGCTTTTGCAAAACTTGTGGATCTACATTTAGAAAATGAAATGTAGATTATAGATCCCTTTTAGACTTTGTCCTTTAAATTTTTATTGAGGTATTCTATGCTCATGTAAGAGGATTTGGCCCAAGGTGAACTTAATTATCTTTCTAACACCTAATGATTTTGCCTTTTCTCAGTTGTCTTATCTACATTTGTCTTAATCTGCCCAAATAAAAAAGTTTCAGCAGATGGGGAGAAAAGAAAGTTCATCCAGTATTAAATAAAAATGTTTGCCTTATTTTCATAGTTTATATTTTAAACTTGCAGGCCTCTAGAAGGCAATAGCTTTATTCTGTTGTTCCAGTCACAGGCCTTCCTGAGGCAATATATGCTTTTTTCCTTGTAGCAAAGGGGAAATCTTTGTGAAAATTACGTTTGTTGGGGTAAAGTAATAAGGAGAAATGCATTGACAGGGAAAACACCTGCTTCCCACAGCTTATATTGTGAGCTCTGTTGTCAAAAGATGACTAGTCCCTTCTTTTTCTCTCCCTCATTCATAATCTGATTAGTGACTTTGGAAAATAAACTGGGGTTAGACTGCTCAGCCCCTTCCTCAATTTTTCTTTACTGGAAAAGAGTGTGTCATAAACTGGCTAAAATAAACTATTTTCTATTTCTCCCAACATTAATTTTAAGGAAGCAGCTTTGTTCTGGTTCAGTGCTGGACTGGATGTATAATTCTATCCTGCTCTGTGGTTCAGCATGAGTCTACACATGGTAGATTCTCAAAAAAATGCTGATGGCTGCACCACCGTAGTTAAAATTTTTAAAAACCCAGCTGTCTGAAAACGTGTGTGTGAGAGTGTGTGTATGTGTGTGGGTATATGGGTAAACATGTATGTGTGTGTGCATGTGTGTGTGTGTGTGTGTGTGTGTGTGTATGTATTCCAGAAAGTGCTAGGTTTCACTGGCAAGCAGATATGTGCCAAGTTGAAGTAATTTCTAAGCATCTTAGAGACATATAAAACACAGAGGATAAACATGTGCCTAACTTCTTAATTATTTTTTCTCTTTGTTCTTACATTTGTTATTTCTGTTCTGATTTATGATATTAGAAAATAGAGTTGTACTGGAAAATAAGGTTAAATAGGTTCAGTTTAACACCTCACTAACCACATTTTACAAAATAACATAAATTATGATAAGTCCATTCAGTCTTCCTAGTAAGATGCCGAGTTCCAGAATGGATTCCAAATATAGGGATTTTTTTTTTTGTTAATTAGCCAATTAGAAATAATCAACTCCAATTGATATTAGCCTTTGCCAAAAGAGTGGCATTAGTTTTATTTCTGATAATTAAAAAAAAACTTGAAAACAGCAGATTTAAATGATAGCATGGAAATAAAGCAGTATAAGTTATACAGAGAGAGATGTTTGTCCCTCTTTTTTGATTTACCTTTTTTAAATTATTAAATTTATACAAATTCACTTTAAGAATTGCCATCAATATAGAACTATTGAGAAGATTGAGATGTAAAATAAGAAAATTTAATTGTCCCTTTCATATAACTTTTGTTCAATAATACTACTTTGTATTAGTCTGTTTTTACACTGCTATAAAGATCCTACCTGAGACCGGGCAATTTATAAATAAAAAAGCTTTAACTGACTCACAGTTCTGTACGGTTGGGGAAACCAAGAAACTGAAAGTCGTGGTGGAAGGCAAAGGGGAAGTAGGTACCTTCTTCACAAGGCAGCAGGAGAGAGAGTGCACAAAGGGGGAACTGCCAAACAGTTATGAAAACATCAGCTTTCATGAGCACTCACTCACTATCATAAAAACAGCATGGGGCAAACTGTCCCCATGATCCCATCACCTCCTACCAGGTCTCTCCCCTGACATGTGGGGATTAAAATTCCATAAGAGATTTGAGTGTGACACAGAGCCAAATCATATGATACTTCCTCCAGTCATAAACATTATTAACTCTATTTTTTTCAGAGACATCACCATACATTTATATGAGCATGAACACACACACACACACACACACACACACACACACACACTCTGTGCTTGAAATGTTTGTATTGTTTGTATGAGTGTTGGTATATATATTTGTATTATTTTCCTTTTATTTTACTTAAATAATATTATTTTTATATATCTTTGAAAACAATTATCTATTCTCATTACATAACATTTCATTGGAAAATTCTCTATATCTAATAATAAAATATTCTATAGTGATGTAAAATCAATTAGAATGATTACTACATTGATGCAAAATTAGTATAAAATATTTTTATATTATGAATAATCCTAAAATGAACTTTCTTATAAATATGCATTATATGTGTAGCTGTGTGTGTGTGTGTGTGTGTGTGTGTGTGTGTGTGTATGTATTTTCTGAGGGGAACTTAGAAGAACAATTGCATGGACAAATTATATGCAATTTTTAATTTTATAATTTCTTTCAAATGGCATTTTTTAAAAGTTTTACTACTTTGCACCACCTAAGACAACATAGGAGTAGCTTTTATTCTGAACCCCAGAATGTACTGGTTTAAATCTATAGTTTCAAATACATTTTGCAAAACTGATGATGGCATAATGTTTGAATTTATTTTCCCTAATTTTTAAGCATGTTTATCATATTTTATAATTTTTTTTTTTTTGAGACAGAGTCTTGCTCTGTTGTCCAGGCTGGAGTGCAGTAACACAATCTCGGCTCACTGCAACCTCCACCTCCCTGGTTCAAGTGATTCTCATGCCTTAGCCTCCTGAGTAACTGTGATTACAGGCACGTACGACGACACATGGCTAAGTTTTTCTTTTTTTGTGTTTTTGGTAGAAACGAGGTTTCACCATGTTGGCCAGGCTGGTCTTGAACTACTGACCTCAAGTGATCTGCCTTTCTCTTCCTCACAAAGTGCTGGGATTACAGGCGGGAGCCATTGCACCTGGCTTCAAATGCCATTTTTAACAGCTTTATTAAGGTAATAATAATACACAATACATAATAAATGACACATATTTAAAGTTTTGAAAACAATGAGAACAAAGACACAATGTACCAGAATCTCTTGGACACAGCTAAAGCACTGTTTAAGGGGAAATTTATAGCACTAAATGTCCACAGGAGAAAGCAGGAAAGACCTAAAATCAACACCCTAACATCACAATTAAAAGAACTTGCGAAGCAAGAGCAAATAAATTCAAAAGCTAGCAGAAGATGAGAAATAACTAAGATGAGAGCAGAGCTGAAGGAGATAGAGACACGAAAAACCCTTCAAAAAAATCAACGAATCCAAGAGCTGTTTTTTTTGAAAAGATCAAAAAATAGACCACTAGCTAGACTAATAAAGAAGAAAAGAGAGAAGAATCAAATAGACATAATAAAAAATGATAAAGAGGATATCACCACTGATCCCACAGAAATACAAACTACCATCAGAGAACACTATAAACACCTCTATTTAAATAAAGTAGAATATCTAGAAGAAATGGATAAATTCCTGGACACATACACCCTCTCAAGGCTAAACCAGGAAGAAGTTGAATCCTTGAATAGACCAATAACAAGTTCTGAAATTGAGGCAATAATTAATAGCCTACCAACCAAAAAAGACCCAGGTCCAGAAGGATTCACAGCCGAATTCTACCAAAGGTACAAAGAGGAGCTGGTACCATTCCTTCTGAAACTATTCCAAATAATAGAAAAACGAGGGACACCTCCCTAACTCATTTTATGAGGCCAGCATCATCCTGATGCTGTCAGAGACACAACAAAACCTGGCAGAGACACAACAAAAAAAGAAAATTTAAGGCCAGTATCCCTTATGAACATTGATGTGAAAATCCCTAATAAAATACTGGCAAACTGAATCCAACAGCTCATCAAAAAGCTTATCCACCACGATCAAGTCAGCTTCATCCCTGGGACGCAAGGCTGGTTCAACATATGCAAATCAATAAGCTTAATCCATCAGATAAACAGAACCAACGACAAAAAACACATGATTATCTCAATAGATGCAGAAAAGGCCTTCAACACCCCATCACGCTAAAAAAAAAAAAAAAAACTCAATAAACTAGGTACTGATGGAACATATCTCAAAATAATAAGAGCTATTTATGACAAACCCATAGCCAATATCATACAGAATGGGCAAAAGCTGGAAGCATTCCCTTTGAAAACCAGCACAAGACAAGGTTGCCCAATATTGTCACTCCTGTTCAACATAGTATTGGAAGTTCTGGCCAGGGCAACCAGGCAATAGAAAGAAATAAAGGTATTCAAATAGCAAGAGAAGAAGTCAAATTGTCTCTGTTTGCAGATGACATGACTGTATATTTATAAAACCCTATCATTCAGCCCACAAATTCCTTATGCTGATAAGCAACTACAGCAAGATCTCAGGATACAAAAATCAATGTGCAAAAATAATAAGCATTCCTATACACCAGTAACAGACAAATAGAGAGTGGAATTACAAGTAAACTCCCATTCACAATTGCCACAAAGAGAATAAAATACCTAGGAATACAACTTACAAGGTATGTGAAGGACCTCTTCGGGGAGAACTACAACCACCGCTCAAGGAAATAACAGAGAACACAAACAAATGGGAAAACATTCCATGTTCATGGATAGGAAGAATCAATATTGTGAAAATGGCCATACTCCCCAAAGTAATGTATAGATTCAATGTTATTCCCACCAAGCTACCATTAACTTTCTTCACAGAAATAGAAAAAACTACTTTAAATTTCATATGAAACCAAAAAAATAGCTTGTATATCCACGACAATCCTAAGCAAAAAGAACAAAGTTAGAGACATCATGCTACCTGACTACAAACTATACTACAAGGCTACAGTAACCAAAACAGCACAGTATTGTTACCTAAACAGATATATAAACCAATGTAACAGAACAGAGGCCTCAGAAATAATACCACTCATCTACAATCATCTGATATTTGACAAATCTAACAAAAACAAGTGATGAAAAAAGGATTCCCTACTTAATAAATGGTGTTGGGAAAATTGGCTAGCCATATGCAGAAAACTGAAAGTGGACCCCTTCCTTACACCTTATACCAAAACAACAACAACAAAATAAAACAAAACAAAACAAAACAAAAAACTCAAGATGGATTAAAGACTTAAATGTAAGACCTAAAACCATAAAAACTCTAGAAGAAAACCTAGGTGATACCGTTCAGGACATAGGTATGGGCAAAGACTTCATAACTAAAACACAAAATGCAATGGCAACAAAAGCCAAAATTGACAAACTGGATCTAATTAAACTAAAGAGCTTCTCCGCAACAAAAGAAACTATCATTAGAGTGAACAGGCAACCTACAGACTTGTTTATTGATTTTTGTTTATATATTGGATTTGTATCTATAGCTTTCTGTTGTGGTACTCTATTGATTGTCTTAAGTTATATCTTAATGTTTTAAAAATAATTTTAACTTTTAGATTCAGAGGGTACATGTGCAGGTTTGTTACATGGGTATATTACATGATGTGGAGGTTTAGTATACAAAATATTTCTTTAGCCAGGTAGTGACCATAGTACCCAGTAGATAGTGTTTCAAACATCTCCCTCCATATTTCCTACCCTCTTTATTAGTCCCCAGTGTCTCCTGTTGCCATCTTTACGTCCAAGAGTACCCAGTGTTTAGCTCCAACTTATGAGTGATAACATATGGTATTTGGTTTTGTTTCCATGTTAATTCAGTTAGAATAATGGGCTCCAGCCACATCTTTGTTGCTGCAAATGACATGATATACATTTTAACTTGTCACTATATACTTTCAGGTGATGTTAATCTGCTTCATATGTAATATAAGCATTTTTCTGGTAGCTTTCAGTCTACGGTTGTAACACATTAGTTTTACTGGTTTTTGTTTCAGATAAATGATACACTCATAGAATGAGGTGGATAGTACTGACACCTTTTCAAGTTTTTGGAAAAAGCATATCCAGAGTTGGTAGAATCCCCTCATAAATTTATTTGGACCTGAAGGCTCCTTCATGGGAATAATTTTTACTACAAATTCAAGTGCTTTATTTAATATAGGAACATACATGTTAATGTTTTCTTCTTGAGTGAGTTTTGGTAACTTGTGTATTTCAAACAGTTTATCCTTTTCACATATGTTGTTGAAATTGTGAGCATTAAATGATTTGTGATGTTGCCATACTATTCCCTTAATACCTCTGATTTTTAAATGTAGGCCTTTTATGTGACTCTGAATGTAGTCTGTCTTGATAAATGTTAATGACACTTAGAAAGAATGTATGTGGTGCCATAGTAATGGGGGAGTGTTTTAGAAATGTAAATTACCTCAATTTGATGGACAGTATTGATTAAAGCTTCTACATTATTAAAGATTGTCATCTATCTGCTCTATCAATTATTGAGAGAGAAATGTTTAAGCCATTGACCAAAATTATGAATTTCTACATTTTACTTCACATTCTTTTCAGCTTTTGCTTCACGTATTTTGAAGCTCTGGTCTGAGGTTTGTAATCATTTAAGATTTTATGCATTCTTGGTGAATTGAAATATTTATCATTAATAAATGACCTTCTATTCCCTGTTAATATCCCTTGCTATGAAATTAATTTTGCCTGATTTTAATTTTAAAAATCAGCTTTATTGAGATATAATTTTTGTATCATACAATTCACCCATTTGAAGCATATAATCCAATAGTTTTAAGTATGCTCATGGAGTTGTTATGATCACCACAATAAATTTTAGAACTTTTTTATCACATGAAAAAGAAACACAACCATTAGCAGTCATTTGCCATTTCTCCCCACCACATCATCTATCTTCTCCTCTCACAAATCCCTGCCTCCAGGCAGTCACTTATGTACTTTCTGTCTTTATATTTATGCTTATTTGGGACAACGTTTTAAAATATTTCTCTTATCTGACTGTAATTATATATTACTTGACCAACATCTCTCCTCCCCTCTAACCACTTATTCATCTGGTAACTATCATTCTAATTTCTACTTCTATGAGATCAGCATTTTTAGATGCCACAATATGAGTGAGATCACATGGTATTTGGCTTTCTCTGCCTGGTTCATTTTACTTAACATAATGTTCTCCAGGTTCATCCATGTTATTGCCAATGAAAAGATTTTATTCTTTTTAATTTCTGAATAGTATTCCGTTGTATTTGTATACCACATTTGCTTTATCCATTCATCTGTAAATAGGTACGTAGGTGGATTTCATATCTTGACTATTGTGAAAAGTGCTGCAAGAAACATAAGGGTACAGAGATCACTTTGACATACTGATTTCACTTTCTTTAGATATATGCCCAGTAGTAGGACTGCTGTATGGTATGGTAGTTCTATTTTAATATTTTCAGGAACCTCTATACTGTTTTCCATAATGGCTATTTTAATTTACATTTCCACCTTCTCTCCATATCTTTGCCAACATTTGTTACCTTTTATATTTTTGATGATAGCGTTTCTAATAAGTGGGAGACTACATCTCACTGTGGTATTGATTTGCATTTTTCTGATAATTAGTGATGTTGAGGATTTTTTCATATACCTGTTGGCCATTGGTATGAAATGCCTATTCAGGTATTTTGCCCATTTTTAAATTGGATTGTTTATTTTCTTGCTACTGAATTGTTTGGGTACTTTACAAATTTTAGATTTAACCTATTATCAGATGTATAGTTTGGAAATATTTTCTCCCATTTTGTAGGTCGTGTCTCCACTTTGCTGGTCATTTCCTTTGCTCTGAAAAAGATTTCTGATTTGATGTAGTCTCATTTTTTCTATTTTTGGCTTTGTAGACTTTCTTTTGTAGTAAATTCCAATAAATTATTGCCTAAGCCTATATTATAAAACAATTCCCCTATGTTTTCTTCTAGAAGTTTTATATGTTCAGGTCTTAAAGTCTTTAATCCATTTTGAGTTGATTTTTGTATATGGTGAGAGATAAGCATGCAATTCATCTGCAAGTAGCTAGCCAGTTTTCATAACACCATTTATTGAAAAGGTTGTCTTTTTCTCAGTGTATGTTCTTGGCACTTTTGTCATAAACTCGTTGCTTGTAAATGTGTTGATTTATTTCTGGGTTCTCTATTCTGTTCTATTGGTCTAAGTGTCTGTTTTTATGCTGGTACCATGCTGTCTTGGTTACTACAGCTTTACGGAATGTTTTGAGTTCAGGTAGCGTGATGCCTTCAGCTCTGTTCTTTTGCTCAAGATTCCTTTAGCTATTCAGAGTCATTTGTGGTTCTGTATACATCTTTTCCATTTTCTGTATGATCATTTTCTCCATTTCATTTCTGTGAAAAATGTCATTAGCATTTTCAGAGAGGTTACACTGTAGATTGCTTTAAGTAGTATGAACACATTTACAATATTAATTATTCTAGTTCATGAACAAGTAATACTTCCCTGTTTATTTGTATCTTCAATTTTTCCATCAGTGTTTTATAGTTTTCATTGTAGACGTCTTTCACTTCATCATTTAAAATTGTTAGCTATTTTACATATTTGTCGCTATCGAAATGGGATCGCTTTTTCCTGATTTCTTTTTCAGACAGTTTGTTATTAACACATAGAAACACTACTGATTTTTGTATGTTTATTTTGTATCATGGAACTGTATTGAATTTGTTTATTAGTTATAATAGCTTTTAACTGGAGTCTCTTAGGTTCTTTGTATATATGTCATCTACAAACAGGGACAGCTTAACTTCCTCCTATCTAATTTAGATGACTTTTATTTCTTTATCTTGCCTAGTTACTCTGGCTAGGACATTCAGTACAGTGCTGAGTAGAAGTAGTGGAAATGGACATTATGGTCTTGTTCCAGAACTCAGAGGAAAAGCTTTAATGTTTCCTTGTTCAATGTGATGTTAGCTGTGGGTTTGTCATGTATAGCCTTTATTGTGTTGAGGTACATTTCTTCTGTTTCTAATTTTTGAAGGTTTGTATTATAAAGGCATGTTGAATTGTGTCAAATACTTTTTCTGATTCTATTGAAATGATTATATAGTTTTTGTCCTTCATTCTGTTAATGCTATGTATCATGTTTTTCAATCAGTGTATGTTGAATTATCCTTGGATTCAGGGGTGCATCTCATTTGATTATGGTGAATGACTTTCTCAATGTGCTGTTGAATTTGGCTTGCTAATATTTTATTAGAATAATTTTTGGATCTATGTTCACCAGAGACATTGACTTATAGTTTTATTTGTTGTTCCCTTGTCAGATTTAGTACTTTTGTCTAATATTAATTTAGCTAATCTAGCTTTCTTTTGGCTAGTACTAGCATAGCATATCCTTTTCATCCTTTAATTTTAAATATATTTGTGCTTTTGCATTTAAATTTGGTTTCCTATATGTATCATGTAGTTGGCTTTTACCTTTTTATCTACCATGACAATTTTTGCGTTTTAATTGGACTCTTTATAACTTTATATTTAATGTAATTATTTACACATTTAGGTGTGATAACCTGGTGTTCTATCTTCTATCAGGAGAATAACCACCATAATTTCAGTGTAGAGGAGAAAGTTAGAAGCAGTGTTAGAAAAGAGATAGCTTAACTGACATGCTGGTAACAAAACAAGACTGATGTGTGCTTATGTGGTTTTGATTTAAATAAACTTTTATTTTATTATTTATTTATTTTAGTTTAGTTTAGATTCAGGAGTATATCTGCAAATTTACTATATAGACAAATTATATGTCTTAGGGGTTTGGTGTACATATTATGTTGTCACCAGGTAATAAGCGTAGCACTCAATAGGTACTTTTTGATCCCAACCCTCCTCCCACCCACCACCCTCTAGTAGGCCTGGGTGTCTACTGTTCTCTCCTCTATGTCCATAAACTAGGCATTGAATAATAAGAGCCATCCATGCAAAACCCACAACCGATATCATACTGAATGGGCAAAAGACGGAAGTATTTATCTTGAGAACCAGAACAAGGTAAGGATGCCCACTCTTAGCACTCCTGTTCAACATAGTACTGGAAGTCCTAGCCAGAGAAATTAGGCAAGAAAAAGAAATAAAAGGCATCCAAATAGGAAGAGAGGAGGTCACACTATCTCCGTTTGCTAATGATATAATTTTATACCCAGAAAACCCCATAGTTTTAGCCTAACAGCTGCTAGACCTGACAAAAAAACTTCAGCAACGTTTCTGGAGATGAAATCAATGTATTAAATCAGTAACATTTCTATGCACTGATAGTGCCAAATCAAGAATGTAATCCCATTCAAAATAGCCACACCAAATAAATAAATAAATAAATAATAAAATATGTAGGAATTCAGCTAAGTAGGCAGGTGAAAGATCTCTACAAGAATGACAAACTACTTCTGAAAGAAATCAGAGATGACACAAACAAATGGAAAAACATTCTATGCTCATACATAAGAAGAATCGATATTTTTAAAATGACCATACTCCCCAAAGCAATTTACAAATTCAGTGCTATTCCTATAAAACTATCAATGACATTCTTTTTTTAATTTTCATTATACTTTAAGTTCTAGGGTACATGTGCACAATGTGCAGGTTTGTTACATAGGTATACATGTGCCATGTTGGTTTGATGCATTCATTAACTCATCATTTACATTAGGTATTTCTCCTAATGCTATCCCTCCCCCAGCCCCCCACCACCCGACAGGCTCTGTGTGTGATGTTCCCCACCCTGTATCCACGTGTTCTCATTGTTCAACTCCGACCTATGATGAGAACATGCAGTGTTTGGCTTTCTATCCTTGTAATAGTTTGCTTAGAATGATGGTTTCCAGCTTCATCTATATCCCTGGAAAGGACATGAACTCATCCATTTTTATGGCAGCTTAGTATTCCATGGTGCATATGTACCACATTTTCTTAATCCAGTCTATCAATGATGGACATTTGGGTTGGTTCTAAATCTTTGCTATTGTAAATAATGCTGCAATAAAGATAGCTGTCCATGTGTCTTTATAGTAGCATGATTTATAATCCTTTGGGCATATATCCAGTAATGGGATTGCTGGGTCAAATGGTATTTCTAGTTCTAGATCCTTGAGGAATCGCCACACTGTCTTCCACAATGGTTGAACTAATTTACACTCCCACCAACAGTGTAAAAGCATTCCTAATTCTCCACATCCTCTCCAGCATCTGTTGTTTCCTGACTTTTTAATGATTGCCATTCTAAGTGGCATGAGATGGTATCTCATTGTGTTTTTTAATTGCATTTCTCTGACCACCAGTGATGATGAGCATTTTTTCATATGTCTGTTGGTTGCATAAATGTCTTATTTTGAGAAGTGTCTGTTCATATCCTTTGTCCACTTTTTGATGGGGTTGTTTGTCTTTTCTTGTAAATTTGTTTAATTTCTTTGTAGATTCTGGATATTAGCCCTTTGTCAGATGGGTAGATTGCAAAGATTTTCTCCCATTCTGTTGGTTGCCTGTTCACTCTGATGATAGTTTCTTTTGCTATGCAGAAGCTCTTTAGTTTAATTAGATTCCGTTTGTCAATTTTGGCTTTTGTTTCCATTGCTTTTGGTATTTTAGTTATGAAGTCTTTGCCCATGCCTACGTCCTGAATGGTATTGCCTAGGTTTTCTTCTAGGATTTTTATGCTGTTATGTCTTACATTTAAGTCTTTAATCCATCTTCAGTTAATTTTTGTATGTGGTGTAAGGAAGGGATCCAGTTTCAGCTTTCTATATATGGCTAGCCAGTTTTTCCAGCACCATTTATTAAATAGGGAATCCTTTCCCCATTTCTTGTTTTTGTCAGGTTTTTCAAAGATCAGATGGTTGTAGATGTGTGGCATTATTTTTGAGGCCTCTGTTCTGTTCCATTGGTCTATATATCTGTTTTTGTACCAGTACCATGCTGTTTTGGTTACTGTAGCCCTGTAGTATAGTTTAAAGTCAGGTAGCATGATGCCTTCAGCTTTGTTCTTTTTGCTTAAGATTGTACCAATGGCATTCTTTGTAGAATTGGAACGAAGAAACTATTCTAATATTTGTAGGAACCAAAAACAGCCCAAATAGCCAGAGCAATCCGAGGAAGAAAAAAAAAAAAGCTGAAGGCACATTACCTGACTTCAAGCTATATTGCAAAGCTACACTAAACAAAATAGATAATACTGGTACAAAAAGAGACACAAAGACCAATGAAATATAATAGAGAACCCAGAAATAAATCCACATACCTACAACCATCTGATCTTTGACAAAATTGACAAAAACAAGTGTATTAGTCTCTCCTTGCATTGCTATAAAGAAATACCTAAGACTGGGTAATTTATATAGAAAAGGGGTTCAATTGGCTCACAGTTCTGCAGGCTTACAGCAAGAATAGCTTCTGGGGAAGCCTCAGGAAATTATGATTCATGGTGAAAGGTGAAGGGGAAGCCAGCACATTTTACAAGGCCAGGGGAGAAGGAAAAGAGAGAGGATGGAGGTACTACACATTTTAAGCAACTAGATCTCATGAGAACTCACTCTCTATATGGTACCAAAGGGAGCTGGTGGTAAACCATTTATTAGAATTCCACCCCCATGGTCAAATTGCCTCCCACCATGCCCTACCTTCAACATTGGGGATTACAATTCTACACGGAATTTGGGTGGGACATAGATCTAATCCATTTTAACCAACAATGGAGAAAAAACTCTTTTATTCAATAAATGGTGCTGGAAGAACTGGCTAGCCATATGCAGAAGATTGAAGCTAGACCTCTTCCTTATACCACATTAAAAAATCAACTCAACATCGTTTAAAGACTTACAGGTAAAACCTAAAACTATAAAAACCCTTGAAAAAAACCTAGGAAATACCATTCTAGACATAGGCTGTGACAAAGCTTTTAATACAGACAAGCCAAAAGCAATTGCAACAAAAACAAAAATTGGCTTGAGGCCAGGAGGTCGAGGCTGCAATGAGTCAAAATCATGACACTGCTCTCCAGCCTGGAGGACAGAGCAAGACCGGTCTCAAACAAAACAAAACAAAGTTGACAAATGGAATCTAATTAAACTGAAGAGCTCCTTCACAGCAAAAGAAACTATGAACAGAGTAAATAGACAATCCACACAACGGGAGAAAATATTTGAAAACTACGCATCTGACAAATATCTAATATCCAGAATATGTAGAAAATGTAAACAAATTAACAAGCAAAAACCAAACAACCCCATTAAAAAGTGCGAAAAAAGATAATAACAGACACTTTTCAGAAGACGATATACACATGGCCAACAAGCATATGGAAAAGGGCTCAAAATCACTAAACATTGAAGAAATGAAAATCAAAACCACAATGAGATACTATCTTACACAATTCAGAATGGCTATTACTAAAAAAGCCAAAAAATAACATGCTGGAGAGACTGTGGAGATAAGGTAATGTTTATACACTGCTGGTGACAATTTACATCATTTCATCCACTGTGGAAAGCAGTTTGGTGATTCCTCAAAGAACTTAAAAATGAACTACTATTCAACCCAGCAATCCCATTAGTGTGTATATCCAGAGGAATATAAATTGTTCTACCATAAAGACACATGCATGTGTATATTCATCACACATAACAATTTGTGATTCACAATAACAAAAACATGGAATCAACCTAAATGCCCATCCATGGTAGACTGGATAAAGAAAATGTGGTACATCCACATCATGGAATACTACACAGCCATAAAAAGAATAAGATAATTTCCTTTGAAGCAATATAGATAGAGCTGGAGGTCATTAACCTAAGTGAACTGATGCAGGAACAGAAAACATAACACTGTATATTAAAACTCTTAAGTGGAAGCTAAACACTGAGTATAAATAAATTATTTAAAATTTTCTCTTTTGCTACATTGTTTTCTAAATTTAGTTCAACTCAAAATACTTCTTACTTCAAATACATCCTTGAAATACTCTTGGGCACATTCAATAAATACTAAGAATGCCAAAAAATATAGAAAATAAGCTTCAGTTATCATACATAACATTTTATACATAACGTAGAGCATTTTATACATAACATAGAATTATACATAACATAGAATTATACATAACATTTTTGTACACTTTCTGGTCTAGTATAATGCCATTGTCATACTACACAAATTTTTCCATTTTCACATATAATTTATATTATACATATTGTATTAGTAGTGTACTCAACATTAAAAATGTGTTTGGATTATATTTCACGTACAATGTGTGTGTTGTCTCTCTAATTGAGTGTGTAAATTGACACACTGTTAAGTTCAAAGTATTATCTAATATCTTTGTCATAAGTACATTGTCAGGTTTCTGAATACATGCATACCAAGGGAAATATTATATAGGCATTTAGCAAATTGGCAAAGATTTTAAAAATTCAAAATTCAGTACCTTCAATAGAATGAATTTCCTTAATTCATTTAATTTTAATAACATTATTTCCAAATTTGATTTGAAGATATGGATCAGGTATAGTTTAAATAACTTAGAGAAAAATATAAAACATGAAAGATGAAGTCTGGAACACAAAAATTTGTCAGCTGCATTTCTTGTCATCAAGATCATATGACTAATAAGATAGCCACCAAGAACATATTTGTATGGGTTAAACGTATATAGTAAAATGTAGGAAAAGCTTATATCCTTATACAGAATATAAACACACACAAACTCATCCTGAAATATATTAAGCATTATTGATTTTATTTTTTTAGCACTACACTTATTTTGATATGAAAACAAATACTCCTTGTGCTTACTTTGAGATTATTAAAATAGTTTATTTATTGTCTGATGGTCTCTTTTATTTTTACACTACACATCTTTTTACTTGCATGCTTGGATTTCCAATACTCTTTCTTATGAATATAAATCAAATATGTTAAATATGTCCCACAGAAACCTAAAGGTATTTTCACCTCTAACTCTTTGCAATGACCCCTGCTTATTGGTAGATATATTGTTGCTGACTTCACTATTTTAGTTCTGACAGCCAAAGTATAAATCCTTTTGAGAACATTTGCTTTAAGAGAGAAGAAAATCCCCTGTTCTTGGAATATGCTCTGTAGGTAAGACTCATGTTGTTCCTCTCTCTGATGACTTTTATAGTTGATCACATCTTTCAAGTTACCTCTTCTTTGAATGTTAGCTTTTCTAAAAATAGTCTCTACTTTCTGAAACATAATTTATTACTGGAAACTTCAGATAAAATTGAAATTTTGTAACTCTAACTATAATGAAAAACTTTTGTTTATTTGCTACCTTTTGCCAGTATCTGCAAGGGCACTTTTTCTGTGGCTTAAATAAAATTTCTACAGGAAAATTCAAATTTCTGCCCTGTTATTATTTAAAAACATGTTGTGTTTTCTTTTGTTCTTGGATATCTCAAATTTTTTACTTAAAATAGCACATGAAAAATTAGCTCTCTCTAACTCTCTTCATATCCTAACTATAATATGAGCAGTTCTGCCTTAGCCTTTTTGAAATCCAATTAATATTAATCACGCTATAATGTAAACTTCATTTGAAAATATTGTCTTACTTCAATTAGTAATGTACCATTATTATCTTGGTCTACTCAATTATGTTTCCCAATATAGAGTTTATACTATTAAATGCATTATCTTTGGAATTGAGGTGACTGACTTTCTTTCTTTACACCCTCAATCTCTTTCCTTTTTACTGAGTATTACTGTAAAAATAATCTTTATTTTTATAAGTTTTTTAGTCATCACATTCTTGATTATAAACTTCTGAAGTGTATTTATGTAACAGATTGCATGTTTGAGACACCAAATCATCAATGCCTTTCCTTCTACCTTCGGTGAATATGTGTTAAAGACTGATTGTTTAATAGAGCTACCTGAAAGTTAAATTAACTTATTTAATGTTTCTCTTTACATATTTATCAGATATTAATCAATGAAATTACCGGTTTTTTTTCCCAAACACATATATTGAGAATGTGACTGGCACTATGAAAACATAATCATTGCTTTAACATAATTGACATTCTGAGCTTTGCTTTGAAGGCAACTCAAATCTCTCTTTGAAAGCATCAGTGTTAGAACCATGGAATAATACCTATATTGCCTCTGAAATTTTGGAAATTTAATTTTCTCTTTATATACCATCTTTTTTGTAGCTATTGCTTTTGTTTCAGTTTATTGGTTCTTGTGCATGTTCAATTACTAAAAATTATTCATAAGAGGTAATAATGTATATCCATCAATGAGAACACAACAAATAACATAATATAATAAAATAAATAGGCATCAGTATACAAGGCAATTCAATGAACTGGAAAAGAATATGGATATCAGCATATTCCAATCTAACTTTTAATCAGAAAAGTGCAGACGAAAACAAATGTGTGTCATGTATAGTTTCAGTCTAATTATGTCTCCAAAAGCTCAGGCTTGTGCACCAAATGCTTATTAAAAATCAATATTGACTATCTCACAGGTATCCCATCAGATATTCTACTAATTCTGCTTTAAAAGAAAAGAGTCTCAGTAACTGGGAACAATATCTTTCTAACTCTACCTCTTTAAATCTCCACTGCCATTATCAGATTCAAAAAACTTTTATCTCTTACTTATACCACCGTCTCTAAGTCAGGTTCCCCAAATCTCATATCAGTATAACTGTTCTGCTGTAGTTTTTGCACCACAGTAAGAAATGTAGACTTTTATTTCTTAAGTTACATTCAGATAACATCACTACCAGGATTACTAGTTAAAAACCTTAATGCTCTCCCACTGCCTTCAAGGCATGCCCCCAAACACCTTACCACTGTTTCAGGTCCTCCATGATTTGCCTCTGCTTCCCTCTATAGGCACAATCTTATTTCCCTGTTCAATCTCTTGAATGCATGACTTTCTGTCTTTACTTCTAAACTTTGAAACAATCTACTACTTCTGTTTAGAACACTCATCACCATCTACCTTTAACATTTCATTTGATATGTAATTTATTCTGGGAGATTTTCACATTTTAGATGAGATCACAAATTATCTACTGCCTCCACTCATAGCATTTCTCTGAAGACAACGCTCACTACACTTTCTTATGATAAGTATAAAAATGTTTGACTTTCCTTTAAGAAGCATTATGAGGGATGAAGTAAGCAATACTCTTTGCTCATAGCTGTATTCCCCAACAAACTTCTGTACTTTCAGATTCATAATATAAAAGCAGGGTGTGGGGGTAAAGATGGCCAATTAGAAGTAGCTGCAGTGCATGGCACTCACTGAGAAGAAAGAAAGGGGTGAGTGAATACAGCACCTTCAACTGAAATATCCAGGTACTTGCATTGGGAAAAATCAGGGAAACTACTCAACTCACAGAGACAAAGAAAAGCAAGGTGGGGCAATAGCCCACCAGGGAGCAACATGGAACCAAGCGAACTGCCAGCCAAGGGAAGTGATGAGTGAATGTGTGACCCAGGGGGAAAACCATGCTTCTCCCTCAGATCTTTGCAACCCATGAATCAGGAGATCTCCTGGTGAACTCACACCATCAGGGCCTCAGGTCAGACACACACAGCTGTGTGGAGTCTCAGCAGAGCAGCTACTCAGACTTGCACAGAGACCTAGGAGCTTTACATAGTCCCTCCCTGGGATCCCTGGCAAAGGTGGCTATAACTCAGGCAAGGCAGGAGGTCCACATATACCCCTAGGAATGGGACTGAATCCAGGGGACTGAGCTATATCAGTCTGTGGGTCCCACTTCCATGGCACCTCACAAAATAAGACCCACTGGCTTGGAATTTCAACCAGCCACTGGCAACAAGGTGGAGCCTGCCATGAGATGGGATAGAGCCCCCAAGGGGGATGAGTGGGCCACTATTTATTTGTCTCAGTCATTCCAGCCTGCAGGATTTGAAGGGTCCAAATGGTCTGGACGAGGAAGTGTCCCCACAGCACAGCACAGCTGCCTTGCCAGAATGTGGCCACATTGCTTCTATAAGTGGTGCCCTGATCTGCTCTTCCTCACTGGGTGAGTCCTCCCAGCCAGGCCTCTAGCCACCCCCACCCACTTGTATTCTGTGGACTGAGCTCTGATTTCTCCCTGGGACAGTGCCTAGGAGAGGGACAGGCCTCCGTCTTTACTGTTTGGGCAACTCAACCACTCCGTCCTTCAGGCTTTAGAGAGTCCAAACTGATCAGAGGCTGCAGGGATCCCCAACACAAAACAGCTGCTCTAACAAAACGCAGCCAGACTGCTTCTTTAAGCAGGTTCTGATCCCATTTTTCCTGCCTGGGAACTCCCAACTGGGGTCTCCAGCCACCTCCTTAGGTGTATTTGGTGGGGCAACAGGTCAGTATCCCCCTGGGAGAGAGCTTCCAGAGGAAGTGGCAAGCTGCCATCTTCGCTGTTTCACAGTCTTCACTGGTGATATCTCCAGGTACTGAAAAAAACAAGGTGACTAGTGTCTGGTGTGGACCCCCAGGAAAATGCAGCAGCCTTACGGAAGAGTGGCCAGACTTTTAAAAGAAAAACAAGCAAACAAAAAAAACAACAACAAACACAAAAACTCCATCCAAAGGTCAGAAACCTCAAGGATCAAAGGTAGATAAGCCCACAAAGTTGAGAAAAAATCAGTACAAACATGCTAAAAACTCAAAAAGCCAGAGTGTCCCCTTTCTACCAAATGACTGCAACACCTCTCCAGCAATGGTTCAGAACTGGGCTGAGGCTGAGATGGCTGAAATGACAGAACTAGGCTTCAGGATGTGATAACAATGAACTTTGCTAACCTAAAGGAGCACATTGTAACTCAATGCAAGGAAGCTAAGAATCACAATAAAACAATGCAGAAGCTGACAGCCAAAATAGCCAGAATAGAGAGAAACAGAACCTAGCAGATAGAGATGAAAAGCATGCTACAAAAATATCACAATGCAATCACAAGTGTTAATAGCAGAACAGACCAAGTGGAGGAAAGAATATCAGAGCTTGAAGACTATCTTTATGAAACAAGGAAGGCATGAATAGAAAAGGAAAAAGTATGAAAAGGAATGAACAAAACCTATGAGAAATGTGGAATTAGGAAGAGACAAAATCTATGACTGATTGAGATACCTGAAAGAGACAGGCAGAATGGAACAAATTTGAGAAACACGTTTCAGTAAATCATCCAGAGAACCTCCTTAACCTAGCTAGGCAGGCCAACTTTTAAATTCAGGAAATGCAGAGAACTCCAGTAAGAAACTCCACAAGAAGATCATTCCCAAGACACATAACCATCAGATTCTCCAAGGTCTAAAACAAAGAAAAAATGTTAAGGGCAGCCAGAGAGAAAGGCCAGGTCATCTACAAATGGAAGCCCATCAGACTAACAGAGGACCTCTCAGCAGAAAACCTGCAAGCCAAAAGAGTTTGGGGCCAATATTCCACATTCTTAAAGAAGCTTAGTTTGGCCTAAAATTTCATATCTGGCCAAACTCAGCTTTATAAGAGTAGAAATAAGATCTTTTTCAGACAAGCAAGTGCTTAGGGAATATTTTGCCACCAGACCTGCCTTACAAGAGCTCCTAAAGAAAGCACTAAATATGGAATGGAAAAACTGTTGCCAGCCATTACCAAAATGCACTGAAGTACACAGACCAGTGACACTGTGAAGCAGCCACATAAACAAGTCTGCAAAATAACCAGCTAGCATCACGATGACAGGATCAAATCCACACATAACAATAGTAACTTTAAATGTAACTAAGCTAAATGCCCCAGTTAAAAGACAGAGATTGGCAAGCTAGATAAAGAGCCAATACCAATTGGTATGCTGTCAAGAGACGCATCTCACATGCAAAGACACATGCAGGCTCAAATCAAGGGATGGAAGAAAATCTACCAAGCAAATAGAAAATGGAAAAAAAGCAGTGATCACAATCCTAGCTTTAAACCAAAAAAGATCAAAAAAGACAAAGAAGTAATGGTAAAGGGTTCAATTCAACAAGAAGAGCTGACTATCCTAAATATATACATACCCAATACAGAAGCACCCAGATTTATAAAGCAAGTTCTTAGAGACCTTCAAAGAGACTTAGACTCCCACACAATAACAGTAGGAGACTTTAACACCCTACTTACAATATTAGACAGATAATTGAGACAGAAAATTAACAAAGATATTGAGGACCTGAACTCAGATCTGGATCAAGTAGACTTTAGGTATCTACAGAACTCTCCACTCAAAAACAACATACTATACATTCTTCTCATCACACAGCACTTACTCTAAAATTGACCACATAATCAGAAGTAAAACACTCCTCAGCAAGTGCAAAAGAACATAAATCATAACAGTTTCTCAGACCACAGTGCATTACAATTAGAACTCAAGATTAAGAAATTCATTCAAAACCATATGACTACATGGAAAGTGATCAACCTGCTCCTGAATGACTTTGAGCTAAATAATGAAATTAAGGCAGAAATCAAGAAGTTCTTTGAAACTAATGAGAACAAATATACAGCATACCAGAATCGTGGAACACAGCAAAAGCAGTGTTAAGTGGGAAATGTATAGCACAAAATGCCCACATCAAAAAGCTAGAAAGATCTCAAGTTAACAAACTAAGATCACAACTAAAAGAACAGGAGAACCAAGAGCAATAAACCCCAAAGCTAGCAGAAGACAAGAAATAATCAAGGTCAGAGCTGAATTCATGGAGATAGAGACACCAAAAATCCTTCAAAAGATCAACGAATCCAGCAGCTGATTTTTTTTTTGAAAAATTTAATAAAATAGATGGAACACTAGCTAATCTAATGAATAAGAAAGAGAGAAGATTCAAATAAACACAATAAAATATTATAAAGGGGATGTCACCACTGACCCCACAGAAATACAAACAAAAATCAGAGAATACTATAAAAGGCTTTATGCACATAAACTAGAAAAACTAGAAAAAACTGATAAGTTCCTGGACACATATACCCTCCCAAGACTGAACCAGAAAAAACTGAATTCCTGATTAGACCAATAATTAGCTTTGAAACTGAGGCAGTAATCAATAGCCTAGCAAACAAAAAAAAAGCCCAGGACCAGACAAATTCATAGCTAAATTCTACCAGAGGTACAAAGAAGAACTGGTATCATTCCTACTGAAACTTTTGCAAAAAATTGAATTTTTTTTGAAATTCTATGAAGCCAGCATCATCCTGATACCAGAACATAGCAGAGATATAACAGTAAAAGGAAACTTTAGACCAATATGCTTGATGAATATTGATGCAAAAATTCTCAACAAAATACTGACTGGCAAACCAAAATCAGCAGCACATCAAAAAGCTCATCCACCATGATCAGATAGGCTTCATTCCTGGGATGCAAGGCTGGTTCAACATATGCAAACTAATAAATGTGATTCATCACATAAACAGAACTAAAGACAAAAACCAACTGATTATCTCAATAGATGCAGAAAAGGCTTTCAATAAAATTAAATATCACTTAATGTTAAAAATTATTAATAAAGTAGGTATTGAAGGAACATACCTCAAAATATTAAGAGCCATATATGACAAACACACAGCCAATATCATACTGAATGGACAAAACTGGAAACATTCCACTTGAAAACTAGCACAAGACAAGGATGCCCTATCTCACCACTCCTACTCAACATAGCATTGGAATTTCTAGCCAGGGATATCAGGCAAGAGAAATAAATAAAACGTATTCAAATACAAAAAGAGAAAGTCAAACTATCTTTGTTTGCAGATGACATGATCCTATATCTAGAAAACCCGATCATCTCAGCCCAAAAGCTTCTTAAGCTGATAAGCAACTTCAACAAAGTCTCAGGATACAAAATCAATGTGCTAAAATTGTCAGCATTTCTATAAACCAACAACATGCAAGCAGGGAGCCAAATGATGAATGAACTCCCATTCACGATTGCCACTAAAAGAATAAAATACCTAGGAATACAGCTAACAAGAGAAATGAAGGACCTCTTCAAGGAAAACTACAAACCATTGCTCAAATAAGTCAGAAATGACACAAACAAATGGAAAAACAGTCCATGCTCATGGATAAGATCAATACCATGAAAATGGCTATATTGCCCAAAGCAATTTATATATTCAATGCTATTCCCATTAAACCACCATTGACATTCTTCACAGAATTAGGAAAAAAAAACTATTTTAAAGTTAATATAGAATAAAAAAAGAGCCTGAGCAGCCAAGCCAATCCTAAGCAAAACAAACAAAGCTGGAGGCATCACCCTACCCAACTTCAAACTATACCATAGGGGTACAGTAACCAAAACAGCATGGTCCTGGTACAAGAATGAACACATAGACCAATGAAACATAATAGAGAACCCAGCAATAAGACCACACACCTATAACCATCTGATTTTCAACAAACCTGATAAAAACAAGCAATAAGAAAAAGATTCCCTATTTAATAAATGGTGCTCCATATGTACTGGAGTACTGGCTCTCCATATGCAGAAAATTAAAACTGGACTCCTCCCTTACATCATATACAAAAATCAACTCAAGATGGATTAAAGACTTACATGTAAAACCCAAAACTATAAAAATCCTAGAAAAAAACCTACACAATACCATTCAGGACATAGGCACAGGCAAAGATTTCATTACTAAGACACCAAAAGCAATTGTAACAAAAGCAAAAATTGACCAATGGGATCTAATTAAACTAAAGAGCTTCTGCGCAGCAAAAGAAACTATAGACACAGTACACAGACAACCTACAGCATGGGAGAAAGTTTTTGGAATCTATCTATCTGACAAAGGTCTAATATCAAGCATTTATAAGGAACTTAAACAAATTTACTAGAAAAAAAAAACCATTAAAAAGTGAGCAAAGGACGTGAACAAACGCTTCAAAAGAAGACATACATGCAGACAACCGGCATATGAAAAAAAGCTCAACGTCACTGATCATTAGATAAATGCAGATCAAAACGATGATATAATACAATCTGACACCATTCAGGATGGCTATTATTAAAAAGTCAAAAAAGAAAAACATATGCTGGAAAGGTTGTGGAGAAAAAGGAATCCTTTTACACTTTTAGTGGGAGTGTACATTAGTTCAACCATTGTGGAAAACAGTGTAGCGATTCATCAAAGACCTATAGACATTAATACCATTTGACCCAGCAATCCCATTACTGGGTATATAATCAAAGGAATATAAATCATTCTATCATAAAGATATATGCACATGAATGTTCATTGCAGCACTATTCACAATAGGAAGACACAGAATCAGCCTGAATGCTCATCACTGATAGACTGGATAAAGCAAATTTGGTATATATACACCGTAGAATACTATGCAGCCATAAAAATAATCTGCAGACAGCAAATCAGGGAATTCCTTTGTAATATAATGCTTGAGCTGAGTTAAGAAGGTTGACCATAGGGAAATAGAAAAACAAAATCCTGTACAAAAGTGTGAAGAAAGGAAGAAGCTAGGTAAGTATGCAGAACTTGGGAATTTGAAGTATTTGAGGGCAGTGTGAAGAGCTTGGAAAGAGGCCTGTGATGAAATAAAATGAGAAATTTAGGTAGAGACTGAATATGTAGTCTCTTCTAGGGATGTTAAAGAGTGTTGACTTTATGCTAAGGATAGCAGGAAGATGGTAAAGGATTTTAAGCTCTGAATTGGCAAACATGTTTAGATATACTATTTTACAAGATTACTCTGGGCCAGGCTGTAGTCCCAGCACTTTGGGAGGCTGAGGCAGGTGGATCACCAGGTCAGGAGTTCAAGACCAGCCTGGCCAAGATGGTGAAACCCCATCTCTATTAAAAATACAAAAATTAGCTGGGCTAGTGGTGGGTTCCTGTAATCCCAGCTACTCGGGAAGCTGAGGCAGAGAATTGCTTGAACCAGGGAGGTGGAGTTTGCAGCAAGCTGAGATCACGCCACTGCACTCCAGCCTGGGCGACACAGCAAGACTCCATCAAAAAAAAAAAAAAAAAAAAAAGATTACTCTGGCTTTTTGTTGAACAGTATATGATGTTTCTAAGTGTGGTAATTTTATGCTGTCACTCAGACTCTTGGTTGGCAGCGATGGCAGCTGGTGAAAAGGTTGACAAATTTGCAAACATTTGAAAGGGCATACGGCAAACAAAAAAGGAAAAATAAGGTAACAAGCCCTTTGTGAGAAAAGATATTCAGGAACCTCCTTATTTTTTGCAGCTGAGATCTAAAAGCAAACAAACACAAATGCAAAGATTTCAAGGGCCCTGTAGCTGTGGAATTGAATGCTCTGTATTGTTGACCTAAGACCAACAACAGAATCTAGATGTTGAATGAGAAACTGGTTCAAGCATAGCAGGTGATTAAATCAGGCATCCTCATCATATTCAGAGGAATAGAACATAATGGCAGTTCACCCTTTATCACTGTAGTTGTAGCCTTCAAAGGCAAAGTCTAGGTCAAAAGAATACTGTAGTAAAGGACAAAAAAGCATCTGACATGCATTCAACATAGAAACTGTGTGGGACAGCCCCTAAATCAATAGCAGTAGATGCACAGATATTTAAATATGTGAACTATCAAAGCCCTTTTAGGGTTTGTTTGCCCTGATTTTAGAAGCAGGACTGACAAACTTAGATTAGGTTGGCCTAATTTAAGATTCTTAGATCAGCACTCTTAGCAATAGAGAAGAGGAAACTCAAGACATTGATCCTTGTCTTTGCACTAATTTGGTCATTTGATGCTGTAAGGTATTAAATATATATATATATGTATATATGTGTGTGTATGTATATATATATATATATATATATATATATATGAAACAGTATTATCTCCATGGTCACTAGCTAGTATATCTCCATAGTAATTAGGTCTGTGTGATTTAATTCTATGTGCTTTTATTTTGTTACTTTTACTAACTTTTAGTTTCTAAAATTTCTACCATAAACATATATTGATGCACTTGTTAAATCAAAGATAATCATTGATACCCTTAAGCAATGACTGCTTTATGTTGCTTGAATCTAATTATCCTGCAGAGAAAAATTAGAAAACCTGTGAGGTATGGGGAACAGTGATGTCTGTCTGACAGCATTGGAGAGTTATCAAGGCAGTGAGCTTTCTCAGAATAAAATGAAGAGGTGAAGCAAGAGAGCTAAATTCAATTGGGGGAGCTGCTTTTTTCTTTGAGACAATTATGAATTCTAAAGTAAAAGTGTCATTGTAAAAGTTTAGACAAAAGCAGACTTAGAAAAGCTGGAGAGAAAAAAAAATGAAATTCACATGACACCAAGAATGAGGGTCCTGATAAATAGCCAGGGCTGTACTTAGGGCACTAAATGTTAGAAGTAAAGGGAAAAAAGACAAAAACGGCCTTCAAAAGGAATAAAGCTCAGCTTTGACTCAATTCTGCCTCCAGAAAAACTGCCTGCCAAATAAAAAAAACAAAACAAAAACAAAACAAACAAACAAAAAAACTATGCCAGGAAGAAGATAAAATCACCCAGAATCTTAATAGTTTTCAGCCTAATGTGTTTTTAATTATTTATTGATACATAATAGATGTATATATTTTGGGGGTACATGTGATAATTTGATGCATTTATATAATCAAGGCAGGGTAATTAAGATATCCATCATCTTAAATATTTATCTTTTCTTTATGCTGGGAACATTTAAATCATTCTCTTCAAGCTATTTTGAAATGCACAATAGACTAATGTTAACTATCATCACCTTATGGATCTATTGAACACCAGGGCCTATATCTTCTATGTAACTGTATATTTGTATCAATTAATCAACTCCTTTATATCCCTTCCTTCTCCTAGCCCTACCTGGCCTCTGATAATCACAAATCTACTCTCTATCTTTATGAAACCCACATAAGAGTGAGAACATGTGATATTTCTCTTTCTGTGACTGTCTTGTTTCACTGAATGTAATGACCTCTAGTTCCATCCAAACTGTTGAAAATGATTGGATTTCATTCTCTTATGGCTGAATAATATTCTATTGTGTGTGTGTATATACATATATTATATATATATATATTACATTTTCTTTATTCATTTGTCAATCGATAGACATCAATGGATTGATTCCATATTTTGGGTATTGTGAATTGTGCTGCAATAAACACAGGTGTAGCTATCGCTTCGATATACCAATTTTCTTTTTTGTAGGTATATACCCAGTAGTGTAATTGGTGCTGGACCATATTTAGTTTTATTTTTAGCTTTCAGAGGTTTTATTTTTGGCTTTTAGCTCCATATTGTTTTTCATAGTGGCTGTACTAATTTACATTCCCACCAACAGAGTATGTGGGGTCCCTTTTCTCCACATCCTGACCAACATATGCTCTTCCCTCTTTCTGACAAAAGTAGTTCTAACTGGGGTGAGATTATCTCTTACTGTGGCTTTGATTTGCATTTCCCTGATAATTAATGATGTTGAACATTTTTTATGTACCTACTGGCCATTTGTATGTCTTCTTTTAAGAAATGTCTATTCAGATTTTTGGCCCATTTTTAAGCTGGATTTTTTTGTATTGTTTGAGCTCTTTATATATTCTGGTTATTAATCTTTTTCAGATGGAGAGTGTGCAAATATTTTCTTCCACTCTGTGGATTATGTTTCTTTGTTGATTATTCTCTTTGCTGTGTAGAAGACTTTTAGCTTTATGGCATTACATATATGTATTTTTGCTTTTGTTGTCTGCTTTTGAGGTCTTACAGAAAAAGTCTTTGCCCAGATAAATGTCCTGGACTCTTTCCTTACCAATTTTTTTCTGGTAGTTTCATGGTTTGGGGACTTAGATTCACATCTTTCATTCATTTGGATTTGATTTTTGTATATAGTGAGAGACAGGGGTCCAATTTTATTATTCTGCACACAGTCATCCAGTTTTCTCAGCACCATTTATTGAAGAAATTGCTGTTTTCCTATTGTGTGTCTTGGTGCCTTTGTCAATAAAAAGGCAGCTGTGAAATGTATGGATTTATATCTGGGTTCTCTTTTTGGTCTCGTTAGTCTATGGTTCTGTTCTTATGCCAGTGCCATACTGATTTGAAAACTATAGCTTTATAGCATATTTTGAAATCAGGTAGTGTCATGCATCCAGCTTTATTATTTTTACTTAAGATTGCTTTGGCTCTTCAGGGTCTTCTGTGGTTCCATATAAATCTCAGGGTTGTTTTTATTATTCTGTGAAGACTGTCATTGGTATTTTGATAGGGATGGTGTTGAATCTGTAAATTGCTTTGGGTAGTACCACCAATTTAACAATATTAAGTTTTTGGTTCATGAGCATAAAATATCTTCCCACGTTTATATATCCTCTTCAATTTGTTTCATCAATGCTTTATGGTTTTTTGTATAGATCTTTTGTACATTTAAATTGATTCCTAGCTATCTGATACTCTTGTTGCTATTGTAAATAAAATTGCTCTTTGGTTTCTTTTTCAAATTGTTTGCTGTTAGTGTATGTAAATGCTACTCCTTTTGTACGTTGATTTTATACCATGCAACTTTACTGAATTTGTTTATCATTTTTTAAAGTTTTTTGGTGGAGTCTTTAGGCTTTACTAAATGTAAGCTCTTGTCATTTGCATCCAAGGCTGATTTGACTTGATTCCAATTTGGATGCCCTTTATTTCTTACTTTTGTTTAACTGCTCGGACAAGGACGTTCAGCATCACGTTGAGTAACAGTGGTGAATGTGGGCATCCTTCTCATGTTCCAGAACTTAGAGGAAAGGCTTTCAATTTTTCCCAATTTAGTATGCTGTTGGGTGTGGGTTTATTATGGCCTTCATTATTTTGAGGTATGTTCCTTCTATAGCCAGCCTTTATTATTTTGAGGTATGTTCCTTCTATAGCCAGTTCATTCTATAACTGGCTATAGAAGGAACATACCTCAAAATAATGTGTGCAGAATAATATGAGAGTTTTTAATCATAAAGCATTTTATCAAATGCTTTTTCAGCATCTATTGAAATGATCATATTGTTTTTTTCTCAGTCCTGTTAATATGATGTATTACGTTTATTGATTTGCATATGTTATAAAACATCCTACATCCCTGGAATGAATATCACCTGATCATGGTGAATGATCTTTTTAATGTGTTGTTGAATTCAGTTTGCATTTTGTTGAGCTTTATATCTATGTTCACCAATAATATTGGCCTGTAGCCTGATTTTGGTATCAGAAGAATGCTAGCCCCATAAATAACTTTTTAAACTTTCATTTATGTCACTGAAATTATGGTGATTTTTTGTCCATGAAAAGATATACATGGTTTTAATTATATTACTATCAAATATTTAGACCCATTTTCTTCAAAAACTTTAAGAATTTTTTAGTAATCAGCATTTTATTTTTAAAACAAATAGGGAAATGCATATATTAAATATATGGCTAAAGTTATTAATTGTTTTATAATGGATCAATCACATTTCAACAGTGTAGTTATAGTCTCTGAAAGCCACTCATTCTTCTCATGCCTTGTTGCAGATTTAGCTTAAAATCTTAGTTGAAAATATGGCTCATAAACTTTCATATCTAATAAATCATAAGCAATGTTTATGAAATATGGCTCATAAACTTTCACATCTAATGAATCATAAGCAATGTTTACCTTCATTTCATGTAAAGTTTAACAGACACATGGGAGACTTTTATAAGGAAGTCACTATATTTAAAAATAATGAGAGTTAAGGAAAGAGCAGAGGCTATAATTCCAGGCATAAAGAAAGAATAAAGTATGAAATGAGGAATAAAATGATTGGAAATGGAAATGGAAATGATGACGAGTGCCAGTAATTATGAACAGGAAAGATTTATAAGACTCAAGCTTTTGTGTCTTTGTGTTTTTTTTTGTTTTTGTTTTTGACTTAAAATATTGCTAATAAATCTTTAATTCTTATTTTAATTGCTTTAAATTTTAGGACCAAAAACACATTGAGTTTCAGTTACTAGCTCAAAATAAACCTTATTGCCACTTTTTTTTTTTTTTTTTTTTTTTTAAAGACAAGTTCTTGGTGTGTTGCTGAGGCTGGAGGACAGTGGCATGATCACAGCTCACTGCAACCTGGTCCTTCCAGGCCCAAGCAATACTCCCACCTCAGCCTCCCATGTAGCTGGGACTACAGGTGCTTGACAACATACCCAATTAGTTTTTGTATTTTTTTCTAGAGACCAGGTCTTACTGTGTTCCCCAAGATGGTCTCAAATTCCTGGTCTCAAGTAATCCTCCTGCCTCAACCTCCCAAAGTGCTGGAATTATGTCACTTCTTCATCTCACATAGCATTATATGTATACAGTCTGACTTAAATATGTTTAGAAAAATGGTGAGTTTCTTCCTTTCATCTGAAATGGCTTTTTTTTTTAATTTACCTTTGCTATAAGTTTCACTGAGAGACCAAACTTTTATTTCCCAATACCTTCCATTCTAATAAGCTCTGCCTCCAGCTTATCTTCAGAATTTCTCCATATTTTTTACATAACCTATTCCCAGGACACAGTGTATAGCTGCACAAGAAGAATATTTTAACATCTATAAAATAACAGCTCTAATATTTAGAAATATAAAACCTAGTTATGTCTCCATTAGTTATTAAAACACAATTGCATTAGTAGTTGAAATATTTCAGAGTGGAAAACCCTCCCTCATTGGATTCATATTGTTGCTACATATATTAAGGTGAAACTTTAATATTCTTTCTCTAAATGAAAAAATAGCCCTTTTGTTGTTTTTTATTCTCTCAGGAATAAAACAGTGTCTGGAATCACTCTTTATTGATGTGAGTGAGCACAAGATAGGAAAATCACATGTATTTACAGATAAGACTCCTGTAATCCTTGGGGAGATTAATCTGGTAATTTAAATAAGAAAGCCCCAAGAAGGTCCCAATGCTAAATCAAACTATGCTCAGGATGACACTGAACTTAGATCCAAGGAGATAGTTGCCATTCTCAATATCATATGGCAACAAGGCCTCTGGGTAGTCAGGAGTCTGTGCTACTCCTCTTCCAGCCATTTGCTGAATACTGTTTGAGTTTCAAAACAATGTGAACAGCATAAAACATGCTAAATCTTCTGAAGTGTTATAGATGTTACAGATTGATTTATTTTAGTAACAATTTCAATAAATTATTAATCCTTTAATAAATAATAGATTTCTAAAGAAAATTACCATGCATTGTACTATAAACATGCCTATTTTATTACATACTTATAATCCATTTCAAAGAAATATGTATGGGATCTTATAATTCCATAAAACCACATGATAATCTCAGTTTATATATTTCTTGTGACTAAGTAAAATAAGGAATTTATTTTACAATGTAACAATCTGTAGTTTTAAGGTCTTAAAAAGTCAAAAAATATAGATCAATATTTACTGGATATATAGTTACCCTACTAGCCTCATAGAAATTGAATGTAACACAATTTTCCACAGAATCAAAAAAAAATTTATATTCATAATCCCTCTCAAATGTACAAGAAAAATTAAATGTAGTGAAAAGCAACACACGCAATCTAGAGAGAAACTGAGGAATAGAAAATGTGAGAATATCCGTCAAGAGGCTATGTTTTGAGGAAGTAAGCAGTGCTAAAAGTTATTCCTCAATTGTTGAGCACATATGTATAAGACTATTTTACTAGTTTAAACATTTGTATGACATTTGGTTCAACAAATAAGGTTTCAGCACTTACTGTTTTTTCTCTATATCATTTACTGGCTTTGAGTTATCAAGAATTGTTGCATTATTCTTCAAAATTAGAGCTATTGTAGCATAATATATGTGAAGCCAGTTAACTACACTGTTGGCTTTGAAAACTCTTAAATAATCCTTGAAAACTTAATGCCCCTTAATTGTTTTCATGTCTCTTCTTTTATTTATTCAGTCATTTGTCCTTCTAATGTTTTGATGTATTTCTCCATTTTTTTTTTATATTCTAACTCCTCTTCCTTTCTTTGGTACCTTAAAATTACACGTGTTCAGTACCTGTGCTTTCTATTATCTAAATATATTTTAATGGATTTATTGTCTCCTTCTTGTCTGCCTGTTACTATTCAAATATATAATTAAACTGTGTCTCCACTATAATTAATTTCTACTTTTTCTTTTCCCATATTTCAGAGAAGTCAATTTCATCAAAGTCCTCACTTGCCACTAAGTGCTCCAATTTTCCTATTTTGATTATTCAGCTTATAGAATTTGAATTATAAAATTTTGTGCTTGGAATTGAGATTTCTAAACCATTTTAACCAGTTATTTAATTAAAAGATAAAATTATTTCTATTTAATTTTACAGACATTTTCTGCTCCGTGATTTTTGTGAGATTTTCAGGGTTTTCAGCCATTTTTCATACTTCCAGAAAGTCCTCAACATAACAATTTTTAATAAATGCATAGTTATAAGTAGAAGAAATTACAAATTACATAGTTTCATAGAAGAAAGATGAAGAGGAAATTGACTAACAATCACTAGGTAACCCAACTGTGTACAGCCAGAAACCTGGTGCTTTCTTGTTGTTGTTGCTCTTGTTATTTCCACTTAGTTGGGATCCATACTTCCTCTTTATGCCCCCAACAAAATATTCACCTTAGTTCCCAGTAAATTCAGTGTTATTTATTTATTATATTCATTGATAATTAGGAAAAACTTTTTTCAGAACAATAAATATACATTTAAAAGTCTGGCATATTTAGAGATATTTTACGATATTTAAGTTGTGAGCAAATAAACATTGGCCTCACATTTCCTAACAACATTTGAATGTTCAAAAAAAATTGTAGCATAAAATATTTAAAAATATTTAAAGATAGGAGAGTGATTCACTAGAATGCAATGGAGAAACTAGAGAAAAAAAATATTTGGCCTCAGCCAGATATATTTTCTAACATCAAAAGACTGCTCTAAATAAGACATTTGGAGACCAATATTGTAATAAAATATTTAAAGGACAGAGAAATACATCACTAGGTCAGACGTTGCAATCTAAAGAAGAAGTTAGATAAGTTACACAGGAAATTGTTTCTTCATTTTTTTTAGATAAAGCAATAATAATAGGAAAAGGCAAAGAAAAAAGTCATTGTAAATAAACTTCTGAAGACAAGAATAGTACGATTTGTTTTGAGGAATAATTTTATGCCAAGAATGATCTAAAAGTCTAGTTTTAACTGTAACAGCAGTATTCAGATTATATGCTTCCCAAAAAAGGCATTTCAAGTATAAAGAAACAAATAGGGTAGCATAATAAGAAAGGAAATTATCCAGTGATAACACTAACTATAGTAAGCAAAGGAGGCCAAAATAATATCATACAAATATATTCAAAACAGTAATATTTCTAGAAAAAATGTTATTATTTAATGATAAAGATGAGAATTTTTCAAAAGAAAATAAAAATCTTATATGTTCATGCACCACAAAGCAGAGATCCAAAATGAAGCAAAAAAACAAAACCCTGAAAGTATAAATAAATAAATCTATATTACACTAAAATATTTCAACACTTCTTTCTAAATAATTCATGGAACAAATAAAGAGAAAACCAATAAGCATATAGAAGACATGAAGAATACTATTAACTCACTTAAGTTAACATTTGTAGAAGTCTCTCTCCAATAACAGCAAACTACACAAAAGAGTTACCAAAATTGAACATTATTTGGAAAAAATATATGTTCATTAATAAAAATTTAAATTACACAAATTGGAAATCATCATTCTCAGTAAACTATCCCAAGAACAAAAAACCAAACACCGCATATTCTCACTCATAGGTGGGAACTGAACAATGAGATCACATGGACACAGGAAGGGGAATATCACACTCTGGGGACTGTGGTGGGGAGCGGGGAGGGATAGCATTGGGAGATATACCTAATGCTAGATGACGAGTTAGTGGGTGCAGCGCACCAGCACGGCACATGTATACATATGTAACTAACCTGCACAATGTGCACATGTACCCTAAAACTTAAAGTATAATAAAAATAAATAAATAAATAAATAAATGAAAATTTAAAATAAAAAAAGATTTATATTTAATCTATCTTCTATTTGGGGTATATATACCATTTAGAAGAAAATTGGTTATTGATACGTTTAGTTTTAACTCTAACATCAATTTTTTCTTTTTCATTTTGTCTCATTCTTCACTATTTTTCTTTGGTTTCTTTCTTTTGTATTAATTCACTATTTTGTCTAATTCTATTTTATCTCCCTTGTGGGATTATCAGTTCTACCACTTGTATATCTGTCCATGCATGTTCTTTTTTAAGTTGATATATATTTTAACAATTTATTGACAAGTACTATAGAATTACTCCAAATATAAGAATATTAGAATAGTAAATTTTCATTTTAGTCCTCACAATTTTTGTGCTTTTGTTTCATAGATTGTATTTCTAGAATTGATATAAAACCCACATTGCTTTACTATAATGCTTGATCTAAATAGTCAATAATATTTAAAAGAGATTTTTAAAATAAGAAAAAGATAAAAAAAATAAGAAAAAGAAAACATTTCTGGCGCTCTTCATTTCTTTTTGCAAGTCTAGATTTGTACCTGGTATCATTGCCTTTCTGCTAGAAGGAAGATTTTTTTATTTAACATTTCCTGAAGTAGTAATTGCTAATGGTAAATTCTTTCGATTTTCATATGCCATAAAAAAGTCTTTATTCTGCCATCCTTTTCAAAATATGTTTGATTAGTATATAATTCTAGGTTTAAAGTGTTTTCAAAACTACTTTAAAGTTCCACTCTCTTTCAACTAGCTTTGATTCTGACAAAAAAAAAATCTGCTGTAATTTGTACTAATTTGTATATTTGTTCTTATTTTTTCAGTCTGCTTTTAAGATTGGTTTTCAGAATTGTTTATTTTGATGTTTCTTGTAGTTCTTTTCATAATTTTTGTTTGTTTGCTTGTTTGGAGGCTAGTTGAGCTTCTAGGATTTATAGGTTTATAGTTCTCATCAAATTTGGAAATTTTTCACTCATATTTTTCCACCCCCTTTTTTCTAATTTAGTTTACACTAGGTCACATTAATTTTGTTTACATACTATTAATTCTCTGACAATATGTCTACTTTAAAAAATCTACTTCATTTCATCTTATGTTAAAAGAAAAGCTTTATGGGAGCAAAGAACAATTCATAAATTAGGCAGCACTCAGAACCACAAAAGATTCAGAGAGCTCTGCTCAGCAAATGAGCAGTGAATGTAGACAGAACATGAAAGTAAAGAAGAGGAATAGCTTAATTAGTTACAGCTAGGTGTTGTCTTCTGCAGACATGATTTGATCAGTTGGCTGCCTGTGATGAGCTGAAGCTCAGCTACTTGTGATTGGCTATCTGGTTATCTGTTAGAAGAAAAATACTCCTTTGTTAGGATTCATTTTATTTTTCGACTATGTTAGGTTGCTATTGATTAAGTAGAAATTCAGAGTACAGAGATACCCTCAGGCCAAATTTAATTTAACACTTGTTTCTATTTTTATACCTTCAATTACAATAAGACTTCTTCTTCAGTGTTTAATATGCTTTTAGTTTTACCCAGTGCATTTTTTTCATCTAAAACTTGGATTTTTCATGTGTACAATATGACTAGGATCTGTTTTATGTCTTCTACATTTTTCCTTTACATGCTATGCTTTTCTCTATCTTCTTGTACATAGAATATAATTATAATTATTTCAGTTGCCTTGTTTACTAATTATCACATCCATGTTCAAACTGGATCTGAATGTAGATATTGTAATTTCATCTTATTGTGAGTTGGATAATTTTATATTCCTTTTCATATTCTCAAGCTTTGGCCTGAGGCAGTTAAGTTACTTTCAAATGGCTCAATTCTTTTGAAACTAGCCTTGAATCTCTGTTAAGATGAGACAAAAGACTCCTTTAGCCTTGAGCTAATTGTACCCTGTTACTGAGGCAATACCTTTCTGGGTAATTTTCTCAATCCTCTGGGTATATTGAGGTTGCCTACTGTGGCTGATGAGGAGGCCAGCTATTATTTCTAGCCTTCTCTGTCCATTGAGCATTGTTCTATCTGCTTCTTTTCAGTAGTTATTTGCCCTGCAGTTTCCTCACATGTGTGCACTGATCAATACTTAAGCCTGAAACTGTCTGCAGCACTCCAGATCTTTATTTCTCTTTTACTTTGCAACTTGTTCTCTCTGTAGTTCTACTCTCTTCGCTCTCTCTCTCTTCCCTCAGCACAACCCTCTCCATCTCTACACTTCCTCTCACCTCTGCCCTGTGAATTCTAATTGCATTTGCTGCCCCAAATCCTCTTTAACTCATTCAGACCACTGAGCTCTGGATTTTTCCTCTCTGAGCTGCAGCCTGAGAACTTTCTCCAAGCAGCAAACTGGAGCAATATAGAGATTACCAATTTTTATTGTTTGTTTTGTTTTGTTTTTTGGCTCCAAGGAATCTCTGGCTAGCACTGCCTACTTTTTGTTGTTCAATATCTGAAAACTGTTTACTGTGAGAATGTATATATAATCCCATTGCTCCATTCCATCATGGCCAGATGTGAAAGACTATACTACATATTAATCTGATGTAGTTTTAGGCTTCTTAATTTTTATTTGATATTTCCAATTTTTCAGACATCTTTCATATCTATGCTGTAATTCCCTGAACATAAGTTCTTCATATCAAATATATATAATCATAAGATCAATTTTCATTATATTTTCCTCATGCTGCACAGCTACAACACAAAGCTATTCTTATTATTATGAGCATAAGCTTTTTAAATTTTTAATTAGTTAATATTAATTTTTTTAAATTTTATCTTTTGTATTTAGTTCTTTACCCCATTTGGTATCTTTGCATACCATATTACTAAGGAACTGATTTTATATTTTTTATATAATGAGAAATTTTTCTTTTTACTATTCCCAAAGTGTTACATTCTTTCCATTGCTTTATTTGCTTGTTCTTGTATAATTTCTATAGGAATTTTTAAACTATTAATTTAAAGTAGTGTTTCTCTTTTCCTTTTATTGAAGTGTTAATATGTGTATACAAAAGAGGTCGCATAAGGGAACAGCTCAATGAATTTTCGTAAAGTGGATATGCTTCTTTTAGCTGCATCAAGAGTAAGAAAATGTGTCATTATGTGAAAAGCAATCTTCCTGTTTTATACCAGTCACTAACCCCTAGAATGAAGACTATCCCGATTTCTAATAAAATATATTATTTTTGTCTTTTTTGGCTCCGTTAACATAAATAGAAAGGTAAAAAATGCATTCTTTTGAGTTAGGGTTTCTTCCATCAGTATTATGTTTTTGAGACATATCCATATTACTGTGTGGAGTTGTGGCTTTTTTCATTATCAAAGTTGTATATTATCCATTATTATATAAATATACTGCAATTCATTCATCCATTTTATCTGTTTATGTGCATTTGGGCCATTTCAAGGTTGTATCTATTAGAAATACTGCTAGTGGTGGAGGATGGTGGACTATACCTGTAATCCCAATGCTGCGGAAGACCGAGGAAGGAGGATTGCTGTTCTCAGGAGTTCAAAGCTGCAGTTAGCTATGATTATACCACTGTCCTCCAGCCTGGGCAACAGAGGGAGACCCTGTCTCAAAAAAAAAAAAAGAAAGAAAGGAAAGAAAGAAAGAAAGAAAGAAAGAAAGAAAGAAAGAAAGAAAGAA
Source organism: Homo sapiens (assembly GCF_000001405.40). Lineage (NCBI taxonomy): Eukaryota > Metazoa > Chordata > Mammalia > Primates > Hominidae > Homo > Homo sapiens. The sequence continues at coordinate 43,473,239 of NC_000014.9, forward strand.
AGAAAGAAAGAAAGAGAAAAAGAAAATAAAAGACAGAAAAAAAATATTGTTACTGCCAGTAAGAACAGTACTTTTCTGTCAAATATACCACTATGTTGGTAGTTGCTCAATCACATACACATACACATACACACATACACAGACACCCCCAGATTTGGCAAATACTGATAAATAGTATATTAATTAAACCCCCATCAGCAATGTATGAAGCTGTTAGTTCTTTCCATATCCTTGTAAACACTTGAAGTTACATCCTTTTTTTTCATTTTAGTCATTCAATTGTATCTGTACTAGTAGAGAACTATAATTTAACTGTGAATAACTAATGTAGTTCAATAACATTTTATATTTAATTGTGTTCATTATAAACTGGTAGGACAATCACTCATTCTTTTGTTTTTCTTTTTGAAAGAAGAAGAAGTTATTTAAGGATCTTTATTCTTCTATATACGTTTTCCATCTTTCTAGATATTTAGTAGAAAAATGTTTTTATTGCATTGACTATATAGATTAACTTGGAGAAAGTATATCTGTATTCTGTTTTTTATATTGGTTATTATTTTCTAATTTGTTTTATCTCAAACATACAGAAAGTACAAACGAAATATACAGACAACATTTTAAAACAATACATATAGAAAATATAACATCTCACAATTAATTCTGAGATTTAACAAATTATTAGCATTCTGCCATACTTTTTCCCATTTTTAAAAACAATATTCTTAATAGGCCATTAAAAATATACTTACCTGTCTGTGTTCCCCTACTAGAACTTACACTTATTAATAGGCTCGATAATATGAAATTTTCCATACTTATACACTTTTGACATAACAGCAGCAATTTCCTGTGACTCAACCTAGCAACATTTGCATCTGTATCACTTAAGATCATTTCTATCCCATAGTGATGCTCAATACCTTGTATATTGAGTTCTCAATAAAAGCTAATTATCAAATTAAGATACACGATAGCAGCATTCTTAAAAATATTTTTCACATTTATGTATCTCCACAAATAATTATCAAATGAACAATTAAATCATCTCTCCAGTTTCCATAAATTCTCCCAGGAATGTATAGCCTGTTTTTCACAAAATAAATGAACCCAATTTTCCTCCTGTAAATTCCTATGAATGGGCTTATCATCTTATGTGTTTCAGCACTCTCAGCTGTTTTTTCACTGCTGTCATAAAATGTGGGAAGCTGGTTTTTAGCAACTTATGCTCTTTTTAATGTACTGAATATAGTATAATTGTGACTTAGAAAAGTGACGACTATAAACCTTAACTGTATGTAAATTAAGAATAAATATAATTTGCAAGAGAGTTTAGAAATCTTTCTTGAGTAGAATGGATTAAGTCTAGTTCATGAATTTTGATATCTGTAGATTAGTTGTTTATTTAGATATCTTTCTCATGTACATACTGTTAGTTGACTGTGTTACAATTAATATATATCATCAGGTATTTGAAATACCAGAGGCAAGATGGCTTTGTAAAAGTAGAAAATAAAATTTACCTAAAAGTTTAGAATATTCAGCACTAGCTTTTGAAGGGGTTTTACAATAATCTCATCTGTTTCATATTTTATTGTTTTAAAATTTATGTTTAATTCTGATGTCTAATTCTTAAAATCATATGTGTTATTTTCTCTTCAGACACTGTTTTACAACACCATAAATATTTCTGTTATATACAAAATAGCCATTCTAGCTATATGTTTTATGTCATAAGTTTCTGAATTTGAAAAGAAATGGATAAACATGCTTAAATATGGTGGTATCAAAAAATAGACATCTTGTGTTTTCTATGGCATATGGAATAGGTTGCATTGAAACATTTATGTTTTTCAGATAACCAAAGCATATTAAAGCATTTAATTTGTTTCATTTGGATGTTAAAAAAAAGAAAAGTTAAAAGACCATATGTATTTCTTTATTCCTTGAACTAAGATTGGATATAGAGCTCAATCTGGGTGGTAGTTAACACAAGTGTCTACTTACGTACAAATTTATAAAACTACATAAATTAAGATTATTAAGCTTCACATACCATACTATTTGTTATACCTCAATAAAAAATTTAAAAAAATATGTACACAGAAAGTACTGGTCATATTGAAACACTTCTAAAAATTTCATATTCTTTTTAGTTATTTAGAATAGATGGTTGCTGAATATTTTCTAAAATATATTGGATCATTTCACAGTGTTTCTGCATCTCTCACTCCACAAAGCAAACTGTCATTTTTATATGAATAATATCATCTTAGAATTGAATTTTTTTAAATGGCAAAGAAACTCTTACATGAGAAAACTCATTTTAAAACACAGAATTTTATTGAGCCATCTGGTATGGACTAAATTCTGTTTCCCCTAAATTCATATGTCGAAGCCCTAAACCCCAGTGTGACCATATTTGGCGAGAGAGCCTTTAAGGAGATAATAAAGGTTAAATGAGATAAAAAAGTTGGGGTCCTAATCTAATAGAAACAAGTGTCCTTATAAGAAGAGGAAGAAACACCAGGGCTATTCATAGGCAGAGTATAGAACATAGCAGGAAGACAGCCATCTGCAAGCTAAAAATAGAGGTGTCAGGAGAAACTAAACCTGCTGACACCTTGATCTTGGACTTACAGCCTCTAGCATTGTGGGAAAGCAGAAATGTTTCTTAACTCACCCAGTTAGTTGTACTTGTTATGATAGCACTAGCAAATGAATCACTAACCACCTTAAGGTTCATATTACATAGTAACCCTTCCTGTCTCTCTGTGTACATAACATGTTTATGGTGCTTTGTGTTTACAGCATATCAAACTTAGGAAAACTCTACTTCTTTTAAGAAATGTAGAAGACATTTGACAGTTTTGTCTTTCCATTTGAACATAAACCTCCAAAAATGCAGAAATACATTATATCGTCTGTCATGCTATGTTGAATAAGACTGTCATCAAAACTTTGTACTATGGTTATACATTAACTACACAACTACTTATTTGGTGAAAACCAAACAAAGCTAATGGGTTAAAAAAAATAAGATGCCTTGTGTTTTGGGAAGCATAATTCCACACTCAAACTATTTGAAATGGTCCACTTAAAAACATAAAACTCTGAAGAAAGTGTATGGCTATAAATAATATAAAAGAAAAGCTATACAACTATATTCATTAAAAAGAAACATAAATAATTTTTAAAAGCAAAAAAAATTAATATAAGGTTTAAACTATGACCACACTTTAAATAAAAAAATTAGTGCTCCATTGATATATTTAAGACTTAAAAATCTGTTTCTTACATTTGATGTCAAACAGTTCAAATTTTATAAATGTATTATAATAAAATTTGAGATATAGGATTTTGAGATAAATTGTTACGTTTTAGAAGTAACTAAGAAAATGACTGAATTATTTTGAAAATGTTGCTACTTACATGCTAGAACATACATCGATTTCTTAAATAGTAAAGTGCATTTAAAATAAGAATGTGTAATATGTTTCTATTATAATTATTTTCTTGGTATACACTGTATGTAGTCCAAATAAATATTTTTGTTAAATTAGAAATTGTTTCTAAGTAAAATAATGTCAAAGTATACTTGAAACTCTAAATTTTTATATACTGTACCAAAGGTCCAAGTATGAGTAAAGCAGTAGATATTACAGAGTTTTAAAATGTTGAAAGTAATTTCAGATCACTGGGTTATGTAATGAATTTAATACTGCTGTTACATATTTTCAGCACTCATGTTAACAAGTTTGACGATGAAGAAAGTCAGAATTTTTTGCTTAGCTACACATTATTTTGAAGGTTTTTATTATTGAGACATGAAAATATTGAAATGCCTGGATTTTACTATCAATATTTTATGAATGTTCTGTAGAAATTCTAACTCTGACATTGATCTATTTATGAGGTGAAAAATATCATTTAAAAAAATTGGTACATTGGCGATTTGCAGCTGGCTCAGTTTCTTATGGCTTGATAGAGGTTGAAAAATGTGATAACAAATAATCATCTGCTCAGGAAAAAAAAAAAAGGAAAAATGAAGCTTTAAAGGTTTCTTAAAATGATAGGAGAAAACAGGGAAGGAAGATAACCGCATTGGTGATAGAAGCAAAAGAAAGGTAACAAGGAAACAATGGCAAATTTTTGAACCAGCAAGGAGAGAATACAGAGAAAAGAGAAAAAAAAGTCAGGATAATTTTTCCTGTTTTACACTTTAGTAATTACACTGTAATTTCAAAAGTTTTAGCTGACATATTTTTTATAACTTCCTCGTCCTAAGAGGGGAAAAAAAAAGAAATCCTTGGAAAACCAATCCTTTTAAAGTACACTGGTACTTACCAGCATTTAAAGTAGACTATAATTGTTGTTGAAAATATTATTGTACGTTTAAAATCTTTTGGACATTTATAACAAAATATTTTAATAATGGTTGATTATCGCTTGATTTTCCCTGAAAATGGAATTTTGACTGATTTCAATTTATTTGCTTGCATTTTTTCTGCCAAATTTTGCAAAATTAGCATATTTAATTTTTCAATAATGATTCAAAGCAGAAAGTCAAAATTTTCATGCAAGAAATATTTTTTTACTTCTCAAGCACATAAAATATTTTCAGGGGCAGAAGAAAAAAGTTTGATGTTGGAACTTCAGAAATGTCTCCCCACACAACACAAAATTGACCCATTGGGAGACATACTCCTTCCAAGGTAACTAATATAATTGTGTGTCCCAGCTTTACAGTCATGGGAAAGGGATCAAAAATCATAATAAAGAAGACTCCTCTGCTGCCAAAACTGGCTCTCACTGAAACAGGCCACAGAATTTCATCAGTAGCCTGGTGATGCTCATTCATCTTCCATGCCTATTACAATCTAGTACAACTCTAACACCTTTTATTCCAGGAATTAAATGTTCACATTCATTACCACCAATGTATATAAAATAAGAGGTAAAAAGATATAAATAGCAGGAAAAAAATATGAATAATGTCTTAGCCTGCTTGGGCTGCCATAACAAAATATCAGATACAGATAACTTAAAGAGAAATATATTTTCTCACAGTTCTGGATTCTAGAAATCTGAGATCATGGTGCCAAAATGGTTGGATTCCAGTGTGGGCTGTCTTCCTAGCTTGTAGATGGCTGCCGTCTCTCTATGTCCTCATATGGCAGCGAGAAAGAGCAACCAAGCTCTCTGGTGTCTCTGCTTATAAGGGCACTAATCCCCTCATGAATGTCCCACTCTCATGACTTTACTAAACCTAAATTACCTCCCCAATGCCATTTCCAAATAACAACACATTGGAGGTTAGGGCTTCAACATATGAATTTAGGTGAGGGTGGAAAGTACAATTCAGCCCATAGCACCTGAGAACTAAGACTCCTAAACCATCAAAACACAATGTCTTATGGAAACGAATAAATTGATTTATGTGTGGAGTATTTGATATGAAAAAATGTGGGCCTATTTTCATTTCCTTGGTAGCTGGACTCTGCATTTTTCAAAAGGTCATCCTAACATCCTAAAAGGCCAAGGGTTACTAAGAGCTGAGAAAAAGAAAAACAGAGTAAAAGCAGTGAAATCCACACTCATCAGCCCATTGATTCCCCTCTTTCACTGTAAATTCAATGCTTTATTCTCATTAAAAAGACTTTAATCCTGTAGCTTTCAACTTCCAGCTGGTGTCAGCTTATCGTGCAGAACTATCTGTAAAGATGACTAAAATGTTGTCTTCCTCAGTTAACTGGTCATGGCTCTCACCAGGAGGCCATGGTAGTGGGCTGAGGGTGAAGGGCAATGTAATGAAAATAGGCACTGTGGGAGCATGACCCATGAGCTTGGACATCTTATGTGTGCTTTCAGGACAAACTTGAGGCTCTTCTCTATAGTATTTTTACTTGGTGGTACAGGACTACTGTCACACATTTCTGATTGGGTGGATTAGATAATGCCCATTCATTGGTCAGCTTAATTTGTATGCTTATTTGTAAGCCAGTGGTGTTTAGTCTACCCTCAGGCCCAGAGGGATTTTCTCCAAGCTCTAAGGACACACAACCTAATTCTCTTTGAGACCTGGCCACAGACTGTACACATGTACTAATATGCTACAGGAATTTTGAGTGTCGTTGGCTCTGCCAAGTCATATATGGCAGAGCTATATTCGCTCACTACAGCGTGGGCCAGTTCTCAGAGCCTATGTGAGGTCCAAACCCCCAATCTGAAATCTTGTAGCTTTAAAAGTTCATTGGTAAAAGAGAACACAATCAATTTGTCATATCTTACCTCCCAAGCCAAATGAAATAAGGATAATGAGACTTGTGCCCCACTTTTAGTTCCAAAGAATGAAATGGGCATCAACTTTGCCTTTCACTTTAAAGGGGAAATCCTAATACATGCCAAGTCAGAAGCACCAATAATCATGACTAAAGTAGAAAACCCCTGACATTTGATAGGTGTTATTTCTTTAAGCAAGCATGTGTCTTGCAAAATTTTAGAGTTTATCAACTATTTCTGCCTTATCATGTCTTAACAGCTTGTAAATATCAATGTGGTGAGCCAGCATAATGTCTTTTGAGATATTCAGTTACTCTCAAATCACACAAACTAAACTATGAGGGAAAACTGTAAAGGGGAAAGAGACAATAGAGGTTTAGTGCTGTCATTACAAGTTGAAAGCCAACTGCTGCTGGTGTTTTCTACTCATTGGTAGAGAACAAAACCTTTTGGCAGTTTTATAGCTGTGTAATAGGTGCCAGGGGCAATGCTAATTGCTCCTATAAAGAGACTACATCTGGAACAGCAATTGGGGTCATCATCAGATTTTATGTGCTTTGCTTCCCATTCCTGCCACGTTTCATCTGTACAGGCCAAACAGACACTCCATGGAGCTGTGATGGTAATAACCAACCTGAATCGTGGCACTTTCCCCATGAATGCAGTATTGCATTTATTATTCTCCTTTCGTGGGGTGGGTCTGGTTTAAGAGCTAATCCTTGGCTTCTCCTAACCACCAAATCTTCTGTGAAATGATTCATGTCAAAACTCTCCCACTTGACTCCAAGTATTACCTCTGGTGGTACAACATGCCATTATGCATCCTCAAAGTTAAGCATGTATTCAGAGCTAGTGATCAGTTACACCTGTAAATTATGCCAAGAAATGTCTAGTATATCATATTAATTTAGTGTGGACCACCTCCAACTCTAAGACTCTGTTATAGTCAAGCAACTGAGTCAACTGTTGGAACCACTCCTGACTACTCTAGGTGGCACATTACATTCAGAATTTCAAGTAAATATAGTCATATTGATTAAAATGCCCTAATTAATTATTTTCTTCTCTTTCTGGAACAGTTAGGATAAATTCTCACATAAACTGCTCAGATTTTTTGCCAATATAAATGGTGAAAAATTTTTAATATTTGGTATCTATATATTTATCTTGATCTTTTTATATGCCTCCTGAGACAAACTTATCAGAAATCTACTTATTGGCCTAGTGGCTATAAGGTAGTAGGAGTGTGCAGTAAAACAGGCTGGCACTTCTTTCCAAAGCAATTATATCCATTGAATAATTAAAAGGACTCCACCAAAAGATGAACAGACCTCAAGGGGTTTTGGACGCACAGAACTCATTTCCACATTAATCCACCTAAATGACCGCATTCCAATTGTCAAGCCCTGCTCTTTCTCAACCAATGATTTAAACTTCACATGAGAGACAAAGAAACTTATGAATTTAATTATCTTTTAACTCAATAGTATACAAGATAATACTGCATCTGATGGCTGGCTTTATTACCTTTGATATGTATATATGTCTGCCTTGAGCTGTGAATTGACAGCCCAGTGCTTGCGATTGTTATTCTTTCAGCTTTTCAAAAGCAGCTAGCCCATCTGTCAGTTTTTATATTCTTCATCTTCACCATAATACTCCAACATAACAATCACTCTATTCACTGAAGCCATGGCTTTCTTAGTATATTTTTTTTTGGCCACTGGTTTTCATAGACTACACAATTGTCATCCTCTAGGTATAACCACCAGGTCATTTCATTCTAAGCAGGCCAAGTAAGAAATCCAGATTTCCATATTTGAGCCTCTGTTTCCTGCATCTATCTCTGGTATCATCCAAGTCAAGTACTACAGGAAACAGAAAGCACTCTACATAGGTAGTTATAAACAGGTACTTTCACAAATTATGAGAACTGAAAGAGCAAGGTCTTGGATACCAATAAGGAATAATTAGCAGACACCATAGCACTTTCTGAAAACCACTGAGAATTGGACTCATAACTTCAAGCATAAACCCTGAAAATGAAATTTAAAGAATATAAAATTAGAATTAAAAAGCTGCCACCGCTGGTTTAGCGGCCTCTCAACATACTGGAAGCTGAATGAAAAGTCTTGATTGGTGGCTGCTAGAAATCTTCACAAGTCTACAACTCAGTTTGCCATCCAAAAATAATAATATTTTTAATTGTTCATGAATTCTAATTATAAGCAGACATTTATTGTCTACATGCTGCATACCAGGAATTATGTGAGATGATGGACAAACAACATCAGAGAGGTCTTCTCTAATCATTCTACCTAAGGTAGTACCTGATTCCTTTCAAAAGATATAACTGACAATACACATGAGCATGTGCGAAATTGGAAATCCAGTACCTCAATTAACAAAACTAACATAAACAACTTCTAGATTAACTATTTGCTCCAAACCAAACAATATTTTTAGTAAATTAGAAACATCCCTCTCATTCACTTCTCACAAGTGGAAGACAAAAATGAAGCAGAGGCTGTAATTGCCCCCTTTCCAGCAGAGGGGGTAATTACCCCCTTTACAGCAGAAGATGAACTTAGAGAGATGAAAGCACTTTCCTAAGATTATACTGTCCAGAAGGATATTACTATTCTAGTACCTTCTTTGCACTTATCGCTATCTGAAAATATCTTATATTTCATTAATTTATTGTCTTTTACCTTCTGAGAAGATGTAAATTTTGTGAGATCAAGAATATTAGAATCTGGTTGCACCATATATTTTTGAGTCTGAGAAAAGTCCCTGCCTAATAAATATAAGGTTAATAAATAAACTGGACAGAAAGATTTTTATGTATGGAATTTAGAGACTTGTGGGTCACACTTAGAGGTATCAGATACTCAAAATACAACAAAATAAGTGTCATTAGATTTGAAGTAAAGGGCACTATGAACGCATAGGGTAGATACCAACCATGTAGAGGTAAATTGTCTTCCAATGAACTAAATAACATTGCTGTAAGCTTGAAAAGGCAAGGAAAGCAAACATGATGAGTGAGAAATAGAAAGCAGCTTAATGTCATCAAACTGAAAAATTAATGGGTTGGGATGGAACAAGTTTAAGAATGCAAATATGAGCAAAGGAAGAAAGTTCTTAAAAAATGTTAAATATTTGGTTTAATTTCACACTAGAAATTTTAAAATACGTTTTAAATTAAAGCCTGGAAAAACCATATTTTCATTTTGGGTGGGGGGGAAAGCTTGAGCCAAAATGTGGAGAAGGATAAGATAAGGACAAGAATGAATTTAGGAAGACCATTTAAGTAGCTATTGTAATAATCCAGTGTCATATGATGATGGCTTATAATAATATGATGAATCTAGCAATAGAGAAGATTTAATAGATTTTACAGCTGTGTAGGTACAATTAACATTCTTCAATGATTGATTTGAGATAAACATGAGAAAAAAATTGATGAAGCATAATGCTTCTTTTTTGGACATGAGTCAGGGTTGATTGCATTCAACGAGGCCAGTAACAGGTTTGGATAGATGAGATACCATCTTTGCATTTGGACATGCTGAATTTGAGATGTTTATGGAATATATAATGTCTAGTTTAATGCTCATACATGGAGAAAGATATTTGGTTTGGGACTTTCATTAACCCTGATAAGATAGCCTTCTTGTTCTATAAAATGACACTTTATCAAATATGTCAGTCATATGTCTATTTGAAACATAGGATACTCAATTAGGGAATTAATTTGTCATATACTTCAGATATCTGTACTTACAAATGTAAATTTTATGGAAAGTTTTAGGAAATGACAATTAAAAACAACATATTCTCCCAACTCAAAAACCTCCACAGAGTAGTAAAATATAAAAAGTTTTATTATTGAATAAGCATTAAACTAGGATGTGATGAGCATCACAATCTGCTAAGAGATTACAAAGAAAAAAAGTTTACCCATTTACGTAGCCAAGCACATAAAAGCCATTACACGCATGTTCTCAAGATAAACAATAACTAGTCTTCAAGTAAGAGGACTTGACAGCACCATTTGTCATGCAGCATTTATCCTAGATTTACCTGGTAATTAGAGAGGACATCTGTGATAACTCATTGGCTTTATCAAGAGAAAAAAATACTTTCATATCTTTGTGATGGAATGTAGTTTTGCAACTTGGAGCAAGGTGCTCAATGAAGCTGAGCTCCTGCCCTCCCACAGAAACTGGGAGATAGGGGTGCTATCGTCTTGATTTTTACATTTCAGGCAAATGATTCTCAGGTCTTTGAGAAAGATAACTCTGTGTTCTACAGCTGACAAATGGCCTATCTAGTTTTCTAACAGATTTATATACATTTCAAAGAGAAGAGAAAGAACTTACAATTTTTGGTTTTCTAAAGTAAATGCTCTAAGAAAAAGGGGAGGGACAGAAATCTTTTACCTTACTGTTAATAAATAGAATTAAGCCTCTTATTTTTCACTTATATTTGTTTTTACAGAAGTCAAAGAGACATAGAGAAATAGGAGAGTTCATCAGTGATCTTTGGCTTGTTGCTTCTTTATTAAAAATATGGGTAAAACACACACAGACACAAGTAACCAAATAAGCAGATAGAAACAAGAACATCCAAAATAATAGAACTTAGTTCTAACCAAGTTCTAATAAGTTATTCTAATAATCTGATTATCATCAGAATGACTCTACTTTTCCATCATTATTCCCACCTCTAGCTGAATCAGTGATTAATTAATTTAGTGATTGTTAGATCCGTTGTTGAATGCTTTTTTTTTTTTTCTTACTGCTTTTTAGATCTTTATATGCTTTCTTCAATCTGGATCCAAACCTCTGAATAAAATTTAAGGTTCAGTTGAATATGTTAAAGATTTATTCTACCAATTCTACCAATAATCTATTATTTTTTTCCTTTTATTAGCAACTGGAAAGACTTACTGATCCTAGTTTACACTGACATACTGGAAATTTTAATGTAAACCATATGAACTTCCGCATTTTTCTTCATGATCAATATTTCAAAAATTCATCTCATCTGTACAAAAATATTGATACTAAAATGTGATATATTAAAATTTACTAGATAAATTCTAAGGGAAAACTGTTTGATATATACTTATAAAACAATATGCAGTGAATAAACTATCAGTTATGTGTATATTTTTTATGAAGACAAATTATAGACATTCAAAAGTTTGCTTATAATCATAGAAATTTTTGTACATCTAATTATTCATGGAAAAACCAAACTGTGTATAAAACATTTTAAAGAGAATATAGTGACCACAACCCAGGGAAACAGTCTCAAGGAGCCCTGCGAAAGTGTGCTTGACGTAATCAGTTTATAGTTTGTTTTATATATTTCAGGGAGACATGGGTTACAGGAAGAGACATAAATCAATACATGGAAAGTATACACTGGTTTTGCCCAGAAAGGTGGGACATCTTGAAACACAGGTTTCTAAGTCATAGATAGATTCAGAGATTCTTTTATCTGTAAGTAAAGGAACAAAACTTTGTTTAAAAGCTTGTGTTCAGCAGACAGGAATGTTTGGTCCTTTTCCTTTTTTCCTTAAAGACTTGTGGCTGCAGCATTTACCCTGAGATAACTTTGCCATGAAATATCCTGCTTTCTTATTATTTTTGCATTACTTCAGTATATTGACTTTGAAAACAAAAGGCATCCTTCTACTTATAGGATTCTGATTTTAGTAGTGGTATTTCCATTTACAAAATATAATAATTATCGATCACTGAAAATGTCAAATCCTAGAAAATGTAGCATTCCTATGTGTGATGTTAACATCATGCTTGAACAGTTGTTGGCCAAAGATTCATTTGATGAATCTAATTTTTCTGAAATAGACAATTCTGATGTTTGTTTTCCTGAGAAATAACTCCAAGAACAGTTTCTATATTTTATTTTCACATTGAAAATCAGTCAGATTGGCTTCATAATCAAACGAAGTGTTTATTTAAACTTAAATGAGCACTGGCAGTAAGCTGCACTTTTGTTTTTTTCCAAACAGGAAAAGGGGAAGATTAGGATGCTATGTCAGAATCAGCCACAAATGACCTGTTTAGTAAGATTATTAGCCTGCATGTGTGACTTAACACTTGCCTTGCATAGCCTTAGATCTTGCTTATTATTTGGTATCTTATTACCCAAGGAATCTGCTTTGTCAGTCATATGACCTCTATTTTAATATTAATGCTATTCAGTTGTTGTGCCTAAACTCAAAAACAGAAGAGAATATAATGAGGCATGTCTGACCTCCTTTCCCATTATGGCCAGGAACTCACTTCTTAAGGTTTCTCTGGGGTCTTTTTGGCAAAGAGGGGATTTTTTCCATTGATGGGAGTCGTCTTAGAATTTTAGTTTCAGTTTACATTATAGAGTCCTTCTTGGCATTTATCTCTAAAATTATTGCAAGGTCTAATAAAATGATGAGTTTGTATTTGGAAACTTGCAAATCACAAAAGTTATGTGTTTTGAAATAATATTTATAGTACAATTACCAAGAAAAATTAGAATATATTTTCACTAGAATTTATTTTTAAATATAAATTAAAACATGATTATAACATTTTTTCCAAATTATTTTCCCCTAAAAAAAAACACTTGTTTTGTTTTGTTTTGCCCGAGTCTACAATTTAAACAATCTGCTACTTGATAATATTTTCATCTGATTGGAAATTGCTTTTAATGGTTTTAATCTTAGTAATCCTAATGTTACAAAAAATTTGAAATTAATGTTCATCGAAAGCGAGGAATAATTATATTGTTCCATCTTTTTTCAAATTTTAAACAAACTGTCAGAATATATTATCATTTTGTAACACTCCCAATATTAATACTTTAATATCTGTTTAAACTATAATTGTTTCTAACACATTATTCTTATTCTTATTGCAAAATAGTAACAAACTTTAATTACATAATCTTACGCATATACAAGAGGCTGAAGTGAAAAATAATACAAATTATTTTCCACATTTAACTTTTTCTTTTTTGATTTTTGTCAAGTTAAACTAAAATGTCATTCTTCAGAAGTAAAAAAATTTTTAAATGTTTATACTAAATGCATGCTGAATTTTGTAGGATAATTTGTGTGCATGTATTCAAATTACCATGTAATAGTTTTCTATTATTCTATAAATACAGTATATTACCATTTTATATGAAAATATATTCCGTTTTATACAAAATATATGTAAGTACATATTTTATCTATTGTATTTATATAATTTTAGAAAATTATCATTATATTTATATATTTATTATCAACATATTTTTATTTAAATATGGGTATATTGACATATATGCATAATCACATATATAAATATAGTATATATGCATATTACATATATATGTAAATATTAAATATATTTAAATAAAATAAATATATGCAGCATATATTTACATGTATTTTTATGAAAGGAAATAGGTATTAATACATAAAATATATATACATAGATACATATCTATTATAATATGTTAAATCAGCCTTGATTTCCTGGGATAGATTCCATTTGGTCATAGTGTATATGTTTTTATGTGTTGTTAAATTTGGTTTAGTGGCATTTTCTTAAGGGGTTTTACATCTTATATCCATGATTAATATTAGTCCTTACTTTTCTAAATATGACTTTATCCAGCATTACCATCAGGGTAATATTGGCCTTATAGGTGAGTTGGGAAGTGTTCCTCCTTTATTTTCTGGACAAGTTTGTGAAAGGTGATTTTTCTTCTTAATTCAATTTTGGTATTTTTTTCTCTGGGATTTTTTTCATGTCATCTAAATTGACTATTTTATTGGCATAAAGTTATTTATAATCCCTTATAATTTCTACAGTCCTATAAGTTCACAGTGATTTTTTAAATCTGTATTTTCTTACATTTTCTTCATCATTCTGGATAAAGTTTGTCAACCTTGTTAATATTTTAAAAGAACCAACTTCATTTCCATTGCTTTCTCCATTGATTTTCTGTTATCTATTTCATTGATTTTTGCTTTAATCTTTATTACTTTCTTGTCTTTGCTTGACTTGGTTTAGTTTGCTCTTCTTTTTTAGTTTCTTAAAATAAAACTTGATTGGTGATTTAAACTTTCTTCTTTTTTTTGATACAGAAATTAAAGCTATAGATTTTCCATTTGCAGTCTTTAGATGAAGTGTTTTACAATTGTCAATTAGGTCAAGCTGGTTGATAGTGTTGTTCAAGTATTCTATAGAACTGTTAATTGTCTGTCTAATTTATCTATTACTTATTGAATATGGGGTATTAAAATCTTTTAGAGTGGCTGCTAAATTATCTAGTTCTTTGAACTCTCTCAATTTCTTATCTGTGCATATTGGGGCTCCTTTATTAAGTGTATATGCATTCTAATGAGTACCATTCCTGACACATGGACTTGTTTATCATTACAGTATGTACTTCTTTGTCTCTAGTAATACGTTTTGTCTTAAAATCCATTTTGTCTAATATTAGTATAGTAACTCAAACTCTATTATTATTAGTGTTTGTAAGGTAATTTTCTCCATGCTTTTACTTTAAACTTTTTACTTTCAATGTCACATAAGCTTTGTCTTTCAAAGACAGTATGCAATGGGTCCTGCATATGTCCTTTATTTAAAAATTTCTATCCATTGATGGGGTGTTTAGTGTATTCACGTTTAATGATATTATTGATGTAGTCACATTTATATTTGCTATTTTGCTATTTGTTTGGTTTTTATCATGTCTTTATTGTTGCTCTGTTCTTCCTTTACTGAATTATTAAAAACATATTTTAGTATACAATTTTCGTATTTCTGTTATTTTTTCAAGTTTTTTGAATTATTTTCCATTTCGTTGTCCTAGGTACTATAAAACGCATCTTAACTTATACTTCAGGATAATAGAAACTTAATTCTGGTAAAACATAAAAAGTTTACACCCATATATGAGATATTTCAAGAAATTCATAAAAAATTCATATTATGAAAAAACTATTCATGAATTTCAAAGTGTTTTTGCACCACGATAAACTTGTACTAACTTGTTTTAATATATCTGAAAAGGATCTAGTTTGGAGGCAGTAAGAAGGGTCAGACATCAGTTTGAAAAGAGCTCCCATCAGAGCAACATGAATTCAGTTAAAGCAAGAACAAACTTCAAATTTATAATGAAACTGGGGTGATAAGAATGGTGAAATCATTGATTCTTTACAAAAAGTTTATGGGGAGCATTTATCCCTACCGTATCTTAGAAGTAACTACATATATATATATATACACTTCAAAACAATATGCCATACATGTTAAATATATAATTTAAATAAATAAATAAATGAGAGAAAATATCTATCTAAAAGTTATGACTATAATGCTATATATAGATCGGGATATTGTGGGTTAGTGAAGCTAAGAAAATTACCCAAATTCACCCATTTAGTAATTGATGGAACTTTGACTCAAAATAAGCAATCTAGCTCAAGAAATGGAATTAATAATATGTTTAAGTAAGGCATATTTAAAGAGGATTGACTGTATTTGCTGCCTTGATATACTATAAAAAGATTTCCAGAAGTGGGCTTTATAATTACTTTTGTTAAACAAACAAACAAACAAAACTTCAATGCTCTAATACAGTGTGATCTCTGAATCACTGAAGATCTAGTCATAAGAAATCTTTTTCTTTTGATGAGTTCATGTCCTTTGTAGGGACATGGATGAAGCTGGAAACCATCATTCTCAGCAAACTATCGCAAGGACAGAAAACCAAACATTGCATGTTCTCACTCATAGGTGGGAATTGAACAATGAGAACACTTTGACACAGGAAGGGGAACATCACACACCTGGGCCTGTCCTGGTGTGGGGGGAGGGGGAGGGATAGCATTAGGAGATATACCTAATGTAAATGACAAGTTAATGGGTGCAGCACACCAACATCGCACATGTATACATATGTAACAAACCTGCACGTTGTGCACATGTGCCCTAGAACTTAAAGTATAAAAAAAAAAGAAATATTTTTCTTTTAATCTATATCACATCTTAAGCTTATTTCATCAATGATTTCTACAAGGAAACACTGCTAGAAAGATTCTAGTCATAATACCCAGAAGAATGCAACATAAATTTTTATACAAGAATTTTATATAACTTTTATAAGAATTATTGTTGCATTATTTGGGGTATTATGAATTAATACCCTGAATTCTTGTAAATTCTTACACAATTCTAATACATCAATTGAATATATGGACTGATAGTTATAAACATCTCAAAAAAGATAAGTAAAATAATAAAAGTACTCTATTTGCACATGTGTATAATTTCATAACTTAATAATTACATAATATAATTTAATTTGCATGTTAAACAAAATATATTGAAACACTAGATCATTTCTGATATTCTTTTAATGAAGGGAAATATGGGATCTAAGTGAGGACACGGGCTTACACTGAAAGCATCACAATATAATGTTAAAATCATGGACTCCAAGACTTCTTCTACCAATCATCAGCTATGTAACTTTGTTTGGTGTAGCAGAAGTCTGCAAAAATGGCCACAATAATTCCTTGTTTCCTATGTGCACATTCCCTTGGAATGTAGCTATAGGAATTCTGCATAATAAGGTGTAATCTATATGCCCATCCCATATATCTGGATTTGCATTTTGATTTGCTTGGAAAAAGAGAATATAAAATATGTAATGTTGCTAAACTTCAGAGCCTAAGCTTCAAAAGGCTTAGTTTCTACTCTCATCCTCTAGTAACACTTCCATAAATTACCTTCTAGAAAATCTAGAACTAGTTAGCTAGAAATGAGCAGCCCTGTTGAGAAGAACAAAGGAGCTGCAGATGACAGCCAGAATCAACTGACAATTATGTATGTACAACCACGTGAGACAAGTAAGCCCCAGGAGAGCTGCCAAGGGTCTGAAGTTGCATGAGTGACCCCAGGTAAAACCGGCAGAACCTTCCAGATAAACCCAAGTGCTAACATACAGATTTACAGGCAAATACATAGTTGACTTTTTCAGTTTAAGGTGATCTGTAAGTTTAGCATTATGCAGCTATAGATAACTAAAAAAATGCAGATTACTTAAATTCTCTGATGTTTTAGCTTTCTACCTATAAAGTTTGGAGAAATAATAGTCTGTACCTCATAGGTTGGTTTGGGGTTAATCTTCCTAAATTTTTTAATCAGTGCCTGGCACCTGGCAAATATTCTATATGTGACTGTGAAATACATAAATAAAACAGAAAACATATGATAAATTAGGCAAAATAGAAAACTATTGGCATAGGCCAGGCACAGTGGCTCACACTTGTAATCCTAGCACTTAGGGAAGCCAAAGCAGGTGGATCGCTTCAGGCCAGGAGTTCCAGACCAACCTGGCCAATATGGTGAAAACCTGTCTCTACTAAAAATACACAAATTAGCCAGGCATGGTGGCACACACCTGTAATACCAGCTACTTGGGAGACTCAGGCTGGAGAATGGCTTGAACCTGGGAGGTGGTGGTGGCAGCGAGCTGAGATCGTGCCACTGCACTCCAGGCTGAGCAGCAGAGAGAGACTCCGTTGCAGAAAAAAAACAAAAAAAAGAAAGAAAAGAAAACTATTGACTCACTTAATCACAGCATATAAAGGACTGGGTGCAATTGGATCTAAGAGATAACTGGATACTGAAAATTGAAAGCACTCAAAAATCCCTCTACTTCCTATCTCTGCTTTTTGGCATCATCTTCTCCCAACAGCTGTTTTCATATAGCTATATGTATGGTTGCAACCATCATTTGAATAGAGCAGAAATCTCAGTGTTTAAAGAAAGGATTTCTGAATATTCTCTTCACCTGACATTTCAAAGTACTACAAAAAAGTACTTTAGAAACTATGAATGATTAAAACATCAAATGTCAGCTTTCATAAATTACTAACAGTATATGTGCAATGCATTAATCTTTTTAACCTATATACTATATTAATATTGTATAACAAAAATAATTGAAGATTATTCCATTTATAAGCTTTGTATTGACTATAAACTATCAAAAATAGTTTAATTCAGACACACAACCATGGTAAAGCATTTGAAAGACAATTCATTGCAATGGAATTAGATATTTTATAAATCAAATTGAAAGTATATAAAATATCTTTATATAAATATTACATAAAAAATTATAATGAAATAACTATATATTATCTGTTTAAATATTAATTTAATGGAAAATATGCTAAATTATTAAATTCTGAAGAATCTTTACCAATGACACAGTGGGGATAAACACACACATTAAAAAAGAGTATAAATCTGGGAAACCAAAACCAGAGGCAAATCAAACTGTTATCCACAAAATCAAATTGGCTTCATCCCTGGGTCAAAAGGTTGATTCAACATATGAAAATCAATAAAAGTAATTCATCACATAAACAGAACTAAAGACAAAACCACCTGATTATCTCAACAGATGCAGAAAAGACCTTCCATAAAATTTAACATCCCTTCATGTTAAAAACTCTCAATAAATTAGGTACTGAAAGAACATACCTCAAAATAATGAGAAATGTATATGCCAAGCCCATAGCCAAAATCATACTGAGTGGGCAAAAGCTGGAAACATTTCTCTTGAAAACTGAAACAAGACAAAGCCAAGATGGCCGAATAGGAAAAGCTCCCGTCTACAGCTCCCAGCATGAGCGACGCAGAAGACAGTGATTTCTGCATTTCCATCTGAGGTACCGGGTTCATCTCACTAGGGAGTGCCAGACAGTGGGTGCAGGTCAGTGGGTGTGCGCACCGTGCGCGAGCCGAAGCAGGGCGAGGCATTGCCTCACTTGGGAAGCGCAAGGGGTCAGGGAGTTCCCTTTCCCAGTCAAAGAAAGGGGTGACAGACGCACCTGGAAAATCGGGTCACTCCCACCCAAATACTGCGCTTTTCCGACAGGCTTAAAAAACGGCGCACCACGAGATTATATCCCACACCTGGCTCGGAGGGTCCTACACCCAGGGAGTCTCACTGATTGCTAGCACAACAGTCTGAGATCAAACTGCAAAGCGGCAGCCAGGCTGGGGGAGGGGCGCCCGCCATTGCCCAGGCTTGATTAGGTAAACAAAGCAGCCTGGAAGCTCCAACTGGGCGGAGCCCACCACAGCTCAAGGAGGCCTGCCTGCCTCTGTAGGCTCCACCTCTGGGGTCAGGGCACAGACAAACAAAAAGACAGCAGTAACCTCTGCAGACTTAAATGTCCCTGTCTCACAGCTTTGAAGAGAGCAGTGGTTCTCCCAGTACGCAGCTGGAGATCTGAGAACCTGCAGACTGCCTCCTCAAGTGGGTCCCTGATCCCTCACCCCTGAGCAGCCTAACTGGGAGGCACCCCCCCAGCAGGGGCACACTGACACCTCACATGGCAGGGTATTCCAACAGACCTGCAGCTGAGGGTCCTGTCTGTTAGAAGGAAAACTAACAAACAGAAAGGACATCCACACCAAAAACCCATCTGTACATCACCATCATCAAAGACCAAAAGTAGATAAAACCACAAAGATGGGGAAAAAACAGAACAGAAAAACTGGAAACTCTAAAACGCAGAGTGCCTCTCCTCCTCCAAAGGAACGCAGTTCCTCACCAGCAACGGAACAAAGCTGGATGGAGAATGACTTTGACGAGCTGAGAGAAGAAGGCTTCAGACGATCAAATTACTCTGAGCTAAGGGACGACATTCAAATCAAAGGCAAAGAAGTTGAAAACTTTGGAAAAAATTTAGAAGAATGTATAACTAGAATAACCAATATAGAGAAGTGCTTAAAGGAGCTGATGGAGCTGAAAACCAAGGCTCCAGAACTACGTGAAGAATGCAGAAGCCTCAGGAGCCGATGGGATCAACTGGAAGAAAGGGTATCAGCGATGGAAGATGAAATGAATGAAATGAAGCGAGAAGGGAAGTTTAGAAAAAAAGAATAAAAAGAAACGAGCAAAGCCTCCAAGAAATATGGGACTATGTGAAAAGACCAAATCTACGTCTGATTGGTGTACCTGAAAGTGATGGGGAGAATGGAACCAAGCTGGAAAACACTCTGCAGGATATTATCCAGGAGAACTTCCCCAATCTAGCAAGGCAGGCCAACGTTCAGATTAAGGAAATACAGAGAACACCACAAAGATACTCCTCGAGAAGAGCAACTCCAAGACACATAATTGTCAGATTCACAAAAGTTGCAATGAAGGAAAAAATGTTAAGGGCAGCCAGAGAGAAAGGTCGGGTTACCCTCAAAGGAAAGCCCAACAGACTAACAGCAGATCTCTCGACAGAAACCCTACAAGCCAGAAGAGAGTGGGGGCCAATATTCAACATTCTTAAAGACAAGAATTTTCAACCCAGAATTTCATATCCAGCCAAACTAAGCTTCATAAGTGAAGGAGAAATAAAATACTTTACAGACAAGCAAATGCTGAGAGATTTTGTCACCACCAGGCCTGCCCTAAAAGAGCTCCTGAAGGAAGCGCTAAACATGGAAAGGAACAACCGGTACCAGCCACTGCAAAATCATGCCAAAATGTAAAGACCATCGAGACTAGGAAGAAACTGCATCAACTAACGAGCAAAATCAACAGCTAACATCATCATGACAGGATCAAATTCACACATAACAATATTAACTTTAAATATAAATGGACTAAATGCTCCAATTAAAAGACACAGACTGGCAAATTGGATAGTCAAGACCCATCAGTGTGCTGTATTCAGGAAACCCATCTCATGTGCAGAGACACACATAGGCTCAAAATAAAAGGATGGAGGAAGATCTACCAAGCAAATGGAAAACAAAAAAAGGCAGGGGTTGCAATCCTAGTCTCAGATAAAACAGACTTTAAACCAACAAAGATCAAAAGAGACAAGGCCATTACATAATGGTAAAGGGATCAATTCAACAAGAAGAACTAACTATCCTAAATATATATGCACCCAATACAGGAGCACCAAGATTCATAAAGCAAGTCCTGAGTGACCTACAAAGAGACTTAGACTCCCACACATTAATAATGGGAGACTTTAACACCCCACTGTCAACATTAGACAGATCAACGAGACAGAAAGTCAACAAGGATACCCAGGAATTGAACTCAGCCCTGCACCAAGCGGACCTAATAGACATCTACAGAACTCTCCACCCCAAATCAACAGAATATACATTTTTTTTAGCACTGCACCACACCACACCTATTCCAAAATTGACCACATACTTGGAAGTAAAGCTCTCCTCAGCAAATGTAAAAGAACAGAAATTATAACAAACTATCTCTCAGACCACAGTGCAATCAAACTAGAACTCAGGATTAAGAATCTCACTCAAAACCGCTCAACTACATGGAAACTGAACAACCTGCTCCTGAATGACTACTGGGTACATAACGAAATGAAGGCAGAAATAAAGATGTTCTTTGAAACCAGTGAGAACAAAGACACAACATACCAGAATCTCTGGGACGCATTCAAAGCAGTGTGTAGAGGGAAATTTATAGCACTAAATGCCCACAAGAGAAAGCAGGAAAGATCCAAAATTGACACCCTAACATCACAATTAAAAGAACTAGAAAAGCAAGAGCAAACACATTCAAAAGCTAGCAGAAGGCAAGAAATAACTAAGATCAGAGCAGAACTGAAGGAAACAGAGACACAAAAAACCCTTCAAAAGATTAATCAATCCAGGAGCTGGTTTTTTGAAAGGATCAACAAAATTGATAGACTGCTAGCAAGACTAATAAAGAAAAAAAGAGAGAAGAATCTAATAGACACAATAAAAAATGATAAAGGGGATATCACCACTGATCCCACAGAAATACAAACTACCATCAGCGAATATTACAAACACCTCTATGCAAATAAACTAGAAAATCTAGAAGAAATGGATAAATTCCTGGACACATACACTCTCCCAAGACTAAACCAGGAAGAAGTTGAATCTCTGAATAGACCAATAACAGGAGCTGAAATTGTGGCAATAATCAATAGCTTACCAACCAAAAGAGTCCAGGACCAGATGGATTCACAGCTGAATTCTACCAGAGGTACAAGGAGGAACTGGTACCATTCCTTCTGAAACTATTCCAATCAATACAAAAAGAGGGAATCCTCCCTAACTCATTTTATGAGGCCAGCATCATTCTGATACCAAAGCCAGGCAGAGACACAACAAAAAAAGAGAATTTTAGACCAATATCCTTGATGAACATTGATGCAAAAATCCTCAATAAAATACTGGCAAACTGAATCCAGCAGCACATCAAAAAGCTTATCCACCATGATCAAGTGGGCTTCATCCCTGGGATGCAAGGCTGGTTCAATATACGCAAATCAATAAATGGAATCCAGCATATAAACAGAGCCAAAGACAAAAACCACATGATTATCTCAATAGATGCAGAAAAAGCCTTTGACAAAATTCAACAACCCTTCATGCTAAAAACTCTCAATAAATTAGGCATTGATGGGACATATTTCAAAATAATAAGAGCTATCTATGACAAACCCACAGCCAATATCATACTGAATGGGCAAAAACTGGAAGCATTCCCTTTGAAAACTGGCACAAGACAGGGATGCCCTCTCTCACCACTCCTTTTCAACATAGTGTTGGAAGTTCTGGCCAGGGCAATTAGGCAGGAGAAGGAAATAAAGGGTATTCAATTAGGAAAAGAGGAAGTCAAATTGTCCCTGTTTGCAGACGACATGATTGTATATCTAGAAAACCCCATTGTCTCAGCCCAAAATCTCCTGAAGCTGATAAGCAACTTCAGCAAAGTCTCAGGATGCAAAATCAATGTACAACAATCACAAGCATTCTTATACACCAGCAACAGACAAACAGAGAGCCAAATCATGAGTGAACTCCCATTCACAATTGCTCCAAAGAGAATAAAATACCTAGGAATCCAACTTACAAGGGATGTGAAGGACCTCTTCAAGGAGAACTACAAACCACTGCTCAAGGAAATAAAAGAGGATACAAACAAATGGAAGAACATTCCATGCTCATGGTTAGGAAGAATCAATATCGTGAAAATAGCCATACTGCCCAAGGTAATTTACAGATTCAATGCCATCCCCATCAAGCTACCAATGACTTTCTTCACAGAATTGGAAAAAACTACTTTAAAGTTCATATGGAACCAAAAAAGAGGCGGCATCGCCAAGTCAATCCTAAGCCAAAAGAACAAAGCTGGAGGCATCACACTACCTGACTTCAAACTATACTACAAGGCTACAGTAACCAAAACAGCATGGTACTGGTACCAAAACAGAGATATAGATCAATGGAACAGAACAGAGCCCTCAGAAATAACGCCGCATATCTACAACCATCTGATCTTTGACAAACCTGAGAAAAACAAGCAATGGGGAAAGGATTCCCTATTTAATAAATGGTGCTGGGAAAACTGGCTAGCCATATGTAGAAAGCTGAAACTGGATCCCTTCCTTACACCTTATACAAAAATCAATTCATGATGGATTAAAGACTTAAACGTTAAACCTAAAACCATAAAAACCCTAGAAGAAAACCTAGGCATTACCATTCAGGACATAGGCATGGGCAAGGACTTCATGTCTAAAACACCAAAAGCAATGGCAACAAAAGACAAAATTGACAAATGGGATCTAATTAAACTAAAGAGCTTCTGCACAGCAAAAGAAACTACCATCAGAGTGAACAGGCAACCTACAAAATGGGAGAAAATTTTCGCAACCTACTCATCTGACAAAGGGCTAATATCCACAATCTACAATGAACTCAAACAAATTTACAAGAAAAAAACAAACAACCCCATCAAAAAGTGGGCAAAGGACATGAACAGACACTTCTCAAAAGAAGACATTTATGCAGCCAAAAAACACATGAAAAAATGCTCATCATCACTGGCCATCAGAGAAATGCAAATCAAAACCACAATGAGATACCATCTCATGCCACTTAGAATGGCAATCATTAAAAAGTCAGGAAACAACAGGTGCTGGAGAGGATGTGGAGAAATAGGAACACTTTTACACTGTTGGTGGGACTGTAAACTAGTTCAGCCATTGTGGAAGTCAGTGTGGCGATTCCTCAGGGATATAGAACTGGAAATACCATTTGACCCAGCCATCCTATTACTGGGTATATACCCAAAGGACTATAAATCATGCTGCTATAAAGACACATGCACACGTATGTTTATTGCGGCATTATTCACAATAGCAAAGACTTGGAACCAACCCAAATGTCCAACAATGATAGACTGGATTAAGAAAATGTGGCACATATACACCATGGAATACTATGCAGCCATAAAAAATGATGAGTTCACGTCCTTTGTAGGGACATGGATGAAATTGGAAAACATCATTCTCAGTAAACTATCCCAAGAACAAAAAACCAAACACCGCATATTCTCACTCATAGGTGGGCATTGAACAATGAGATCACATGGACACAGGAAGGGGAATATCACACTCTGGGGACTGTTGTGGGGTGGGGGGAGGGGGGAGGGATAGCATTGGGAGATATAGCTAATGCTAGATGACGAGTTAGTGGGTGCAGTGCACCAGCATGGCACATGTATACATATGTAACTAACCTGCACAATGTGCACATGTACCCTAAAACTTAAAGTATAATAAAAAATAAATAAATAAAATAAAATAAAATAAATGACAAAAAAAAAAAAAGAAAAAAAAAGAAAACTGACACAAGACAAGGATGCCCTACCTCACCACTCCTATTCAACATAATTTTGGAAGTTGTGGCCAGGGCAATCAGGAAAGAGAAAGAAATAAAGGGTATTTAAATAGGAAAAGGTAAAGTCAGTCTTTGTTTGCAGATGACATGATTCTATGTCTAGAAAACCCTATCATCTCAGCCCAAAAGCTTCTAAAGCTGATAAACAACTTCAGCAAAGTCTCAGCATACAAAATCAATGTGCTAAAATTGCAAGCATTCCTATACACCAACAACTGGCAAGGAGAGAGCAAAATGATGAATGAACTCCCATTCACAATTACTACAAAAATAATAAAATACATAGAAATACAGCTAACAAGAAAGGTGAAGGACCTCTTCTAGGATAACTACACACCACTCTCAAAGAAATCAGAAGTGAAACAAACAAATGGAAAAACATTTCATGCTCATTGATAGGAAGAATCAATATCGTGAAAATGATTATACTATCCAAAGCAATTTATATATTCAATGCTATTCCCATTAAACTATCATTGACATTCTTCACAGAATTAGAAAAACCTATTTTAAAATTCATATGAAATCAAATAAGAGCCCAAATAGCCAAGACAATTCTAAGCAAAAAGAACAAAGCTGGGCCCATCATGCTGCCTGAATTTAAACTATACTAAAAGGCAACAATAACCAAAACAACATGGTACTGGTATAACAACAGATACGTAGACTAATGGAACAGAATAGAGAACTCAGAAGTAAGACTGCACAACTACAGATATTAGATCTTTGACAAACCTTACAAAAAAAAGCTATGGGGAAAAGATTCTCTATTTCATAAGCGGTGCTGGGAGAACTGGCCTGCCATATGCATAAAACTGAAAGTCAACCCCTTCCTTAAACCAAATACAAAAATTAACTCAAGATTGATTAAAGCCTTAAATGTAAAACCCCAAACTATGAAAACTCTAGAAGAAAACCTAGGCAATACCATTTAGGATATTTTCATGAGCAAGTATTTTATGACAAAAACCCAAAAAGCAATTGCAACAAAAGCAAAAATTGACACATGGAATCTAATTCAACTACAGAGCTTGTGCCCATCAAAAGAAGCTATCATCAGCGTGAACAGACAACCTATAGAATGGGAGAAAATTTTTGCAACCTATCCATCTGACAAAGGTCTAATATCCAGAGTCTACAAGGAACTTAAACCAATTTACAAGAAAAAAACAAACAACTGCATTAAGAAGTGAGCAAAGGACATGAACAGACAATTCTCAAAAAAAGGCATACATGTGGCCAACAAACAGATGAAAAAAAGCTCAACATCTCTGATCATTAGGTAAATGCAAATCAAAACTACAGTGATATACCATCTCACACCAGTCAGAATGGCTATTTCTGAAAAGTCAAAAACAACAGATTCTGGCAAGCTTTCAGAGAAAATGAAATGCTTTAACACTGTTGGTGGGAGTGTAAATTAATTCAACCATTGTGGAAGACACTGTGGCAATTCCTCAAAGACCTAAAGGCAGAAATACCATTTGACCTAGCAATACTATTATGGGCATATACTCACAGGAATATAAATAATTCTATTATAAAGATACATGCAAGTGTATATTCATGCAGTGCTATTCACAATAGCAAAGACATGGAATAAACCTAAATGCCCATAAATGATAGACTGGATATAGAAAATGTGGTACATATACATCATGGAATACTATGTGGCCATAAAAAGGAACGAGATCATGTCCTTTGCAGAGACATGGATGGAGTTGGAAGCCATTATCCTCAGCAAACTAATGCAGAAACAGATAAACACCATATGTTCTAATAATTGGGAGGTGAATGATAAAAACACATGGACGCATTGGAGGTAACAACACACACTGAGGCTTGTTGGAGTCCATGGGGGAGGGTTAGCATCAGGAAGAATAGCTAATGGATGTTGGGCTATCACCTAGGTGATAGGATGATCTGTGCAGCAAACGAATATGGCAAACATTTACCTATGTAACAAACCCGCACATCCTGCACGTGTACCCCCGAATTTAAAACAAAAGTTAAAGAAATATATAAATTATATAGACCTGTAGGTATTTTTCTGTAACCCCAATGATCAGATAAAGCAAGGACACAGTTTAAGTTCAAAAGTATAGAGCAAAAATTTGGATATTACTATATAGCACAGAAAAAATTTTCAATATTCTTGTTTCTAGTCTTCTTCCTCTCTCTACTAATAGCATTATATTGAGCAAAACCCATGCAGGAAAATTTTGAACAAACACTTCATAAAGGGAGATACTCAAATGGCCAATAAGCACATGAAAAATTTGATCAATATCATTAGTTACCAGAGATGAAAAGCTAAAACCATAATGATTTAACATTACACACAACCTGAATGATAATTTTAAAATATTGACGACACTGAATTGTGTTTGTAGAGCAACTGAAACACTCACAAACTGCTGATAGAAGCATATATCTACTTTGAAAATCAGTTTGATACCTTCTTCAAACTATGATACATGAGTTTTATTTATCAAAGATAAATAAAAACATGACCACAGAAAGCCTTAGACAAAGAATTTTCATAGTAGCTTTATTTGTAGCAAGCAAAATCTGCAAATACCCAACAATAGCTATTCATCATCAGGGAAACTGATAAACTATGACATATTTATAAAATATAATTTTACTAAGGAACA
Source organism: Homo sapiens (assembly GCF_000001405.40). NCBI lineage: Eukaryota > Metazoa > Chordata > Mammalia > Primates > Hominidae > Homo > Homo sapiens. The sequence continues at coordinate 43,500,969 of NC_000014.9, forward strand.
GAAAGGAAGAAACTATTGATCTGTGTAAAAATACAGATGCCAGGATTTTGCTGAGAGTCATTTTGGTGAAAAATAGAACAAAATATACTGTCTGATTCTATTTATAAGAAGCTCTGGATTAGACAATAGAAATCTATGATGATAGGAAAAATATCTGAGAGCAGGAAGTATGGAAACTTGACTGGAAGCTGCATAAGGAAACAATAAAAATTCTACATTTTGATAAGGGTGTGATTATATGGCCTTATTAATTTTTTAAAACCCACTGAACTATAGAATTATCTATGTATTTTATCATATTTATATATCAATAAGATGAATTACTGAAAAAACCCGCAAGTCAGCAGCTTAAAATATACATCATTTTTAATTAAAATAAACAAATTGAACTACTATTAGATTCGGTTTGGGCTCTAAATTGATATTAATCCTTGGAGACTTTCTTGGCCATTATTAAATTGACTAGCATGGTTGTAACTATGAATTGTGAGTCCACATTGCTTTCTCATCCCTTATAGGTGGCATCACTTCTTCATCCCTTTTAAGAGCCATCATTTCTTAAAAGGAAGTCCTCCAATAAACAGGATAAGGGAGTAGACATTCTCCATGTTCACAAATACATCAGCACAAATCCAATTTCATTAACCTTATCCTTTTCTGTATTCAGAATGTTCAAGCAATTAAATATTGAAAATATTTATAAACGATGATTTATTTGAACGATTGCAATGACAGGGTTAGTTAGACAAGCTATGAGGTGTCATTTCTATTTAAAGCCTGTCCATGATGTTATAAGATTATGTACCCATCAGTCCACCAAGTTTTCTGTAGTATAATCAACAAGTAATTTATAATATATCTTATAATTTATTTTATCAGTGTATTTTATTTTTCTCCAACTTTATATGATAATTATATCATTCCCTTAAATATTATTTTATAACTATTAAACTTACATATCACCTAAAAGGGATAGAATGTTATAGACATCAGGTTATTCGGTAATTATTAAATGTGTCAGTTTAAATGTAAGTGGTTAGTTCATAAAAACATACATATGTAGCAGTCTGATTACTGAGAGATATAATTATTATATTTTATATACGTGTAGGAAATGTTAATCCAGAAAGTGTGGTTTTTAAAATGATACCTGGGAGCCAAGAACTGGGTTTTAGATTTTGTTATATGGAAGATAAACTTAAAGATGAAAATCTGCTATATTTCAAGTGATGCATAAGGCCACTTCCAAATTGCAAATTAAAAATGGCATCAGAAAGCAACTCCCTGAAGCAAAATGATCTGAAATCCATGATAGCAAAAGTAACAGGTTTCTTCTGTCTGTCAGTAAATTCATAACAAAGGCATGGGAAGGCAAACTAATCACAGCAGAGCTAAACTACAGGATAATTTGTTCTTACAGGAACTTGATTTAACATTTTACCATTTTCCAAAGAGCATGATTCAGAATGGTCATATTTCAAGTTCTAGGAGAGTCCATGAGGTATCTTTATCTCTTAACACATACAATGATATACATTCTTTCTTTGTCATTATTATTTTTGTTTCTAGCTAGAAATATAGTGTTTGTATCTAAAAGCTTCTATCAGTCCACAACATGTAAAGTAAAACTCTTACTTTTATCTGCTCTTAAGGTATTCCTGTTGGCAGTTGTAGTTTAACGTATGTTTCTAGTTTGTACTGGGAATTTTTAATAAAACATAAAATGATATTTCATACACATAAAATACATATGTATGTATGCTGATACAAGTACACATTAATATGTATATTTCAAAATATGTGTTGATTTGTACACTGAGGAGGGACCTATTTTTGTCTCTGCATGAAAAACATAATGATGTGCTTAAGGATTGTGGAAGAGGAGACTGGAGAGGAGCGGAGGGGAGGGGAGGGGAGAGGAGAGGAGGAGAGGAGAGGAGAGGAGAGGAGATTATTTATGAAGAGCCAAGATGCCTTCCTACAGGGCAAGAACAAAAACCTCATTACCTTTCTCCTGAAATTTGCATCTATTTAAACACCTGAGGGTCAACCGCAAAGCTCAGTAGAAAAAATGAGTCCCCTGACATAAAATCAAGATATAAAGATAAAAGAAATAAAACCCACGGACTTGTTCCTAAGAGACAGGCTAACAGTTGTGACTATAAATTTATATCTACAATGTGGTTGACACTGGAATCTAGCAGAGTCAAACCTTCCTGTGAGAATTTAGACTTAAATGTCATCTAGTTTGAAATGTAAGCCCAGGTTTTGTATAAAAGATTCTAGGCTGATCCTACCACTATATGGGTGGTAGGAAGAATTTTTTTCTTAAATTTTGCACTTTGAAACACTGTAAAGGTACTAAACATTTACAGTTGGAAAAAACTCAAACTCAAAATTTGAGTTGTTTTCCAAGCTCAAAGGTGGGACTAAGAGTGACTGATTTTGTGGATAAGACTCAGAATTCAGTTGTCTTCATGAATCATGATAGGAAGGGGAAAACCAGGAGGATAGGACAACATTATAGGATAAGTGAGACTGTGAATCAAGATGTGTAATTCTAGTTAAAAACAAAAACAAACAAAACCAACACAAAACCTGCAAACAAAAAAGCAAAAAAAAATGTGACTATCTTTTGGAGTGCAAACTGGCATAGTAGGATACATAATACTGATAAATTAACAGAAGCTTCCTAAATTCCTGAAGTATATATGCAATGCATATAATCTATCTTATCCAACAGGTGGCTCCAAAGACTCATTTGACTTTTCTTGTAATGCAAAAAAATCTGAGTATGGAGCATTGTAAACTTTAATATACTTGACAACCAAGCCCTGAGTTTAATAAAGGGCATGAGATAACCAAATAAAGAAAAGCTTCCTTTCTGGAATCAGATGCTGTTACTGGAGTGTGAGTGGCAATAATAATTATCACTAGTCAGCTGAAATCACAGAAGTTTATGTTCCACAATAATGCAAAATAAAGAAGAAGTTAAAGATGAGTTTTAAAAGTTAACCTCAAAGTCACTGGAGATGAATAAGCTGTTACACTTAATTAAAAAAAAAAAAAAAAACCCTTGCCATAAAGTGCCTATGTTCCTTTAGCTACATGATATGTGTGTTAATTAATAATCAAAGTTCAGCCTGAAGGAAATTTGGTACAGTAATTTGTTAAAGTAAAAGTGAATTTGAAATGTGCTATCAATTCTAATTGAGTTATAAAAAAAAATCCCCAGGAAGAAGATTTTTTTTAAATAGTTTTAAGTTAAAACAAAAAAAACTTTCAAAAAGGAAGTAACACTGACTGGGGAATAGTTTTATGAAACATATTCTAGAACTTTAGTTTTCTAAGATATTGTGATCAACATAAAACGATGTTTTTCAGGAAAATCATTATCAGTTAATGGCAGATAATGGCATAATGTAGGCTAAAATCAGGTGAAGAGTGATAGCATCAGGATTTACTCATCTGAACGGTTTCTCTTTCCCTCAAGGGTCAGATAAATTGGACTAACTTCTGAAACACAGTATTATCTGAAATGCTATCAGCAGTTACCTTTGTATAGATAATTCAACTGCATAAGAATTATTTTGTACTTATACTGTGTTCAGGATTATCTCAAGTGATATAATGAGGAGTAAAAAAAGTATACAATTTTGTCCATTCAAGAAGATTATATTCTTCTTGAGAAAAAGCAGCGTGCAAATATAAAGCCAGTAGCTAATGATAGAAAAATATGTCATGTTTCTAAATTGTTGGTTCAAATTGTTAGAGTAGGTTACAGTATTTGCTGCTCTCATTGTCAATAAGTAAGACAGACGTTGGTCTGAAAAAATGGAAATTATTCAAATGCTAGAAGAGTAGGGCATATGAGAAATAGTGGATAAAAACATTCATCACAAAGAAGAAAATGAATAAATTATGTAAAATAATTCCCCTGGCCTGATGAACTTCTTTCACTGGGAAAAATGAGAATGCACTTTTGAAAGGGAATTTTTTAAATTCTTTAAAAGCCAATTTCAGCAGCTTCTCCAATAGAGTAGCTTCTGAAAAAGTACATGGCCATAAAATAGGAGTAATTTAGGTATTTTCAACCTGTCTGGATATTACTTTAAAGCTAAAGATTCTGTATAGCTAGGTACCCTAATGAACCTTGTAATAATGAACCTATTCCTCTTTCTGTGCAATCCCTTCCCACATCAAATAGGGTTGACCTATATAACAAATAGAGCATTGCAAAAATGACAATGTGTGATTCTGAGACCAGGTAATCCAAGGCATTGTGGCTACTTTATGCTCTAAGGAATCACTCTCTGTGGGATATCATGAGGATACTCAAGCAGTCTTTTGGAAAGGCCCGTGTAATGTGAAAATGTCACTGTGTGTCAAGAGCCAGCAAGGAACTGGGCCTTCCTCTTAGCTATTTGTGAAAACCTTCTAGAGAATGGTTCTACAGTCTAGTCCAGACCTCAATTGACTGCAGCTCCAGTTGACATCTGTGCTACATCCTTATGAAAGAACCTGAGATAGAATCACCCAGCTAAGTCATTTCCAAGTACCGTACCCTCAGAAATTATGAAATAGTAAATGTGTAATTGTTTAAGTTGCTAGTTGTGGGTAATTTGTTATGCAGCAGTAGATAACAAATACAAAAGCCTTACTCTTAAGTAGTAGTGGTAAATGAATGCAAAAAGAAAATAAGAAACTTCCAACACTCTATGTTTAGTCTACTAAATATTCTAAATGCTTTCTGACAATCAAATAATTTTTCCTTATTAAAATATTGATTCTAAAGCCTGATGAATTTAGACATGTGAATACACATGTTAATTATACATCTTCTCTAATTAATACAAATATTTCCCCTGTATAGGTTCAATTAGGAGATTAAATATGGAGTTATTAAGAATTATCTATCATCAAAATTAAAGATGTCAATGAGCCATTATCAGTATGATCAGCATATTCCAAGAGCATCTGAGCGAGTCGTTTATACTATTTTGACTAAGTTAAACTTTGTTGATCTTAGGTAAATGATAACCTGATGTTCTAAAAATCTCTAATACTGAACTAGCTTCATTGTTACCTTTGGAAAAATATGACTCTTCTTTATTTTGAGACAGAGTAATGTGCTGCTTGAGCAGGTGTTGAATTCTGGAGGGGATGAAAATATGCTTAACTCAGAAATTATTTTACTTATTAAAATTCCCTTTCACTGACATTTATTGTAGTTTTGTCAGAATAACTTCAGTGCTGACAAGTTTTAAATAGCATGGAATCTGCTATTAGAGGATTTGGAAATTCTGAATAGAAAATTAAAACATTGCAAGTTTTACCAGGAGTTTTCATGTTTTACTTCAAAGTCTTATTCGTTTAATCAACCTGATTCTCACTTGTGAGGGAGTTGAGCTGCTTTCAATTTTACATTAGTTTTGATTATGTGCTTTCAAGCAGAAGGATGATAAGAAGAGCAATAAAATAATCTTCCTCAAGTTGTGAAAGAATGGCCATTCTTCTTGGCCTGCACAGGAAAGAACACATCTCCCTAGGATGGATTAAGAGAGCTTTCAGCACCTTTTTTGCTAGGTCACAGCTTCTCACATTCTATATCAAAATAGGTTTCATTGTTTTGTTTTTTTTTTTTAGTAACTTCAGTCATATTCTTCTAGGTTATTTCACTTCTTTTCATAAGAGAAATTGAAAGTATCTAATATTTAAGAATCCATAATAGTCTGCCTTCCAAATGAAAGAGTGAACTTAATGGTGAGAACTCATCCCATCTTTATCTAATCTGAAGCACCAAGAGGTTCTCAAAAACATGCCTGGTTGCATAAGAGTGCATAAATTTAACAATTGGTGCTCAAGTATAAATGGAAATATTTGGGCCTGTAACTATTTAGAGTCATGAAAATAATTGGTCTATGTGTGTTTAACATACTTTTAAATAAGACATGTATGCAAGTGGATGATGGCATACATGTAACTCCTTTGGAATTTCCTATACATTTCAAAATGTTCATTCAATTTATGTATGTAACATGGATAAATGCACATAAAAGAATGTAGATGTAATACAAATGTTTCTAATTGCTTTTATATAGATTTAAGGAATGAAAGCAATATTAAATTAATTATCAATAAAGTATATTCAAATTTTCTTTTTAAAACTGTCTTAGATTTTATAAGAATCAATTGATTTGGCTGTGAGAAAAATATAAATCCCATAGGCATGCATAAAGTGGTGATTTTAGAAAAATAGCTAAGTGAATCAAGTCATTGTCTTACTTATATATGACAAGGAGAGAAGAACTTCAAAAAGAAACTGTAAATTGTACTGGAATACAACAGAATTTAATCAGAGATGAAAAAATGTAAATCATATTATCGTTACAAATTATAAACCAGTATATACTTTGTTACATCCTTGCTCAGTTTTTTTTATTTCAGTAAAACTTTCATGAAATTGTAATTTAATGTAATTGCATTCTACAATAACTAGAAAATGTGTGCAAGTTTTAAAGTTTTGTTGTATACTGGGTATATTTATGTGTATTCTTCAACAACAAATTCAGAGACTGCAATCAATAGAACTGAAATATAGGCTCACCTCAGCTCCACAAAATGAACAAGAGTACCATCTAATTGGCTATAGTTGAACAAGTAGGAGAACATGAGAAAGTGTTACAAGTGATATACTCTGTAAACAACTAATCACAGGGGCTAGTGAATGGTTTTATTTGTTACACCTATACTAAATGATGGGATGAAATGTTACATTACCTATATAGTTCAATCAGTTCACAGACATATTTAGAAAATAAATTTTTATATGTTAAATATTTTACCTAGTTGAAAAGGTGAGGGATGACGATACTGAGCTTTTAAATAGAAACAAAGTCAGTCACTATCAAAAGACAATTTCATCCCATAAAGCTAATTGCCAGAAAACCAAATACCACATGTTCTTACTTATAAGTCATAGCTAAACAATTAGCACATGAAATAAAGATGGAAATAATAGACCCTGGGGACTCCAAAATGGGGGAGACTAGAAGTAAGGTGGGAGTTGAAAAATTACCTAACAGATAACAGTGTTCACTATTTGGGTAAAGGATACACTAGAAACCCAATCCCCACAAGTACATAATATACCTATATAACAAACATGTACATATACCCCCTGAATCTAAAATAAAATAAAAATAAATTTAAAAAAACAAACAGGCTTACACTTGCCTTTTAGAGGTGTATATGTAAACTGGCATAATACAAACTGATGGAGAAAGAAACATTGTAATAACAAATTCACAATGTTTGCCTACAAAGGCCTTTCTTTGTTAAACTCTCATTCACTGAAACAAAACAATTTATAATGCATTTTTTATTGTTATCATTTTATTATTATTTAAATGGATGTATGTATTGTAGAAAGTTACCAAAAAAAAAAAAAAAACCCAAAACCTTGCTTATTTAACTTAAGGTTCTCTAACTTTCCACATCAATACATTTTCACTTACGATGCATTTTTAAGAAAGTATGCTTACATTTGCCTTTTATTGCTAGATATCTCTATTAGCCTATTACAGCCCAATGGAGAAAGAAAAATGTTCTAATGACGTCTAAAATTTCACTGAGAAGGCTGTTATGCTGTCAAATGCTTCCATTCATTAAAAAAAAAAAACAGCTTATGAGCCTGTAAGAAAGCAAATTTACATTTACCTTTCATTACTGGATTTGTCTGTTGGCCTATTAGCACCTAAAGAAAAAAGAAACATGTCCTAGTATGATATTCTCAATGTTTGTCTAAAGGAAAGAAAGAAAAAGAGAAAGAGAGAGGAGAAAGAAAGAGAAGGAGAGACAGAGAGAGACAGGAAGGAAGGAAGGAAGGAAGGAAGGAAGGAAGGAAGGAAGGAAGGAAGGAAGGGAGGGAGGGAGGGAAGAAAGAAAAGAAAAGAAAAGAAAGAAAGAAAGAGAAAGAAAGAAAGAAAGAAAGAAAGAAAGAAAGAAAGAAAGAAAGAAAGAAAGAAAGAAAGGAAGGAAGGAAGGAAGGAAGGAAGGAAGGAAGGAAGGAGGGAGGGAGGGAAAGAAGGGAGGGAGGGAGCGGGGGAAAGAAAGAGGCGGGAGGGAGGGAGGGAGGAAGGAAGGAAGGAAGGAGGGAAGGAAGGAAGAGTGCTGGGTGCGGTTGCTCACGTCTGTAATCCCAGCACTTTGGGAGGCCGAGGCGGGCAGATCACGAGGTCTGGAGTTCGAGACCAGTCTGACCAACATGTGAGAGCTCGTCTCTACTAAAAATAGAAAAATTTTTTAGCTGGGCATGGTGGCGTGCATCTTTAATCCCAGCTACTCAGGAGGCTGAGGCAGGAGAATTGCTTGAACCTGGGAGGTGTAGGTTTTAGTGAGCTGAGTTCATGCCACTGCACTCCAGCCTGAGTGACAGAGCAAGACTCTGTCAAAAAGAAAGAGAGAAAGAGAGAGAGAAAGGGAGAGAGGGAGGAAGGAAGGAAGGAAGGAAAAGGAAGGGAAGGAAAAGTGGGGGGGGAGGGGGATAGACGACAGAATGCCATCATTAAATTCATGACGATACTGTAGTAGGCTCCAAGGTCAAAGTTCTCTAAAATATTTTGAAACACTATAAAATAAATTACACAATATGCTAGCAATATGAAAAAGTAACCTAATTACACGTGCATTTTGTTACAGTACAAATTTGTTTGAGAAAAAGAAAGGTGAAAACTATAACTTCTGGTGGGAGTTCAGGATAATTGGTATTCATTTTAACACAATTGACATAAAGTGATAAAGTGAGACTGTTAGACCTTTTATACCCATATTACTTTTAGGAATTAAAAGAAAAAGCTTACTGCATACAATGCTGCTGAAATTTTAGTATTTCTCATATAATCATTAGAAAGTAAATATACATTTTAATATTATTTCAATTCCAAATGTGAAATATAAGTTGCTAATGTATTAAATAAGGCATGATTTTATATAGACATTTTTTACATAGAAGTCATCTTTAGTTTATAGTTCATTTGTACAGAAAGGAAATACAGCAGAAAACAATAAAAAGTATAACCTCACTGATTCATAATATTGCCAATTTTTTAGCAAAAAGAATAAAGCATATTTTTTCTATGATAATGCAAATGATCTTTATAACATATTTTATGAACAGCAAATTTATTTGAAGTAAATGATTTTTAGGTAATGTTGTTTTATGAAGAAAAGAATATTCACTGCTTGGTCAAACAATCTCTGAGAGTTACACCTGGAAAAGAATTATGTGAGTAATGCAACTATTGATTTATAATGATACACTTAGATATTTATAAAAACATCTAGTAATAGACTATTTTAGTTGAAAGGGATCATAATACAGGACTCATAACCTAATTCATGACTCAGTATAGAGATATTCACTACAGTAAGAGGGTCATCTATTTACTAGTAGAAAATTTTCAGTAATCAAGAACCTGTTATGATACAAAAACAGTGTCTAGAAGGTTAGGCACATCATTTAAATTGAACCTAAGTCTGCTTCTCCATAATTTCCAAATTTAGTTTTTTTTTTCTTTCTGGAACAATATTAACTACAATACTGTCTCTGTATGACATTTATTTTAATAGTTGAATATGCTTAATTAAAAGTAATAAAGTCATACATTATTTTTAAAGGGGCTGATTGCTGAGCCTCCTAGCTTTGTTTTCACATTTTAACTTTATTTTAGCTTGTAAACGTTGTTACAATTAAGTATTTAAAAATGTTTATTTCACTGCAGAACATGTGAATATATTCCTATATATATCATGGGTAGATTTTATACCTAAGATAATGCAACTTAAATTGTCTTAAATTTTATTCATTCAAACAATCATTTGGAAGTTGTTAATGTATTAATTTATCATAACTCAATAATTTATTTTGAGAAATTTATAAGCAAATATCCACAATCACCATCACAAAACTATTAAAGTATCATAATGTACTTGTACTACTTGAGGTTATTACTAAATTGTAAACTTTGCAATTGCCCATACCTAAGAGCTTCTCTTTATTATTAATTTGTGGAGATATGTATTAAGAAATACACATATTTAATAAAAAGAAGTTCTGGAAGATTCTGCTTTACAAATTCAGTAAAGGGGGAAAGACAGACAGGGGATCAAAAAAAGGTAATTCAGAGGAAGACAGATTTTGAAATTAAAAACAATCAGCATTTTGTGAGTATTTTTGGTGGAAACATACTTTTTGGTAATATTGCATGAAAAATTTAATAATTAATAGAGATGTAACAATTGCAGGTGTTAGCCAAGTATATTATACAAATAGAAATAATCTTAATCAAAGGAAGAAAAATTCCAGCATCAGCTAGTATAATAGAATAAAAAGTAGGATGTATCAAATAATTGGCAGATGCGGACAAATTAATAAGAAAGGAAACACATGGTCTCAAACAGAGATCACTCCCTTGGGATACTGTAAAAAGATTTTATCAGTTTCATTTTGCATAGTAATAAAACAATTGTATCAGAACCAACAAAAAGTCTTGCTTATTTTTGTGTACATTCATTTTTAAATTGTAAGGAATATAGAGATGCAGCACTCAGCTTCCCCTTCAGGAAAGGTCTAGCTCCTGAGCTTCAAGGAGTCCCAGTAACTGATATTCTCAGGCTAATAAAACCTTTGGGGTCACCTCAGCTTTCCAAACAAGAATAGGGACAACTAACATATTTCCTGAGTTACAGATAATGCACTTGCAACTATTTGTGTCTTGCATACTTCTGGTGTGCCCCCAAATCTCCAGGTTATTTAACTTGCATTACCTTCATCTAAACTATTTTCAATCAGTAGAAAAAAATCTATTGGCCAACTTAATTTTTTTTCTCAAAAATTATTTTTATACCACTTCATATTTTACTACTTTTTTCAATTTAGAATAGTTCTATACATATATGTACAGGAAAGTTGTGAAGACAGTACAGAGAATTCTCATAATATCCCACAATTATTTTCACTATTTATATTACACAGTAGTATGGTAATTTGTCACAACTGAGGAACAAATTTTGATACATTACTTGATGTATCATTGATATTACTTAAACATTAATATTGACATTAATGTCAGTACATTATAGATATTGCTAAAATTTATTAAATACATTCCATAATTTATTCAGGTACAATTAATTTTAATCTAATGTTATTTTTCTGTTTCAGCATCTTTTCCTGTTTTACATTTTGTGATCATGTCTCCATAGGGTCCTCTTGGATGTGGCAGTTTCCCAGACCTTACTTATTTTTTGACAGTCTTGATGGCATTGGGGAAGGGAGGTTCTAGTCAGATATTTTGAAGAATATCTCACAATTAGTTGTCCGATGTGTTCTTTGATTAAACTGGGGTTATAGGTTTCTGAGGAAGAAAACTACAGATAGCTCCATAATGTACTATTCTCTTCCATCATGTCAAAAATATACTATCAATACAATACTATTACCTATATTAACCAAGGTCATTTAGCTGAGGCAATGATTGTTAAGTATCTCCATTATAAAGTCACTCTTTTTTCAATTTTCCATACTGTACTTTTTAGAAGGGTATCACTATCACTAAAGGGACCCCCCCCCAACTCTTTAACAGCCCACTCTTAAAGAGTAGGGGGTCATTTGGAATCTCCACATGAGATTTGTTTATTCAATCATATGTATGTAACAGTATGTGCCGTATTTATTTTTATTTTGGGTTATAACCCAATAATTCATTTCTTTCTTTCTTTTTCTTTCTATAATCCAATAATTCTTTCTATAATTCAATAATTATTTTTTCTTTCTATAATCCAATAATTCTTTCTTTCTATAATCTAATAATTCTTTTTCTTTTTTCTTTCTTTCTCTTTTTTCTTTCTCTCTTGTTTTCTTTCTCTCTTTCTCTTTTTCTTTCTTCTCTAAAATTGTTTTAGCTATTGCCATTGGGAGGTTATCCAGCTGGCTCCTTTTTCTCTTTACACATCTCCATCAAAGTTTTTGATTTTTTTTAAATCAATATTGTTTGGCACTACAAGATGTTCCAGGTTTACCTTGATAATTTCCTTCTCTTGATGGAAATTAAGAATCCATCATTTATCCTAGAAGTTAGAGTCCTAGAGTCAGTGATTTCCCCAAGAACTCCTGGTTGCTCTTATGGGATTGCATACAATAGGTATTGCACTTATGTTGTAATAAAAAAATGATATTATAAAACAAGTTCTTGACTCTAGATGTGCTTGTTGCTATTGGGATATCATTGGCATCTATGCTCTCACAGCCAAAAGAACAAGGAAGTATATGTGCCTTATCTATACATATTTTATATGTAAATATCTGTACCCTACTACACCAAAAGTGAAAACTTAGCTCCCAAAATCCACCAGCCATTTACTTAGATTTTTTATTCTAGTTTTCTCACAGAGATTTCAGAATTATTAATCTGTACTTCCTAGAAAAAATGTTTATGAACTAGACGATAATGCTTATATACAGTTCTTTTTGTTGTGGCTTTTTTGCTCCCCTAATTCAGTGAGCGGGAGGAAGTGGCACCCAGCAGGTTTTTTTCTTCCATACATCAAGTAATGTATCAAAATTTGTTCCTCAGTTGTGACAAATTACCATACTACTGTGTAATATAAATAGTGAAAATAATTGTGGGATATTTTGAGAATTCTCTGTACTGTTTTCACAACTTTTCTGTATATATAGAACTATTCTAAATTGAAAAAAGTAGTAAAAATATGAAGTGGTATAAATACACCTTTTTGAGAAGAAAAAAATTAAGTTGGCCAATAGTTTTTTTCTACTGATTGAAAATAGTTTAGATGAAGGAAATAACAAGTGAAATAACCTGGAAATTTGGGGGCACACCAGAAATATGCAAGACACAAATAGTTGCAAGTGCATTATCTGTAACTCAGGAAATACACTTACTGTCCCTATTCTTGTTTGGAAAGCTGAGGTGACCCCAAAGTTTCTATTAGCCTGAGAATATCAGTTACTGGGACTCCTTGAAGTTCCAGAGCTAGACCTTTCCTGAAGGGGAAGCTGAGTGCCGCATCTCTATATCTCTTACAATTTAAAAATAAATGTACACAAAAATAAGCAAGAGTTTTTGTTGGTTCTGATACAATTGTTTTATTAATTCCACCCACAAAGAAATGTTGAACAGATACCTGAATGCTATACACATTGCTATGTCTTTTTAGGTGAACATCTTTTTCATCATGATTAGAGAAGAAGTGTCTATCTCATTATTGCAGATTAAGAGTGAGACTAAGGTAGAGCCTGGCTGATTAAAAATGTAGGAAAAGACTCAATAAATTAGGGCTGTCATTTCATTTTTATATATCAGAAGAGTATCAAAAAAAAGACAGGAATCCATTTAATAAGAATAATATCTTGGTATTCAAGCAAGAACAGTTTTTTTTTCTGAAATTTAGTAAGGTAGAAGTGTGCATATGTGACATTCAAAGACATTATTTCAAAACTAGGAGCTAAATTGTGTGATATCCTAAGAACATACTATAAGAAGCACTTATTGCTATTGTTTTTTAAGGAAGCCATTACAGCCACTGATAACTGAAAAACCCTGCTCCAAGAAAGAAGAAAACAATAGCTAATTCCTTCACTTGTACCATCCTGGCTAATCAGAGGTCCTGAGCCTGTCCACATGACAACTTCACTGCTAGCATAACCAGCATTTGAGAAAACCAGAGGTCCTGAGCCTGTCCACATGACAACTTCACTGCTAGCATAACCAGCATTTGAGAAAACCAGCGCATTAAACTAAACTACAACCAAGGACTCTCACATAGTCTACTTCATATTCCTCCTACCTCCACCGGAGCAGGTGCTGGTGTTCACAGCTGGGAGATATCAAGACAGATCACATCACAGGACTCTTTTCAGACACTCCCCAGTACCAGCCCAGAGCTCCACTGGGTGGCTAGACCCAGAAGAGCAATAACAATCACTGTAGTCGGGCTCCCACGAAGCCCCACTTTTTAGGGGAAGGAAAAGAACACCACATCCCAGGATCACCCCATGGGACAAAAGAATCTAAACAACAGCTCTTGAGTCCCAGATCTTTCCTTTGATGTAGTCTACCCCAAGGAGAAGGAACAAGAAAAACAATTCTGGTAATATGACAAAAAAGGTTATTTAACACCCCCAAAAGATCACACTAGCTCACCAGCAATGGATCCAAACCAAGAAGAAATATGTGAATTGCCAGAAAAGTAATTCAGGTTGATGATTAAGCTACTCAAGGAGGTACCAGAGAAAGGAAAAATCCAATGTAAACAAATTAAAAAAAAAACAGGACATGGACAAAAATGATCTCTAGAGAAATAGATATCATCAATAGAAAACAATCACCAACTTCTGGAAGCGAAAGGCACACTTAGAGAAATGCAAAATACACTGGAAAATCTCAAAAACAGAATCAAACAAGTAGAAGGAAGAATTTTAGAGTTCAAAGGCAAGGCTTTCAAAATTAACCCAATCTAACATAAACAGAATTAAGAAAAATGAACAAAACCTCCAAGAAGCTTGGGTTATGTTAAGCAACCAAACCTAAGAATAATTGATGTTCCTGAGGAAGAAGATAAATCTAAAAGATTGGAATACTTTTTTGAGGAAATAATACAGGAAAACTTCCCTGGCCTTGCTAGAGATCTAGACATCCAAAGACAATAAGCTCAAAGAACATCTGGGAAATTAATTGAAAAAAGATCATCACCTAGACACATAGTCATCAGGTTATCTGAAGGCAAGACGAAAGAAACTCAGTTAACCTATAGATCCTATAGATGAATATATATCAGATTACTGGCAGATTTCTCCACAGAAAACCTGCAAGCAAGAAGGAATTGGGGTTCTATCTTTAGTTTCCTTAAACAAAATAATTATCAGCCAAAAATTCTGTATCCAGTAAAACTAAGCTTAATAAACGAAGGAAAGATAAAGTCATTTTCAGACAAACAAATGCTGACAGAATTTGCACTACCAGGCCAGTACTATCAGGACTGCTAAAAGGAGTTCTAAATCTTGAAATAAAACCTCAAAATACACTAAAATAGAACCTTCTGAAAGCATAAATCTCACATGGCCTATAAAACAATAACACAATAAAAAAAAAACAAGATATTCAGGCAATAACTAGCATGATGAATAGAACAGTATCACATCTCATTACTAATGTTGAATGTAAATGGCCTAAAGGCTCCACTTAAAAGGTAAAGAATGGCAGAATGGATAAAAATTTCACCAGCCAAGTACCTACTGTCTTCAAGAGATGCACTTAACACATAAGGACTCACATAAACATAAGGTAAAGGAGTGGAAAAAGACATTCCATGCAAATGGAAACCAAAAGCAAGCAGGAGTAGCTATTCTTATATCAGACAAAACAGACTTTACAGCAACAATAGTTAAAAAAGACAAAGAGGGACATTATGTAAGGTAAAAGGATTAGTCCAACAGGAAAAATCACAATCCTAAATATATATGCACCTAACACTGGAGCTCCTAAATTTATAAAACAATCACTACCCAACCTAACAAATGAGACAGATGGCAACGCAATAATAGGGGGAGACTTCAATACGCCACTGATAGCACTAGACAGGAAATCAAGACAGAAAGTCAACAAAGAAACAATGGACTCAAATTACACCCTAAAACAAATAAACTTAACAGATCTGTACAGAACCAAACAACTGCAGAATATACATTCTTTTCATCAGTACATGGAACATTCACCAAGATATGCCATATGATAGGTCACAAAACAATCCTCAATAAACTTAAGAAAATGGAAATTATATCAAGTACTTTCTTAGACCACAGAGAAATACATTTTATAATTAACCTCCAAAGGAACATTCAGAATTGCAAAAATACATGGAAATTAAATAATCTGCTTCTAAATGATCTTTGGGTCAACAATGAAATCAAGATGGAAATTAAAACAATTATTTGAACTGAATGGTAGTAGCGATACAACCTATCAAAACCACTGGCATACAGCAAAAGCAGTGCTAAGAGGAAAGTGCATAGAATTAAATGCCTACATCAAAAAGTCTGAAAGAGCACAAACAGATCTAAGCTCACACTTCAAGAAACTAGAGAAATGAGAATAAATCAAACGCAAACCCAGAAGAAAATAAATAACAAACAACAGAACTAAATGAAATTAAAACAAAAAATTATACAAAAGATAAATGAAACAAAACACTGGTTTTCTGAAAAGATAAACAAAATTGATAGAACATTAGTGAGATTAACCAAGAAAAGAAGAGACAGAATCCGAATAAACTCAATTAGAAACAAAATGGGAGATTTTACATCCAATACTACAGAAATACAAAACATCATTCAAGGCTACTATGAACACTTTTAGGCACACAAACTAGAAACCTAGAAGAGATGGATAAATTCTTGGAAATTTACAGCCCTCTTGATTAAATCAGGAAGAAATAGGAACTCTGAACAGACCATTAACAAGTAGCAGGATTGAAATTGTAATGAAAATAACTACCAACAAAAAAGAAAAATCCAGGGCCAGATGGATTCACACCTGAATGCTATCAGAAATTCAAAGAAGAATTGGCACTTATCTTATGGAAACTATTCCAAAAGATAAATAAAGAGGGAGTCGTCCCTAAATCATTATATGAAGCCAGTATCACCTTAATACCAAAACCAGGAAAGGACATAACAAAAAAGAGAAAACTACAGATCAATAATCCTGATGAACATAAATCTAAAAATCCTCAACAAAATATTACATTCCAAAATCCAGAAGTATATTTTTAAGAAAATTATCCACCATGATCAAGTGGGTTTCATAACAGGGATGCAGGGATGGTTTAACTTATGCAAGTCAATAAATGTGATAAACCACATAAACAGAATTAAAAACAAAAATCATATGGACATCTCAATAGATGCACAAAAATAATTTGATGAAATCCAGCATTTCTTTATTACCCTCATCAGCAACAGCATAGAAAGGACATAACTTAAGGTAATAAAATCCATCTATGACAAACCCACAGTCAACATTATACTGAATGAGGAAAAGTTGAAATCATTCCTTCTGAAAACTGTAACAAGAGAAGCATGCTGACTTTCACCACTTCTATTCAACATAGTACTGGAAGTCCTAGCCAGAGTAATCAGGCTAGAGAAAGAAATAAAAGGCATCCAAATTGGTAAAGAGGAAACCAAACTGCCTCTGTTTGCCGATGACATGATTGTATACCCAGAAAACACTATTGACTCATCCAAAAAGCTCTGGAATTAGTAAATTAATTCAACAAATTTTCAGTATACAAAATTAATGTACACAGATCAGTAGGCCTGCTATATATCAACATCAATTAAGCTGAGAATCAAATCAAGAACTCAACCCCTTTTACAACAGCTGCAAAAAAGTAAAATAAAATAAAATAAAACAAAATAAAATACTTAGGAATATTCTTAACTGAAGAGGTGAAAGACCTCCCTAAGGAAAACTACAAAACACTGCTGAAAATAATCATAGATGACACAAACAAAGGGAAACACATCCCATGCTCAAGGATGAATAGAATCAATATTTTGAAAATGACCATATTGCCAAAGTAACCTACAAATTTAATGCAATTCCCATCAAAATACCCCCATCATTCTTCAATCAACTAGAAAAAAAAACAGTCCTAAAATTCATACGGAACCAAAAAAGAGCCACATAGTCAAAGCAAGACTAAGCAAAAAGGACAAATCTACAGGCATTGCATTACCCAACTTCAAACTATACTATAAGGCCATAGTCACCAGAATAGCATGGTACTGGTATAAAAATAGGCACATAGGCCAATGGAACAAAATAGAGAAGCTGGAAATAAAGCAAAATATTTATAGCCAACTGATCTGCGACAAAGAAAACAAAAACATAAAGTGGGGAAGGACATCCTGTTTAACAATTGGTGCTGAGATAATTGGCAAGCAACATGTAGAAGAATAAAACCGGACCCTCATCTTACATCTCATACAAAAACCAACTAAAGATGGATCAAAGACTTAAATCTAAAACATGAAGCCATAAAAATTCTAGAAGATAACTTTGGAAAAACCCTTCTAGACACTGGCTTAGGTAAAGACTTCATGACCAAGGACCCAAAAGTAAAAGCAACAAAAACCAAGATAAATACCTAAGACTTAATTAAGCAAGAAAAGTCTGCACAGCAAAATAAACAATCAGCAGAGTAAACAGACAACCCACAGAGTGGGAGAAAAATCTTTGCAAACTATGCATTCAACAAAGGACTAATGTTCAGAATCTACAAGGACTCAAACAAATCAGCTAGAAAAAAACAAATGATCCCATCAAAAAGTGGGCTAAGGGCATGAACAGACAATTCTTAAAAGAAGATATGCAAATGGCTGACGAACATATGAAAAGAAGCTCAACATCACTAATTACCTGGGAAATACAAATGGAAACCACAATGCGATACCACTTTACTCCTTCAAGAATGACCTCAATTTAAAAATCAAAAAATAATAAGATGTTGACATGGACATGGTGAAAAGGGAACACTTTTACACTGTTGGTGGAAATGTAAGCTAGTACAACCACTATGGAAAACAATGTGGAGATTCCTTAAAGAACTAAAAGTAGATCTACCATTTGATCCAGGAATCCCATTACTGGGCATCTACCAGAGGAACAGAAGTCATTATATGAAAACGACACTTGCACAAGTTCATGCCTGTAGCAACACAATTCATGATTGCAAAAAATGTGGAACCAGCCCAAATGCTCATCAATCAACAAGTGGATAAAAAAATGTAATATACACATATATATCCACACCATGGAATACTACTCAGCCATAAAAAGGCAAGAAATAATGACATTAGTAGCAACCTGGATGGAGAGGAAGACCATTATTCTAACTTAAATAACTCAGGAATGGAAAACCAAACATCATATGTTCTCACTTAAAAGTGGGAGCTAAGCTATGAGGATGCAGGGGCTTAAGAATGATAGAATGGACTTTGCGGATTTGGGGGAAAGGGTGCGTGGGGGGTGAGGGATAAGAGACTACACATTACCTTGGGTATAGTGTGCACTGCTTGGGTGACGAGTGCACCAAAATCTGAGAAATCTCCACTAAAGAAACTATCTGTGTAACCAAAACTCCCTGTTCCCCCGATCTATTGATATAATTTTTAAAAAATGAAATAAAAGTAATAAAAAATAAATAAAAATCATGATAGAAAAGTTAGGAGATGGAAGTGTCACAATTATTGTGTAATTATTTTAGAGAATACCTTTTTTTTTTTTTTTGCAGGAGGGTATCACTATTATTTCATGAGGACTAAGATACTAGCTTTGTTTTGTTTTTGTTTTTGTTTTTTTAACTGGATGGGGTAGCAGGGGGCTTCTGATTTTAACTCCAACATATAAAGTGTTTGGTAGTTACATCTTTATAACAAGAAAAAGCTGTAAAATTCAACAACTTTTCTTGGACCCATCTAAGAACTGAGGTTGCAGGGTAAACTGCCACTGAAATCTGCAGGGACAGGAAAATACAGAAAATTAAAGCTGAGATCTACTTAGCGAAATAAATACAAACAAACTGCATAGAAAGTACTACACACTACAGCCAAGTAAGCTCTATTCCACTAATGCAATGTCTTAACATACAGAAAGATCTCTTGGGAAAAATCTGTCTAAACATTTATTCTTTACAAATAAATGTAATCTAGCATATCAATACGCTAAAAAAGAAATTCACACGAACATTTTAATTGAGGCAGAAAAAGCATTTGACAAAATCCCATTCATAATAAACATTCTCTGCAAGGTAGGAATAGAAGTTAATACTTTCAACTTGATAAAGAACATCTATTCAAATCCTACAGCAACCCTTATAATTAGAGTTGAGAAACTAAATTATTTATCCTCAATTCAGAAAAAAAAAATGCAAGTATATTCTGTTACACCCCTTACCCCTAATCAACCTAATACTTAAAGTCCTAGAAACTAAACATATTGAAAAGGAAAAGAGGCTGTGCTACATTTTGCAGATGGTTGATTATTTATGTCAAAAATCCCCAAAGAATCTACCAAAAATAATCTGGAACTAAAAAATCAGTAAACAAATTCACAGTATGCAAAGTCAGTATAGTAAAATCAGGTATTTTAATATATATTGTATTGAAAAACTGTAATTTTAAACATACCATAAAATATAGCACCCCTAAAATAAAAATCTGAGGTGTAAATCCTCAAAAATAATATGAACAGGCTATAGATGCAGAAGTCTACAAGAGAAAGAAGTAATAAAACAATTTCTAAATAAAATGAGAACTACTCCATATTCAAGCATTGAAGGACTCAATATTTTTAAGATGTCAATGATTTGCAATTTGGTTAATAATAGAACTCAATGTCTTTCAAAATCCCAGCGACCTATTTTATAGGTACCTACAAACTGAATCTAAAATGTACAAAGAAGGATAAAAGACTTAGAAAAATTAACATGATCTTGGGTTTGTTGATGAATTTTAGATACTCCAAATGCATGATCAATAAAAATTGATATACTGAACATTATTAAATTAAAATTTTTTACACTGTAAAGACAGTTAAGAGCATGAAAAGATAATTCACACACTAGATATTTTCAAACCACAGATTTTCTAGAGAACTTGGATCCAAAATGTACAAAGAACATTTAAAATTCCACAATAAGAATATAAACAACCTTAGGGCATTAGACCCGAACAGATACCTTCCAAAGATGACATGTAGATGGCAAATTAACATGTGAAAATATGTTCAACATCATACATCATCAGAAACTTGCAAATTAAAGCAGCAATGAGATACTACTGCACACCTATTAGAATGGCTAAAATTTAATTAAAAACTGACAAGATCAACTGTAAGCTGGTATGCCTATTAAAAGGAACTCTCATTTGCTGCTGGTGAGAATGTAAAATAGTACAGTCACTTTGGAAGATCATTCAGCAGCTTCTTGCAAAACTAAACATAGTCTCACCATATCACACTCCTAGGTATTTATCAAAATAATTTGAAACTTATGTCTAGACAAAAGTCTCCATACTGATGTTTATAACAGCTTTATTTATAAATTTCAAAAACTGGAAGCAAAGAAGATGTTCTTCAATAAGTAAATGGATAAAGAAACTGTAGTACGTTCATACAAAAGGGATGGCTTGTTAAGCGACAAAAAGGCATGAGTAAATCTGAAAAATATATGCTAAGTGGGAGAAGCAAGTCTGAAACAACCACTTGCTATATGATTCCATTGACAATCTGAAAAGTCAAAATTGTAGACACAGTAAACTGATGAATTGTTGCTAAGGTTACGCAATGGGAGTGTTTAGTAAGTCTAGGATAAGGATGCTTTAGGGTGGTGGAATTACTGTAATGATGGGCAGATAACACTGTACTTGTCAAAAATCCATAAAACAGTGTAGCACAAAGAGGGAAATTTAATATATGCAATTAAAAAATTATTTACAAGGTTGAGATATCACAGAATGGAATGCGGACTTTACAAATGAACCTAATTATTTTACAAATGGATGAAGCAACCTCACTGAAATGAGCGAGGAAAAAGTGTTTATCAAACTAACTTTGGAAACGAATATAGTGTGCAAGACTAAAGGAAGAATGAATTGCATATAAAGACTGTATTCTAGTTAATAAAATTGCTTCTCATGGGGGTATGGGCTAACAATTCTGAAAAACAAAATATTTATGTAAAGTAATTACTTAAAAAATAAATAACAAAACAGACAAAAACCACATCTTAGCTTGTCCTTTCAGACAGTGATACTGTATACACATCAATCTCACTCCTAAAACCATTTTGAAACTATAACATAAACATAAATAGAAATCAATGCCTAACAGTCCATTTATTCAAATAAAAAATTAAAGTATATATATATATATATATATAGGTTGAAATTCATGAAAGCTACCGTTTAATGTAAGTCATGAGGGTGTGCAAAAAGGCTTGTAACACAATCTTAATACTGACATGCCAAAGTTCTGCTGGCTCTGATTCAGCAAGCATAAAATTGTGCAAGAGTAAAAGTTAAGACTGAAGACAGGGTTTACATCCTATTTTTTTCTTTCATTTTGTTCATTATGCAAAATTGAGGCATTACGTGTTTACATAAAAAAATAGACCTTTTTTCTTTTTTCTTTTCTTTGTGAGGCAGAGTTTCACTCTGTCGCCCAGGGTGGAGTGCAGTGGCGCAATCTTAGCTCACTGCAAGCACCGCCTCCCGGGTTCATGCCATTCTCCTGCCTCAGCCTCCCGAGTAGCTGGGACTATACGCGCCCGCCACCACGCCCGCCTAATTTTTTGTATTTTTAGTAGGGACAGGATTTCACTGTGTTAGCCAGGATGGTCTCGATCTCCTGACTCGTGATCCGCCCTCCTCGGCCTCCCAAAGTGCTGGGATTACAGGCGTAAGCCACCAAGCTCGGCCAAAATGGACTATTTTTCTTTAACACAATTGATTATAGAATCTGGAAAAAGCTGAGGATCTAGTGTGGATTTTGTTTTTTTAGGTGAAAATCTTTGTTATTCTGGCACTTGGAAAATCCACTTCCTTACAGAAGCCTCTCAACTAAGGTATTACAAATGGAAGGCTGGGATTGAACACCCACATCCTATCATGCACAGAGCTGAGCTTCCATATTCCATTCTATGATAGTCATTAATCATTATTATAAATCTCTTTCTTAAATCTCGGACTTTCAAGGGACACTTGATAGAATGGCAATTTGTCTCCTTCTTGTGATTGAATGTTGCCTTGCAACTAATTCCAGACAATGAGTTGTGCAACATTTCCAGACTGGAGCAATTAACTGTTGCCAGAAGAGTCCCTGATGTTCTTTTTCTCTATACACAGTGATCAATAAAAATCCATATAGTAACTGCTGCCCCATGATAAGTTCCAAAGTGAAGGCAATTCAAAATGCAGCACAGAACCAAACCTCAGGAGGAAGTTTAGTGTGAGCAAGTAATGAATCTTTATGTCAATTCACCAAAATGAAGCGGTGGTTGGTTACTACAGCATAATTTAGCTTATTGCTCTGATATACCCATCCATTGAAAAAATATATTGAGAAACAATGCTATTGGTCATAAAGCTCAGGAAACTCAGATAATTATTCATTTTTTTCTTTCTTAGATATAAACAACAACGATGGTTGTTAGATATGTGTAAGTACAAACATTCAAGGAACAGACTCTCAAAATGTAATAAAGAACATCAGTGAGTTAATAAGCATTTTAAGAAATGAAGAGAAAGCAATACAAATAAAAACCCCTAGTAAATATACTCAAACAGATCTGAGAACTACATATTTAAAATAATCAAAATGATGCCATAAGAAGGCATAAAAAATGTGAAACAACTCCTGGAGATTAAAACTATGATCACCATCACCACCACCAAAATAAGATATTGGAAACCTTGAAAATATGTTCAGATAGACCGGGTGCAGTGGCTCACGCCTGTAATCCCAGCACTTTGGGAGGCTGAGCCAGGTGGATCACCTGAGGTCAGGAGTTTGAGACCAGCCTGGCCAACATGGTGAAACCCCGTCTCTACTAAAAATACAAAAAATTAGCTGGGTGTGGTGGTGGGTGCCTGTAATCCGAGCTACTTGGGAAGCTGAGGCAAGAGAATCACATGAAACCGGGAGGCAGAGATTGCAATGAGCTGAGATCGTGCCGTTGCACCACTGCACTCCAGCCTGGGCAGCAAGAGCAAAACTCCATCTCAAAAAAAAAAACAAAAAAAAAAAAAAGAGAGAAAAGAAAATGTGTTCAGATAGTCTTACAGACGGTATTAACTTGGAAAAGAAATTTAAAATATGAGAGAAGGGTTAAAAGACAAAGAGGTTCAATCGGTATTTAATTATTTACAATAATATGGATAATCCCATAAGGGACCTATTTTTATATTAAAATTATATTTGAAATCTAAGTGTTTTACTCTCTTCAACTTTAATAACTCTTATCTTTTCAACACTATTTTTGACATTGGGAGCTTTTCTGATTTTTTTTAAATTTTATGTTAGTGTTATATATCCACCTTTTTAAAAAAAACCTGGTCCCTTTGTTTGCAAAACACTGGCAAAAATGTTTTCCATGGAATTTATCATAAGAATCTCAAAGGATTTTTTTTTCTCACTGGCTAGAAATGATGGCAAAACTTTTAAAAATACAGTAAAAAGGAAGAAGAAAATACAAGATAGAAATCTTATTCTCTTTAAATTATTAAATTACAATTACATAAAATTTCTTGACCAGTGAAATTTACCAAATACATAGAGTTGTTAAAGTCAAAGCAAATGCTGTTTTATAGGAAGGCTCATATGTACCTGAGCAATGGATGATAAACAATGATATCTTTATTACTTTTATTCAAATAAAATATTTTATGCCTTAATGAATATTTGTAATATCAAAATGTGTTTTCTACATGTGAATGATCCCTGAGGATTGCTGTACTGTATGCATTTGAATACTGAAAGACATATGTACCTGCCATTTGTAGCCATGCTATCTTTCTATCCTCCTGACTCTTTCATACTAGCCTTGGCCAGGTACTAGAAGGCTCATTGAGACTTCCTATGGTTTATGACCCAAGCTGACAACTGTGACTTCTTCTTTGTGTCTTTCTGATGGCTATGCCATATAAGAATCTCCTTATATCATTTAAGAAGCTGCTGACACAGAGTGCTGGTTTGATGGATGACCTGAGCTGCCGTTATTCCTGTCAGAGGTAAGCAGCAAGTTTTACAGGAAATTACTGGAGGAGGATACAGTGAGGGAGAGAAAGAGAAAGTAATGTGCATTACACATTGACTGACAACATGATTTGCTTATAGTTCCAAGCTGGCTTAGCTGAGAACAGCAGTGAGAAAAAAAAATGTCTCATCAATATTTAAATAGCTGATCATATAACCAACTTGACAGGCCATTTGTAAGTGCAAATTATAGAGCAGAACTGTAAGCTATAGGGACCATTCTGCCCTTGCTTACACTTTTCATATTTCAGGTTTGCATAAGCAGAAAATAAAGTAAAATCATGCAGATGTTTCATTTCTGTATGCTAGAGATTCTCAAAGTGTTGTTCCCAGAAGCATTATTACTAGTGATAACTTTAAAATTAAAAATTCTCAGCCCCTACTACAAACCTACTGGATCAAAAACTCTAGGATAGGCTCAGCAAACTGTGCTTTGACAATCTCTCCAGGTGATTCTGATGCATGGTCAAGTTTGAAAACTACTTACTTCTATAATAAATATTCACTGTTTTGAAATTCCCAAATAGCCATGGTCACAGATATTTAATTTTTTAAAAGATTTATATAATGTAACTAATAAAGAGAGAAAATAACAATGGCAGATTAAATTAATCCAATGCTATTATACACACACACACACACACACACACACACACACACAAATTTAAACATGTGATATATGATCCTGCTGGAAACTGTTTTAGCAACATGGTTATCACATTAGAAATATGATTATATAACAAAAAATTGGAAAACAGAAAACACACACATAATTTAGACTAAATTAACTCTCCATAAGGAAGATGATAAGTCATTCAGAAATGTCTTACATATATTTACCTAATTTACAATTTAGCATTTCTGGTAATAGCAAGTTAACTACTTTGTAAGGCAGAGACAACGTCCTGCAGCAGAGGGGGTAAAAAAGCCAGCTACATTTTAAAATACAGCTAGGGATTTAAGGTATCTGATAACTATGGGAGGTATAAGAACTAGATAAATAAAAATTTCAGAGAAGCAGAACCATTCTTAGCTGAGCAGAGAATTGCCAACATATTTTTTTCCTTGGGGTGTTCGCTGATGCTAGTCAGAGAATTCTGGGCTTCTGTTAGGGAAAATAAACACCAGTGGAGCTTTGGGCGTTTCTTCTAGGCTGGAAAAACTAGAAAATTCAAGTGCTGAAATGTATGGTCAGTTTTGTCACCATATAATGTTAGGGTCTGAGCAATGTAGAAGACTAGGGAACTAGGCCAGCAGCTTCTAAATGGCAAGAAAACATTTTCTGTAGTATTTCAGTATCCAGTAAACAAACCCTGATGAGATGAGGAACAGAAGGTGAGAGCAGAACAGTAAGGCAGCTTTCCTCAAGCACAATACTGGCTTTCTCTCCAGACTTGCCATATTGGGAACCTAAGTCCCCCACTTTCTAAGTTTATGTGTTATTGAGTTTTATCAAGGAAAACAGAAAATAACCCAGGAAAATTATGCAGGGAAGGATTTCATGTAGTGAATTAGAGGCTTACAAACTGCTGAAAGTCCTGGAGGAATGAAAATTAGAGACACACCTGCTAGTGCTCAGGAAATCAGAAGGTAGGGGAATTGCTGGAATTTGCCGCCAATGATCCCAGCTGCCTATAGCACAAAAGAAATTCACAGGAAGATGAAAATCTTACTTTTACCACTTGCCAAAGCCCATTTCCCAGGCTGCTGCTGATGGAAGTATAATAGTTTCTCCTTATCTGGTACATTTCACATTACACATATGCTTCTTGTTGGTAAGTCCTGAACTGTAAATTTTCTAGCACAAAAACCTTGAATATTTAGTTTCCAGTCTTCCTGCCCCTGTGATACTGGGGAGCGCCTGGAAGGGAATGAGAGTTATGTTGAAATTGTAAGAGAATTTCTGTTACTGTGCGCCTCAGAGTGGTTTTCATTCTTATCTACTCTTCTAAATCACAGGAAACTAGCACCATACTTCTGGCTAAAAAGATGTAAGTATCCATTTTACAAATGAAGACACATTCACTTTTTCCCAAAGAAAAGCACATAGTCTGCCTTATCGATGTATTGCATAGATATCTCTATAATACGGTTTTATTTTTGGATGACATAATTTCTCTTCTAGTTCAACCATAATCTCACTTCGATATTGGTAATCAAATGATTTAATAAATATATAAAAATAATATATGTGTGTGTATGTGTGCACATATACACACACCACTAGTATCCTCTTATATAATAGTGGAGAGAGAGAACGGAGGAAAATGGTTAATGAACACAGGTATTTGCATAATGAAACAAAAAGAGCTATGCATATTTGCTAGTCCTCATTTCCTTAATTGTTCACAAAGTCTTTCTATTCTTACTACTTATAAATTCTGCTACCAATTCCATATTCCCTTCATCCTCAACCAGCAAAAGAACTGGGTATGATTCTTTAACCTAGCAGGGAAATCCAATTTTATTCTTGAATAGCTCAGCTTGTATTTGTTTATTTTGGTTTGCCATTAACTTTTACCATTTGACATGGACATCGTTTTTTGAGAATGGATTCATGGCAAGTAAATTTTTGGAACTTCTTCATGGTTTCGGTCCTTGACAGCACTTTTATGGCTTATCTACCTAGCTATGGAATGTGAAAGTGAGCCCTTCAAGGTGAGGCTTGTGAAGTGTGGAGAGGCCAATGGTCTCCCGTGATGAAATCCAAATACCTCACAATCAACAAAATCCAGATGCCATAGAATAAGAATGAACCAGTTACCCACTGGGCCCCGGAAAGAACCATCCTCAGAACCCCTATTTACCATCCTGCCGTGTCTTCAGAGCACTTAGTTAAGGACTGAAAGTCTAAAAAAAATTCAATTATTTGGAAATTTGTATATCTGAAAATGTTGTTCATATGTGTGGTTGTTGGAGAACCTGAAAACATCACAACAGTTCCATTTTCAGTCTTATTTTGAAGCAACTGGAAAGTGTCTCCCTAGTTTTTAGCGATGGTGACATCAAAAATCAGTCCTTCTATCTGTTTACTGCCTAACTTTGGAGACCAGAAATTGTAGGGACACTTAAACAAGACTTAAGTGGAATTTCAAAGTATTTAGTGCTTGTATTTTAAGCATGGATTCTCTAAGACAAGTTTCTAATTCCACTCTAATCCTCAGGAGAGAGCTATTTATACACCTCTTTTCCATCTGGACTTCTTCAGGTTACCAAGATTTTCTTACATCCTATCTTATATCCCAACTTGCTGCTTGAATAAGTAGTTGCTGATTAATTGGAGTTAGTAATAGATGAAAAGGAAATCAAGTTAATGTTGATATTATCCTAAAACTACTTTGTATTGTAACTGACTCATTTAAATGTCTACATATTTTGAATATTTATTGAAAATAAAATAACATCCAAGTAATTGGCTACATAAGAAATGTTTCAGATAAGTCGCTGTAGAAAACCATACACATGGTGATTTTTTAAAGCCCTAAATAATTATTTCATATTCAAAATATGCTTTATTTGGACACAGTGGGATTTTGAAAGTATGTAAATCTTTTTAGTAATAACTAACTAAACTTTCTTAATTCAAGACAGAGTTAAGCTCTAAAACTTTTTTCTGTGCTGGATTTCAAAATAAGTTTTACAAATTATGTAGATATAGATACTTACACATATACATATTAATTTTGTTTTACCTTATCACAATCATTTATTCTAGAATAAACTGCCCTTCTAAAATTCAAGAAATTTCAATCTTAACATAAATAAAAAAATACAATTAAATATATTGGTTCAGTGAATAAAATAATGGTAGAAAACTAATTTGTGAAAAGCTAAAGTTCAAGTCAAGTATGATTGCACGATTACTGTATTTCCATTTAAATGTTAATGTACATTGTCACAAGTAAGAGTGCTTGGGATTAAAAAGTGATCTACACTCTGATTATGGGACAATTTTTGCAATTATATATTTTATTGTAATGCATACCATGTTATCTTCTTAGTGACTGAGAAGATAATCTCTTTATAACATGAGACTAAGGGGAATTATTTTTGCTGAAGTTTTAATTTTTTGTTTCTTTTTTCCATAATATTGCTTGATGAAAAAGATTTCTCATCTTTTGTGTGGACTACAGGTTTGTTTCTCGATGGAAACAAAGCATAAAAACTGCTTGGTAAAAGAGGCGTAAGGTGCTGAGCATGAAAGCTAAGTTGAAATAAAATTGGAAAAGAAATAATGCCTTGGTGATTTAGAAAAAAGCTTGGGCCAAGAAAGCAAAACTGCAATTAACTGTTTTTACTTAAGAGGTCATGTTCTATGTAACATTATCCTTCCTTGAACCTCTACTTCAATCTTCTAAATATTTTTCCAAATGAAAGTATGCCTTTCGGGGTTGTATTTCTTTTGGGAGCTGGTACTGAGGTTAAGATTTCTGTCAAGCTTGCAGTAGATTTTAGTGAAAGCTGTAAAGACACTGGATATCGTTTACAAGGTATTTTAAAGAAAAGTACAAAATCACAATATTTCCAAGTAAGACAAATAATTACATATAAATAACCTTTTTAATATCTAAGAGGTAAAGGGAGGAAAGAAGATAGCGTATTAGCAAAGATAAAAGGTGATGAGTCCAATCATGAGATACCAATGCATTAGCCAAATTCCAATCTCATTTAACATACCTTTGGTTTTGTTAGGAAACTGGTATTTGTGGAAATGTAATTGATTCTGAAACAAAAATTTCTGAGTTCAAATCCTGTCACATACTACTCTTTGAGCTTGGGAAAGTTGAGCATGTTTCTGAGTTTCTTTACAAAAGTGCAATACTTTTAAAAGCCATGTATTCTTTCAGTGCTGTTTTGAAAACAAATGATAAAATGATTTCTGAAAGCATTTGGCACAACTGCCAAGAACCTTTTGGCATGGGATTCTTAGATAAAGTGATATTGTGCAGATTATAGATGATGCAACATTTGGAATAAATTAAATATCATCTATATTAGTTCCATTAATCTGTGTTTTTCTGTAAAGTGAAAAGTATCTGCCAGTAAAGTAGAGGAAAAAAGTATTAAATTTGAAATACACATATCTGAAATTGAAATATGTTTCTTCTGCCTAATGGTAATTTGCTAGCCAAGACTGCATTTTCTTCCACTTGAAACGTAGGGTAAACAATAAAATAAAATAAGAAACAACTGAAGCCAGGCATGGTGGCTCACACCTGTACTCCCAGTGCTTTAGAAAGTGAAGATGGGAGGATTGCTTGAGGTCAGGAGTTCAAGACCAGCTTAGGCAACATAACGAGATGCCCATCTCTACAATTTTTTTTTTTAATAAACACCTGAATGCTTGTTGTGAGAATTAGTGGTGAGGTGTATAAAGGACTAGAAGAGCTACTAGCACATTGGATAGACTCAATACATTCCAGTTATGATTGTAAGTTAATAAATATTTGTAAAGGCCACCAAAAGAAAATGGGTAATCAAAATAAGATTGTAAAAATTATATATTGCAATAAAATATTTTAAGTAAATCAGATATGCAAGTTGACATAACAAAGATATGTCTGTATCTTTGTACTAAACATATATTTTGTACTGTTTCTAAAAGAGGCATTAGCAAAAACTTTAGTAGATCTAACAGTTTCAGGTTGTAGCCGTGTTAATAGCAATAAAATTATCCCTCATTCAGCAAAAATTACTATTATAATTTCTGTCAAAGAATGGTGTTTTTCTTAATTCAGATGAAGTTAGCACTCCTTCACTGTGAAATTGTAAAACAAATAGTCTCCAATAATCTAGGTTTATCAACCCTTAACTAGTTCTCGATTCTATTCTTTGACTATGATTACAACCTTAGGAAAAGCAGCAGGCTGTACCTCTGCCATTACCTGTTCTCATTATCCACAAAGGTAGCTAAGCACTTTGCTATGGTTCAAAGTGTCACTACGTGCAGTGTCTTGCAGTTTTTGCAAAAAATATTCCTAAAAAGAACATCTAAACTTTTTAAAAATTTTTCTTTCATCACTTACTTTAAAAAAAGTGTTCCTATTAAATACTGGATAGAAACAATACGATTATATATAAACTATGAGTATGATATAAAGAATATGAGCAAATGCATGCAAAATACACAATGCTTACCAAATACGAAATGCTGGAAAAGATGACTATTAAATATTTTTTAAAATACTCACAATATTTTCAGACTTTAAAAAATATGACAGAATATGAAGTTGTACAGTTACATCTGAACTACTTTCTATCCCCTCAACCTTGCTCATTCTCCAAGGAAACCACTAACTGTGAAGTCAGTATGATTTATCCATATATAGATATTTTATATTTAGGTGGCCATATTTTTTCTGTGCTTGCTACTCTGAACTCGAACTAAAACAAATCTTAGATGATAAAAAAGAAACATCTTAAGGTGTAGATACAAAATTTGATCATAACAATGAATAGTAATGGTAGAAGTAATTATGGTAGATAACCTTTGTTACATGCTTGACTATGTTTCAGTTACTTCTAGCTCCTGTAACACTTTTAATTTTCACAAAACTTCATGATGTACATTCTATTATTGTGCCTAATTTATTGATATTGTATCTGAAATACAGAGAGATTAAAGTCCTTGACCAAGAATTGAATCTAAACTGGAAGCCTGGGTTTCTATTTCAGAGCCCCAAGTCTAGTTAGTTCCCTATATTACTTCTCAGTAAAACAAATACACAGAGATAGTTTCACCCGTTGCACTTTACTGTCTACTCCACAATGCTAGGTTCTGCCATTCTGCTAGAAAATAATTACCAAAGAGTACTTCTGAGGTATTGAGAGGAGGTGCCAGCTGGGCTTCCCCTGTCGAGTAGGGGCTCAGAAAGCTGTGAAACTCACTTATTTCCTGCATCAGGACTTACTTCCATCTTGGATGAATAATATTGAAGATATATGCTTAAAACATTCCTAATGAGAGGCGACAACGTGCTGGCGGCCCTCGCTCGCTCTCAGCGCCTCTTCAGCCTGGGCATCCGCTCTAGCCACGCTTGAGGAGCGTGGCTGCACTGTGCTGCAGTGTGGCTGCACTTCAGCCCACCGCTGCACTGTGGGAGCTGCTCTCTGTGCTGGCCGAGGCCGGAACTGGCTCCCTCTGCTTGCAGGGAGCTGTGGAGGGAGAGGCGCGCGTGGGAACCGGGGCTGCCCCACGGTGCTCGCGGGCCAGCGCGAGTTCTGGGTGGGCGCAGGCTTGGCGGGCCCCACAGTCGGAGCTGCCGTCAGGCGCCACCAGCCCTGGGTAGTGAGGGGCTTAGCACCCGGGCCAGCAGCTGCGGAGGGTGCGCCAGGTCCCCCAGCACTGTCCGCCCACCCACGCCGCCTTTGAATTGTAGGCAGGCCTCAGCCGCCTCCCCACAGGGCAGGTCCTGGGACCAGCAGCCGGCTATGCCCAAGCCCCGCCTCCCCGCCCAAGCCCCGCCTCCCCACCCCACTGTGGGCTCATGCAGCGGCTACCCCCTGCTACATTGCGTCCAGTCCCATTGACCGCCCTAGGGTTGAGGAGTGCAAGCACATGGCGCAGGACTGGCAGGCAGCTCCGCCTGGGCCATGGCGCAGGATCCACTATGCAAAGCCAGCTGGGCTTCTCAGTTGAGTGGGGACTTGGAGAACTTTTATGTCTAGCTGGAGGATTGTAAATGCACCAATCAGCACTCTGTGTCTAGCTTGGGGTTTGTGGATGCACCAATCAGCACTCTGTATCTAGCTAATCTGGTGGGGACTTGGAGAACTTTTATGTCTAGCTGGAGGATTGTAAATGCACCAATCAGCACTCTGTGCCTAGCTTGGGGTTTGTGGATGCACCAACCATCACTCTGTGTCTAGCTCAAGGTTTGTAAACACCAATCAGCACCCTGTGTCTAGCTCAAGGTTTGTAAATGCACCAATCAGTGAGTGCTCTGTGTCTATCTAATCTAGTGGGGACTTGGAGAACTTTTGTGTCTAGCTCAGGGATTGTAAATGCACCAATCAGCACCCTGTCAAAATGGACCAATCAGCTCTCTGTAAAACAGACCAATCAGCTCTCTGTAAAATGGACCAATCAGCAGGATGTGGGTGGCGCCAGATAAGGGAAGAAAAGCAGGCTGCCCCAGTCAGCAATGGCAACCTCCTTGGGTCTCCTTTCATGCCGTGGAAGTTTTGTTCTTTCACTCTTTGCAATAAATCTTGCTGCTGTTCACTCTTTGGGTCCACGTTGCCTTTATAAGCTGTAACACTCACCACAAAGGTCTGCGGCTTCGCTCCTGAAGCCAGCAAGACCAAGAACCCACTGGGAGGGACGAACAACTCCAGATGTGCCACCTTTAAGAGCTGCAACACTCACCACGAAGGTCTGCAGCTTCATTCTTGAAGCCAGTGAGACAACAAACCCACCAGAAGGAAAAAACTCCGGACACATCATCTTTAAGAACTGTAACACTCAGCCAGGCGCGGTGGCTGAAGCCTGTAATCCCAGCACTTTGGGAGGCTGAGGGAGGCGGATCACGAGGTCAGGAGATCGAGACCATCCTAGCTAACACGGTGAAACCCCATCTCTACTAAAAATACAAAAATTAGCCAGGCGTAGTGGCGGGCGCCTGTAGTCCCCACTACTCGGGAGGCTGAGGCAGGAGAATGGCGTGAACCCGGGAGGCGGAGCTTGCAGTGAGCCAAGATTGCGCCACTGCACTCCAGCCCGGGTGACAGGTCGAGACTCCATCTCAAAAAAAAAAAAAATGTAACACTCACCGCGAGGGTCCATGGCTTCATTCTTGAAGTCAGTGAGACCAAGAACCCACCAATTCTGGACACACTAACACCAGGATTTGTGCATGTGTTTTCTTCCCCAAGAAAGCTATACACAGTGAAAATGTTAAGTTTTCCTGAGTCCTCTCTCCCTCTCTCCTTTCCCCCTCCCCCGAAACTAAAAGGAATGTTAACTGCCCATTTTTCTGTGACCAGTGGACCTTACCTATACTCCCAATTCCAATTTCTTGTAAACATACTTTGTAACGTCCTGTGAGATCCTGTCTCCTTTGCCATGCCGCTGCAAGGTCATGAAGTAAATGAAACCTAAGTTGCAATTCTGGTTTTCCTCAAAATCTAAGACATGTCACAAAATAATTTGCTGCCTTTGTTTCTCGCTCTGGTATCATCTTCCCGCTGCACGTATTTCGTGACTTAAAAGAGTTTAAAAGGCAATCATATAATCTAACTCTGGCTACCTTTTCGGGACCCCTTCCACACTGTGGGACCTTTTTACTTTCACTCTGCTCAATAAAGCCTACAGCTTTTTCTCTTTTGGTCTGTGTCTCTATCACTCGCCGCGGTCAGCTGCCGCACCACCGCATCAATTCTTTGGCATGGCTAGGCAAGAACCTTAGGCGTTACATCTTGGCGAGCCAGCCAGGAGTCTCCAGGAAAGACATCTAGGTCATCACGTGGTGAGTACAATCGGACCTCTTTCACTTGCTATTGTGTCCTGTCCTTCCTTGGAATTTGGAGGCTAAACACCGGGCACCTGTCAGCCACTTAAAGACAATTAGCATGACCGTGGGACTAAAAACACTGGTATCAGCCTCTCTGGGAAAGGGCTCTCTAACAACTTCCAACCCTTCGGAGTTGGGAGCATTGGTTTGCTTGGAACCCCTTCTAACTCTTTCGCTTTCCGTGGTGGTCCCGAAGTACACCTGGGAATGCTCAGCGGATGTCTTGGTCTCCCAGATATCCTGATTGAGACCATGGCCCTGCCACAGGCTCCCCCTGCGGGGGTTAGTGAGCAGGAGACAGCCACATCTTCTGACTCCTGCCTCCTGGGTCCTAATGTCCGCCGATTAAACTTCTTTCCTCATCTCCTAAGCAAGGTTATTCCCGTTCTGCAGGATCAAGGTTCCCTATTTAGAAGTCTTAAATTCTAGTGGTGGCACCCAGAAGATCCCCGTTCGTGGTGCCCGCCAGGGTTTAGGCAGGTGTCGCCATTTGATGGCTATTTTAAAGGGCCAGTTCCCCACCACAGTGATGGTCCCCCACACCAGGAAAATTTAAAGACAGGTCTGTAATTTTCATGTGGATAGTAGAAGCCTTAGGACATTTCCTCCATTGCTCCCCAGATAGACTTTTGCCTTCCTTGGGGCCTCTCAAGAACAATCTGTGGTGCACAGGCACAGGTAGGTCTTAGAGCAGTTGAATTGTTTTTTCAACCATTCAATAATTGGTATTGGATGGAAGAAAATATAGTCAGTTGGGACACAGGATACTGGTATCACCTTGAGAGGGGGGCTTACTCCTTTAATGGCAAGTGGGAACAGAAGGCTAAAGTACAGCAGCTGTTCTCGGCCCTGGCCTAGAGGACATCCACCACCCCCTTTAAGCTTACTAAGCCTCCTGTTGCTAATTCAGAGATTTATCCTTGAAGGACAGTTTTATGGCCAGTCCCACATAAATTGGGCCTTCGCATGTAAGCATCAATGGTGCCCCCAACCCAGGCCTTGCCACCCTGGAACAGGTAGGACACATTGGCAGAAGGACCACAATAAATCCAACATTCTTTGTGCCCCATTTAGTGGTCAATGGGTGCACAGCAGGGGCAAAGGAAGTTTCCATCTTGCCGGTAAGCAAGGTTAAATCCGGTAGATGGAGAGCTCAGGAAAAGCAGCCATGAGCTTTGAGGACAATTGGACCTGACCCTTAGGGGATGCCCTAAGGGAAGACGAGTCCCAGAACTAACCAGGGGTGCAGGCATCTCTGTGTTTAAAATTCCAGATGGGTACCACACTTTCAAAACCGGACACTCCCTTAAGATGTATCCTAAATAACTAGAACAAATTCGACCCTGAGACCTTAAAAAAGAAGCGGCTGATTTTCTTCTGTACCACTGCCTGGCCAAAGTATTCCTTACAAAATGGAGAAACTTGGACCCCTGAGGGAAGTATTAATTATAACAACATTCTACAACTAGATATTTTCTGTAAACAGGAAGGTAAATGGAGTGAAGTCCCTTATGTACAGGCTTTCTTTGCCCTTCGTGACAATACTGCCCTGTGCCAAGTCTGCAAGCTTTGCCCAAATGACAGAGGCTCACAATTGCCTCCATACTCAGGGCCTCTTCCCTCAGCCCCACTCTCCTCCCCCAGTGACTCTCCTCCATCCAGCCCCACCAAAGTATTAAAGGCACACCAGAAAGAGAATGTAAACTCCGCGAGCCAGGCACCGAAACTATGTCCCTCACAAGCAGTAGGAGGAGAATTTGGGCCCGCTTACGGGCATGCCCCCTTTTCACTCTCAGGTTTAAAACAAATAAAGGCAGATTTAAGGAAATTCTCGGATGATCCTGATAACCATATAGATATTCTGCAAAGATTGGGGCAGTCCTTTGATCTAACATGGAGAGAGATCATGTTACTTCTTGATCAGACCTTAAATTCTACTGAAAAATAAGCAGCAGGGTGTTATAAAACTGCTTCTCTCTGCTCTCACAATGGCCATACATATCACCAAGGAAAAATGATCCAAGCTGACTGCCCTGAGAAATGGGGAGCCAATGCTTGCTGGACATATTATACACATATAGGTACGTCTGATGGAGGAGGCGTCCAAGATGAGGCTAAAGAAGGGCATATCCAATCACTTTTAATCCAAGTGATTAAAAACTTAGTCTAGCTCTCTAGTACTCCCAGTCCATACAAGCAATTTGACCTTTCCAGGCTACAAGAAACCCTTAAGTCTCATTCTCGTCTCTGGAGCCTGTTAAACACCACCCTTACAGGAATGCAAGAGGCCTCTCCTAGTAATCCAACCAACTGTTGGATGTGTCCCCCTTTCTTTTTCAACCATATGTCCCAGTCCCTGTCCCTGGACAGTGGAACTTATCCACCCCAGTCCTAAACACCACCAAATCAATCGGTCCCATAGTCACCAATTTACCAGCCACAAAGGCCTCAAATCTCACATGTATAAACTTCAGCATGACTCTCAATAAGAACACCTCCCGATGTCAGTCCTAGATATCAGTAACCTCAGGTTTCACCTGTCTAACTTCAGGCATCTTTTTCATCTATGATAAAACAGCCTATTGATGCCTAAATGGCACTCCAAAAGAATTATGCTTTCTCTCCTTTCTAGCACCTCCCATGTCCATATGTACTGAAAAAGAGTTACAAAGTCTTCTTATACCCCAATCCCACCACACATGAGCCCTTCCTTATTGTACCTTTTATTGTAGGAGCCGAAATATTGCACAGGCTTGGGACTGAAATTGGAGGTATAACCTCCTCCACCCAATTATATTATAAATTATCACAGGAATTAAATGATGACATGGAATGAGTTGCCAACTCCCTAGTGACCCTACAAGCCCAGCTTAATTCTCTAGCTGTGGTAGTCCTCCAAAACTGAAGAGCCCTAGACATATTAACAGCTGAAAGAGGAGGAACCTGCCTCTTCATAAGAGAAGAATGTTGCTATTTCATTAACCAGTCAAGAATCATTACTGAAAAGGTCAAAGAAATAAGAGAACGGATAGAAAGTAGGAAAAAGGAGCTTGAACACTCAGGACCGTGAAATATGTTTAACCAATGCATACCTGTGACAGCCATCCTACTATTACTCGCCTTTGGGCCTTTCATTTTTAACCTCCTTGTCAAATTGGTTTCCTCCATGATCGAGGCCATCAAGCTACAAATGGTCTTACAAATGGAACCTCAAATAAGCTCAACTCACGGCTTCTACGGAGGACCCCTGTCTCAACCTGCTGGTCCTTCGACTGGCCTAAAAATTTCCCCTCTGGAGGACACCACAACTGCAGGGCGCTTTCTTTGCTCCTAAGCAGCAGGAAGTAGCCAGACCAACTGCCGCTCAGTTCCCAACAGCAGTTGGGGTGTCCTGTTTAGAGGGGGGACTGACAGGTGCCAGCTGGGTTTCCCGAGTCGAGTAGGGGAAACTCACTCATTTCCTGCATCAGGACTTACTTCAGTCCTGGATGAATAATGTTGAAAATATATGCTTAAAATATTCCTAACACCAGGATTTGTGCATGTGTTTTCTTCCCCAAGAAAGCTATCAACAGTGAAAATTTTGCTGTAAGTTTCCCTGTGTCCTCTCTCCCTTCCCCCTCCCCCGAAACTAAAAGGTATGTTAACTGCCCATTTTTCTGTGACCAGCAGACTTTATCTATACTCCCAATTCCAATTCCTTGTAAACATACTTTGTAAAGTCCTGTGAGATCCTGTATCCTTTGCCATGCCGCTGCAAGGTCATAAAGTAGATGAAACCTAAGTTGCAATTCTGGTTTTCCTCAAAATCTAAGACATGTCACAAAATAATATTTGCTGCCTTTGTTCCTTGCTCTGGTAACATCTTCCCGCTGAACGTATTTCCTGACTTAAAGAGTTTAAAAGACAGTCGTATAATCTAACTCTGGCTACCCATTCGGGACCCCTTCCAGAGTGAAGGCTTTGTACTTTCACTCTGCTCAATAAAGCCTACAGCTTTTTTTCTCTCTCTCAGTCCGTGTCTCTATCACTCCCTGGCGGCAGGAATCTTAGGCATTACAGTATTACTATCAAGTTGACCATAATTTATTACACTTTCAATGTTTAAACCAAATTTTGACAACTGTCCTCAAGAACTTCAGAATTTAATCACACATCATACTTACCAAAGAAACAGGCCCTCAGATATAAATTCTGTCAACTTCATATTCCAGATTTAGTAACTTTTAAAATTTTCTTTTGGTTCTTGCCTGAGAAGTGCCACTAGTTTTTGCCAAAAATGAGGTTTTCATGTGACCCAGGATTAAAACAACTCCCAAATTTTAGGGAAAAGCCTTAGTCTCTAAATCCTTCCTTATCTCTAGAATTGTTCACTCTGCCCCTCTCCTAGGTCTTCTGCCTCTGCATTGAAGCAAGAGTCCTCCCATGGCCACAGATCCTAATTTACCACCCATGTCTTCTTTATATAGCCAAGATTCTTGAAAGGAAGTACACTTGCTTTTCTTTTGTTTATTAGATTGTTCTTGGCCACAACACTGCTTTAAAAGTGCCACTATGTTAATCACCTAAAATATTTCTATAAAGAATTATTTAATTAACAACATAAATGCATACTACTGTTTATTGATTTTACCTTATTTCTCAAATACCAACATAGTCTTGCTATATTCCAAGCACTTTAAAAGTTTTAACTCATGTACTCTTTTGATAAAGAGTGCAATCAACCCTATGAGGTATGTACTATTTCTGTTCCCCTTTACAAATGATAAAATAGTCACTGAGAGGATCCATAACTTTTCTAAGGCCACACAGCTAGCAAGTGGCAGAACTAGAA
Organism: Homo sapiens; assembly: GCF_000001405.40. Classification (NCBI taxonomy): domain Eukaryota; kingdom Metazoa; phylum Chordata; class Mammalia; order Primates; family Hominidae; genus Homo; species Homo sapiens. Next base: position 43,540,211 of record NC_000014.9, read on the forward strand.
TTTGAACACTATCATCTACTTCTACAGCATTAGCATCTACTTTTAGCTACCTCTTAAATATTAGCATTTTATAATGTTTAATAATATTTTAAATGCAATCAATAGATAAATGTAAATATCTTCTTTATCCACCCTTTATCTCCCCAAAATAATAAACATTCTCCCAAATATGCCACCTTCCATTCTATGAATGTTTTATATTACTAATCATGTAAGTGTCCATAAAATATACTTTATATAAATACTATTATATTTTCTAAAATAGTTTGCAATCTATTTTTCCTTGCTCATTATCCAAGGATAAACTCTAATGCACATTATGACTCACATCTTTCTCATACATTCATTTTCACTACTGTATTGTTTCTGTAGTACTAGAATATATTTTTCTGTTTTACTCTTTGTGTCATTCCTTTTTTTTTTTTTTTTTTTTTGGCACAGGTAGCTGAGGTTTGTGTTGGGAAAAAAAAAATTGAATTCTTTTGTAGCTGGAGGCATGGGCAAGGGGGCTACCTCAGGCAGTAAACTCCCCCGCCAGTGGGCTGAGGGCAAGAGCTGAGCCTCAGGTGGGTCTCCTGTTCCCTGTGCTCCCCTGCGCAGTGGCCTCCCTCAGGGGCTCTGGGGCAGCCGCAGGAGGGGTATGCTGAGAGGGTCTGCTATGGTTGTTCACTTGGAGCAGGACGTCAGAGGACTCGGACACTAGCTTCCCATCGCGGGTCTCCATCTTCACAACCAAGGCCCTGGTGGAGCTGGTGCAGCTGAAGGAGCTGGAGCCCAGCCAGAGCCAAAGCTGGAGCCCGGGCGTAGCTGAGGCCGGGAGTTGTGAGGTCCCCATAGGCTGAGATCAGGGCATCTGCATAGCCGCTAGTGGTCTTCCCATGGATACTCCTGTTCTGCAATCCAGACTCCAGCAGGCTCTCCTCGCCCTCCAGCAGCTTCCTGTAGGTGGCGATCTCGATGTCCAGGGCCAGCTTGATGTTCATCAGCTCCTGGTACTCGCCCGCAGCTGCTGCTCCAAGTCCTGCTTGGCCCGCTGTAGGGCAGCCACCAGCTCGGACAGCTTGGCCTTGGCATCTTTAACAGCTAGCTCCCTGCGCTGCTCGGCAACTGTGATGGAGGCCTCCAGGGAAGCCCTCTGGCATTTGAGGCCCTCAGTCTCAGCCTGGAGCTGGCTGATGTTCCGATTCATCTTGGAGATCTCAGTCTTTGTGAGCTGCAGGTCATCCCCGTGCTTCCCAGCCAGTGTCTGCAGCTCCTCATACTTGATCTGGTACATGCTCTCAGCCTCAGCCCTGCTGTGCTTGGACAGCATCATTGCAAAGGTCAAGGCGCAGTCCGACGAGATTGCCAAGCGCAGCAGGGCTGAGGTGCGGCCGTTGTCCACGGACAGCACCACAGACGTGTCCCAGATCTGGGATACGGTTAATTGCCACAGCACCATTTACTAAAGAGTCTATAAAATGTCCCATATGTCTTTAAGCAGTTTTAAGTAGTTTATGCACTTCAATAGCATAGATGCTATAGCTTTTTAAAAAAATATATAATTATTTGAAATTTATTTTCCAATCATTTAGTTTCGTGAATTTTGAATTTAAAAAATGTTCTTTAAGACCCCTCCTTAACGGTTGATGGATTTAGCAAGTAGCAATATAAGATGTTCGGATAAATTTAAATTTCACGTAACAATACTTTTTCCCTGTAAGCATGTCCTAAATATTGCATGGGGCATGATTATAATAAAAAAGTTATTATTTATATGAAATTCAAATTTATCTGGAATCCCTGTCCTTTATCTACTTTTGTTTTTATGATGATTTTTATGATGATTAAAACAAAAGTAGAGAACTAAAAATTTATTTTAGTACTTCCTATTGATAAAAATAAAATTAGATGTTAATTATAGAAAGTTCACAAAGCTAAAAATTTAGAATAAATTTGAATGGTCAAACCTCAATACCTGTTTTATTGTGAATTTTCAGCATTTACCGCTTAATTTTCATTGATCTTTTGAGACATCCTATATATGTTCAGTTCTCTGAATTTCTATTTCATTTCTGTTCTGCAAACCTTTGATCTTGCCTTTTACCAAATTCAATTTTTTTCTTCTTTTTTAACAATAAGTGTATTTTGTGTATAATTACCATGTGTTTGAAGCAAAGGGGCTCATAAAATGAATTCATCCAAATGTATTAATCAAAATTCACTCATGAATAACTAATTGCCCAATCTAGTAACAATTTGACTCCTTATTTTCCTATTCTTTAGGAAGCATTTGACATTTCTGGCTGGGCGCAGTGGCTCATGCCTGTAATCCCAGCACTTTGGGAGGGCAAGGCAGGTGAATCACTGGAGATCAGGAGTTTGAGACCAGCCTAGTCAACATGGTGAAACCCCGTCCCTACTAAAAATACAAAAATGAGTGGGGTGTGGTGGCACACGCCTGTAATTCCAGCGGCTCAGGAGGCTGAGGCAGGAGAATCTCTTGAACTTGGGAAGCAAAGGTTGCAGTGAGTTGAGATGGCACCACTGCACTCCAGACTAGGTGAGAGAGTGAGACTCTGTCTCAAAAAAAAAAAAAAAAAATATATATATATATATATATATAGAGAGAGAGAGAGAGAGAGAGAGAGAGATACATTTCTGACCACTCCTATTTTATAAGGCTATTTCTTTTGCTTTCTTCTGCCTTTCAGTAGCTTTCATTTTTCTAACCTTCTGCCCTTTTATTATGTTTATTATGTCCATTCAGATATCCCACATCTATAATCTCAAGGATTTTGTCCCTAGCAGAGTTACTTATTTTTTAATATAATCCCCTTCTTCATAAATGAGCTCATCAGATTTGCAGCATAAATTAAACATACACATTGGCAGCCCTTACTGTATTGTTACAGTACAGCCCTTTCTCTACATTAGAAGTATGATTTGACACATGTGTCTAACAGTCTCTGAACAGCCTTTATTAGATTACACTTAATCTGTTATTAATGGAAGTGCTTATCTTACCCTACTTCTGTTTAAATATTTCACCTGTCCCGGTTTCTGTATCTTGATGGTGGATAACGACCACTCACCAGAATTGCCCAAGTCAAATATATAAAAGGAAAGAGTGTCTTCTTGGTATCTGCTCTCAAATTGAGCACAATTTTTATTAATTCAATCTCCTAATTATTTTTCCAAACTATCATTTTTGTATTCCTCCTCTAATGTGTCTTATATGATTTTATTCCAAAATTCAACCTTTAAAAATTGCATTAATTACTGAAGTATTTCCTAACACAGCTCCTTGGCTTTAGTTTTACTTCCCAGAGAAGGGTACTTCTCTCTTTGCCAGATTGAAGTTTTTTAATAAAATCGGATCATACGCACAATCCTTTAATTGAGTTTTTGTGTGTCATGCAAAGCCATTCACAGTCTGGCACATGTCAACTTTTCCAAATACATCTACAACTTACCAAATGGATAGTGTTTGAAGCCTACTAAATTTTATATTCAACTACCAAACAATCTGGGGTCTCTGTTATTATTCAAACTATTTGTTTCCCCTGTCTACCAAGAACACTTCTGCTGTAGAATTGTACTGCCCTGTTTCAGTGAAATCAGATTTAGCCTGTGATTTCCTTTGAACACTGAAAAATATATAGATGTAATATACATCACTTTTCAGCAAAGCTATGTAGAAGTTCATTCTTGAGTCTGCCATATGTCTTTTTCCTCTACCACAAAGTTGTTCCATCTGTCTTGGTCCCCGAGCAGTAGCTGAGCCACAGTGATAATAAATATTACTAAGAAATAAATTTTTGTTGTAACTTACTATAATGAGAAGATCATTATTCAGCATAACAACCCAATTTGGTGCACTGATACATTGCTCATGTTCTCTCATGACTCTGCCCTAGAATGAACTGGATGTTTTGCTTAGAGGCTAGTTGTATGCTTGATATCTAATACTACTCATAATTGATATACCAAGTGAGGCATCATGTCTTCCAATCTGATTTGTGGTCTTTCCTGTATTATTATACTGACCTCTATTTTAGAATATATTATACTAGTTTATAAATTTCAATTATCTATATTCTCCTTTTAAGTCCCTTCAGAGCAAGATCTTTCCTGTTTGCATATCAGTAATTATTGTTGTGATTAGCACAACATATATGAGGGACTTCAAAAAATTCATGAAAATGTTTATTATGAAAAACTATGCATGGTTTTCAAAAACAATTTTCACCAAAATAAATTCATACTAGCTTTTAAAAACAAGTCTGAACAAGATCTGGTTTGAGGCACTGAAAAGTATAAATCAACAGTTTGAAAAGAGCCCCTATCAAAGCAACATGAATTCTGCTAAAATCGAAACAAGAACAAACATCAAATTTATGCTGAAGCTTGGGTGAAAGAATGGTGAAATCACTGATGCTTTACAGAAAAGTTTATGGGGATAATTCCCTAAAGAAATCAGTACTTTAAAAATGGATAACCTGTTTCAGGAAGGGACAAAACCCTGTTGAAGATGAAGCCCACAGAGGCAGACCATCCACATCAACTTTGGAGGAAAAAAAAACTTGTTCTCAAAATCTTGTATAATCAATATATATTAGTTTAAATAATAAAGGTATCAACTAGCAGTATAAAGATAGAATTATTTTCACATGTATTTACATCTCTTGAGGTTAAGAGATTGAGACCAGATTTTCTGAGAACATAGCAAATAAACAGAGAATCAGAGACTCGAATCTTAACGTATTTCCAAATCTTGATTTTTTTTCTCCCAATACTCCAAGATTGATATTTGGGTCAGCAGTTAGTGAAAAATTCTTATCTGTAAATAACAATTTACAGATTGTTATTGAATAGTTATTATTGTTATTGAATTTTAATAGAAATAGTTAATAAATAACAATCTTTATCTGTAAATACTTACTCTTGGAGTAAGTAACTCACTGAGGAGTGTGTCAGAAAATGTGGTTGTTTTCCTTATTTGCCAAAATGTAAAAATATAGAGAAAGATCCTGTGATCCTAAAATATTCACAAAACTGCCCTTCGTGATGAGCTTCAACTCAATACAGAAGGGAATTATCAGCAATAAAAGCAAGGAGCAATTATCTCCATAATTTTGTGAATGCCATCTAATTTGAATCTGTAATGGACAGCAAATGAAATTATGCTCAATGTAGTTCCTGAAACTTTGTTTCCCATCCTGTATGTCATTCAGTAAATGGGAATTGCATTCATCCTGCCTAATTTTATTTGAATTATTCTACTTCATATGTCAAAATCAGTTTTTAAGACCTATAATTTCTAACTTTAAGCCATGACATACACACAGTTTCTTACTTTTCTATTCTCACTGACATGGCCTTAAAGCAAGTCCTGTACTTTTCATCCTCGATGAATGAAATCATCTTTAAAATTATTTCTTAACTTCCAAGTTATCCACTTATTTTCAACAAATTATGTTCTGCAAATGTCAGTTTCACATTGTCTCCCAAACTTTATCATTTGCTATAATTGACTGAAAACAAATTCTTATGCTTTCTTTGTGTGGGTAAAATTGATAATTCTTCTGGAGGTAAATCTGGAGAGATTGGATAAACCTGGTATACTTGCCAAATGATTTAAGATCCCAATCCCATCTCAAATTACTCGAAGTTGATGGAATAATATATTAATAAGTATGAAGGTGCTATAATGTGACAGAGAGAAGTGATAAGTTTCAGTAAGAGAGCATAGGGTTCTGGTTCCTGACAATAAGGTAGACCAGCATAGACTTCAGCTTTTCTTCCAAAAAATAAATCCAGGGGCTAGGCGCGGTGCCTCACACTTGTAATCCTAGCACTTTGAGAGGCCAAGGTGGGCAGATTGCCTGAGCTCAGGAGTTCGCGACCAGTCTGGGCAACATAGTGAAACCCTGTCTCTACTAAAATACAAAAGATGGGTGTGGCGGCATACACCTGTTGTTCCAGCTATTTGGGAGGCTGAGGCAGGAGAATTGCTTGAACCCGGGAGGTTGAGCTTGCAGTGAGGCAAGATCACACCACTGCACTCCAGACTGGTCGACAGAACGAGACTCTGTCTCTACAAAAACAAACAAACAAATAAACCCAAGAAAACCTACAGAATTAAAATGGATAATTGGAACTGTATTTAAAGTGAAATAAAGTGAGAAACATCATTGTCTATGCTGTCATCATACACACACACCCCCCCCCACACACACACACCAAGCATTATCGGTTCAGAATGTGATTCAGAATGTGCAGTGTTTGCAGGTATATGAGTATGCCACATCCTTGCTGGGTGACATATTGATAAAAGAAGGTTATCGATAACCAGTTATTTTAGACGTTTACTTTATTAACCCGTTTCTCTAAATTTCGAGTGTTCGTAGAATAAAAATTAAATGAAATGTCTCCTCCCTCGCTAGAGAGTTTCTGAGTGAAGTAGCATCAAATTGGGTTAGCTGGCAGTGCCTTTGTGTTCCCTGACACTCTATTTGAAGTCTACTCTTATCCTCTTTTTAAGCTCACATTCACAAACCCAACTTGAGGCCTGTACTTTTGCCTTACTTCTGTACACATAACTAGACAGGAATGCTCATATTCCAAGCTGAATGTACACACATAACCAAAATAATTACACATCTGAGAAAAGGAACCACCATTATAGAAAGCGAGAATAATAAACACCGTTCGCCTCATGAAGCAGAGCTTCAGAAATGGATACAATTTTTCTGAGATGCCATAGGACAAACAGTAATTATAAAATAAACACTAAGAAATAGAAAATATAAAGTTAAAAATGACAGAGAATGAATTAAATATCTTTGGAAAGAGAAAACATGCATATAAATGTTAATAATAATGAATATAAACCTGTAAATCAAAACTAACACCATTCAAATTCAAGGGTCTCAGAGGATGCCACCTGGGTTATATAATCAAAATTATACACCTAGATTAAATTTAATAAGATAAAAAATACATCCTGAAAACTTCAGAGAAAAAAATAATCTACAAATAAACAAAAATAAAATTGATGTTAGCTTTTTCAATAGCAGCATGGGATTTAATAATATATTGTAGTTATATTTTTATAGAAATGTGATAAAAGAAATTTGAACCTAGAGTTATACCTGTATTCAAAACTGTATTTAATTTTCAGGGCAATAAAAATGTTCTGAGGCACACAAGAACTCAAAAGCATGTTATGTTAGCTAGGCTTCTCTAGAGGGACAGAACTAATAGGATAGATGTATATATGAAGGGGAGTTTATTAAGGAGCATTGACTCACATGATCACAAGGTGAAGTCCCACAATAGGCCATCTGCAAGCTGAGGAGCCAGTCTGAGACCCAAACGCTCAAAAGTAGGGAAGCTGAAAGTACAGCCTTCAGACTGTGGCCAAAGGCCCCAGAGCCCCTGACAAATCACTGGCATAAGTCCATAGTCCAAAAGCTGAAGAACTTGGAGTCTGATGTTCAAGGGCAGGAAGCATCCAGCACAGGAGAAACGTGAAGGCTGGAAGACACAAAGTCTGCTCTTTACAACTTCTTGTGCCTGCTTTTTTCTAGCTGTGCTGGCAGCTGATAAGATTGTACCCACCCAGATTGAGGGTGGATCTGCCTCTCCCAGTCCGCTGACTCAAATGTTAACCTCCTTTGGCAACACCCTCACAGACACACACAGAAACAATGTTTTGTATCCTTCAATCCAATCAAGTTGACACTCAATATTAACCATCACACTTGTCAAATGAAGGCAAATTTTTAAAACATTCTTTCAGAAAGTACTTGAGAAATAAATTCAAAATAATGTTAAAAAATATGGAAGAAATGATAATCAAATAATTTAGTAACTTAATCATGAATTGCCAAATAAAAATTAGAGGCATAAAAACAAAATTTCTAGACAATATCAACATGGGAATACGTGAGAAAGTATATGAGAGACTGCTAATTAATTGCTTTTAAAAATAACAGTTTTATTGAGATATAATTGATATATCAGAGAATTCACCTTTTAAGAAGACACAGTTAATTATTTTTACTATATTCACAGAGTTGTATATTCATCACCACAATCACTTGTACATTTTAATCATTCCCAAAAGCACACTTGTACCAATTAGCAGTAATTCTGTATTTTCCTCCAAACACCTGTTAAATTAAATTTAATTTGGCCCAAACAAGCCTCTACACTTGGGTGAAAAATTTGGCCCAAAGCAGCTGCATATAGTGAACTGCCACCTAGCTTAATGTGTAAGCAACTTGTAATCCATCTAAGAGTGTACCCTCATACACAGGCAACTGAGTCTCAGCCAGTCTTAGTAGCTAAACCCTCAGCCAATCCCAGGCTGAAGGCTGCCAAATTATGCCCATATAAGGCAAACATGGAACTTTCTGGTTACAATCAGTAATCTCTGTAGGGCATTTTTTGCTTGTTTTTATTTTTATAATACAGTTCACAATTCTTTTTTGTAGAATTTGACTAGTAGATTCTGTCTTACGCTGTTTTCACATTGCTATAAAGAAATATTTGAGACTGGGTCATTTAAAAGAAAAAGATTAATTGGCTCACAGTTCTGCAAGCTGTACAGGAGGCACAGCGATCACGGCTGAAGGCAAAGAAGGAGCAGGCACATTACATGGTAAAATCATGAGCGAGCGAGAGAGAGACAGAAAGGAAGAGAGAGAGAGAGAGAGACAGAGGAGAGAAACAGACAGAGAGAGAGAGACAGAGGAGAGAAACAGACAGAGAGAGAGAGACAGAAAGAGAATGCAAGAGTTGGGGGAGAGTTGCCACATGCTTTTAAATGACCAGATCTTGTGTGAACTCAGAGCAAGACTTATCATTAAGGGAATGGTCCAAGTCATTCACGAGAAGTCTGCCCGCATGATCCAAACACCTCCCACAAGGCCCCATCTCAAACACTGGGGATTACAATTCAACATGAGATTTAGGTGGGACATCCAAACCATATCAGATTCCAAAATTCACAGGGAGTAGCAAGAGATCCATAATTGCCAAAATTATCTTGAAAAAAGATGGTTCAGAATGCGGCCCAGTTCTCAATCTGTTTATTGCTCAAGTACAGTTCATTAAATTTAACTGTTAATATGTTTTCTTTAACATCCTCAACTATAGGCAACCACAAATCTTTTTTATTTCTCTATGGATTTGGCTACTCTGAAATTTTTAAAAAATAAAATCATACAATTTGTGTTCTGATGACTGGCATCTTTCATGTATCATGATATTTGCAAGGTTCATTCATATGAAGGAAAGGTGTAAAACTATTTCTATCCACAGATGACATGATCCTATATAAATAGAAAATTTCAAGAAATTTTATTAATAAATAATTAGGACTAATAAATGAATTCAGAAAGAAAAATCAGGAAACAAAATCAATATATTCAAATCAAGTTTGTATACACTTGAAGGATCTGGAAATAAATGTATTCTTTTTATAGTAGCATCAAAAATAATAAAATACTGGGGAATACATTTTTAAAAAAGAAATACAAAACTTTACTATGAGAATTAGAAGAGATTGTTGAAGAAAATAAAAGAAAACCTAAATAAAGGAAAAACATCCCATGATCATAGGTCAGAAGATTCAATATTGTTCAAGTGTTAACACTCTCCAAATTTATCTTCAGTTTTAATGCAATACCAACTAGAATAGCAGCTGACTTAGTTGTAAAATTTGACTAGTAGAATATAAAATTTCTATGGAATGGCAAGGCATCCAGAATTGTTAAAATAATCTTGAAAACAAAGTTGAAGGACTCACACTTCTTGACTTCAAAACTGACTACAAAATGATGGTAACCAAGACAATGTAGTACTGCCACAAGTATGGACAATATAGATCAATGGTATAGAATTGGGATTCCAGAAATAAAACCATGTGTTTATGATCAAGTAATTTACAACAAGAGAATCAAAACCCATCCAATGGGAAATTAACAGTCTTCCAATAAATGTTGCTGGGACAACTGAATACCCACATGTAAAAAAATTAACCCCTGTATTGTATGTTATACAAATATTAACTAAAAATTGATTAAATATCTAAATGTATCAGTTGAAAGTATACAACTCTGTGAAGAAAATATAGGCATAAGCCTTCATGACATTGATTTCTTAGAAAATATGATTTCTTAGCTATGACACCCAAAGCTCAAGCAACAAAAATAAAAATAGATAAATTGACATAATCCATGAAACCCAAAACTTTTGTTCTAGAAAAGACATCATTAAAGAGTGAAAAGACAACCCAAAATATTGGAGAATATTTTTGTAAATCATATATCTGATAAGGGACTTGTATCCAGGATTTATACAAGGAATTGTTACCACTCTATAATATAGAGACAAATAGCACAATTTTAATAATGGACATTAGAGTTGAATAGACATGTCTCCAAAGAAGATATGAAAATGGCAAATAAGCACATGAAAAGATGTTCAAAATCCTTACCTATTAGAAAATTCCAAATCAAAACCATAATAAAATACTACTTCATAACACTAGGATGGCTATAATAAAAAATTCTAATAGTAATAAAAACTTTGGTGAAGATATGGAGGAACTGGGACCCTTGTATTATGTTGAATGTAAAATGGTGCATCTGCTATGGAAAAAAGTCTAGAGTGATCCTCAGAAAGTTAAACATATATTTACCAAATAACCTAGCAATTCTACTCCTAGGTGTATATGCAAGTATATATGAAATGGAAACATTTGCAACAAAAAAACCTGTCAATAAATGTTAACAGCAGCATTATTTATAATAGCCAAAAAGTGTAAACAACTGAAGTTTCTGCCAACTGATAAAGGACCAAATAGAATGTAGCATATCTATATAATAGAATGTCATTCGGCAATAAAGGGATTAAAGTATTGATATATTGTATTTTATCCCTGAATTTCTCTGGCTGGAACCACCAATATGATGTTAATAGAACTTGTAAGAGTGGAATTTTTTTTTTGTTCTTGATCTTAGGGGGAAAGTATTCAGTTCTTCACCACTAAGTATAATGTTGGCTGTGGGTTTTCATACATGTACCTGTACTTTACCAGATTGAAAAAGTTCCCTTCTATTTCTAGTTTTTAAATGTTTATCATAGAGTGGTGTTAAATTTTATAAAAAATTGCTTGTGTTGAAATGACTCTGTTTTTTGTGTGTTGTGATATGGTCTGGTCTGGTATATTAAATTTACTGATCTTCACATAATCAACAAACTGCATTTCTGTGATAAATCCCACTAGGTCGTGGCTTACAACCTTTCTTTTTTTTTATATATATATTGCCAGATTAAGGTGGCTAAAATTTTGTTGAGAATATATGTGTCTCTATTTATAAAATAAATTGATCTGTAGTTTTCTTCTCTTGTGATGTTTTTCTCTGTTAGCAATTGCATTTTAAGATATATTTATTTCCAGATAGAAAGATATATAGACTGATCGATAGATAAACAGACACAAACACATATACATGCATACTACCTTTTAATATATATGTGTGTAAGTATATAATTTTCAAGAAATCAGTAAAGGCTAATATAAGTATGAATTTTAAATAAAGGGGCAACTGTAATAAAAATGGAAATTGATTTTAAACTGGGATCAAATAAAACTGCTCTATCCAATGGAAAGCAGAAAAAAGTGGATAATTTTGAAAACTACAGGTTATATATAGTAAGTGAGAAAAGTGAAGAATAATACCAGCAGTAAACCTGACTTAAACAGTATCGCATTAGGTGAGTTAAATCTACCATTGTAAAAACTATACTATACTTCCAAATGCATAGAACAACCAAATATAATAATACCCAGTCGATACCAAAATACATATAAATGCACAAGTAAAAGAATAGGCAAAGTTATATGAATTTTAAAAAGCAAAATAAAGCTACAGAGGCAATTTCATATCTGACAAAATTAAATTTAAGACACAAATAGGGAAATATATATTGTAAAAAGTAATACTAGGGAAGAAGATAAAACCATCAACAAAATATGTCCACATAACACTAAAATCTTGCATTATGTTGTATAATAACTGATAAAACTATAAAAAAGACAAAAAATAGCTTGATGTCTTTCATACTACTGCCTCACAAACAGAACTGACAGATATAGAATTAAGATATAAATATTTAAATGCTACTAATAATATAATAAATACAAAGCCTATAAAAATGAACATATTCCTAGAAAAGTATAAAATACCATAATTAACTAAAATAAAACTTGGAAGCTTGAATATGACTGTAAGTATTTTATTTTATTTTTACTTTTATTATTTTTTTGAGACAGTGTTACTCTATTTCCCAGGCTGGAGTGCAGTGGCACAGTCTCAGCTCACTGCAACCTCTGCCTCCTGGGCTCAAGCAATCCTCCTTCTTCAGCCTCCTAACTACCTGGGACCACAGGTGCGTATCACTATACCCGGCTAATTTTTTTGTATGATTTCTAGAGTCAGGGTTTTGCCATGCTATCCAGGCTGGTCTCGAACTCCTGAACTTAAGCAATCCGCCGGCCTCGACCTCCCAAAGTGTTGGGATTAAAGGCATGAGCCACCACGACCAGCCTGAATATAAGTATTTTAAAATGTAGCCACACCATATAACCTAGCAATTCCACTTCTAGTTATATAAGCAAATCAATATCCCAAAGAGACATCAGTCCTCTCATATTCATTTCAGCATTATTCACAACAGGCAAGACATGGAAACAATCAAAATGTCCTGTGGATGAATGAATTGATTTTTTAAAATATTTTTATATGTAAGGAATGTGTGTGTGTGTATATGTATATATAAAACATTATATATATATATATATATATATATATATATATATATGTATATAGGAAATCCTGACATTTGTGACAACATTGATGAACCTTGAGGGCATTATGCAAAGTGAAATAAGACAGAGAAAGACAAATACTGCTGCACGTATTTGTGAAACGTGCATCTCGCTTGTATGTGGAATCTAAAAAAGTCAAACTCAGAGAGCAGAATGATGGCTGCCAAGGAGTAGGGAGGGGGAATATGGGGAGATATTGTTCAAAGTTTACAAACTTTCAATTGTCAGATATCTAAGTTCTGAGGATCTGATGTACAGCATGGTGACTACAGTTAAGCAATACTGTTTTGTATATTTGGCCTTTACTAAGATAGTGGATATTAACTGTCCTTTCCCCTCCCAAAAAAAAATGTAACTAGGTGAGGTGATGAACGTATTAATTAACTTGGTTGTGCTAATCATGCCACAGTGTATTTGCATATCATGGCATTATTGTACACCTTAAATATGTACAATTGTATTTGTCAATTATACCTCAAAAAAGCTGGAGGAGAAACCAACACAGAAAAAATTAATAAAAATAAAAACAGGAGAGACAGACATTGTTCCTTGACACTTGCTTCTGGCTGATTAAAATGAAAATTCTCATATCTGAAGGATTAGCACATGATCTCAGGGCAGACTCTTGCTACAGTGCTGGCTAGCCCATTTGGAGAAAAAAATGCTTTCTTTTTTGTTTGTTTGTTTTGGTATGCTGAGGATTCTCCTGACTTTCTTACCAGCTCAGCAATACATTTGAATATTTTTAATTCAACATTGTAAAGTTATTTTGTACCAGAAGATGGTTTTTAGGCTATCGAATTATCCACATAACAAGAAATAGAAAATGTCTCACACATTTTCCATTACATCCAAAAGTCATAAAATAAAAAATTATTCAGGAACTTCCTTTTCAACGACCACATATGTCTTTGTTAAAATCAGAAAAAGAAAAGAAACCTATCCTAAGACTCAGCTCTGACATTCAACATTTCTTGAAAATCCACAAGTTACAAGACTGATTTTTAGGAATTAAATAGAATAAGCAGAGAATATAGTTTAATTTCTCAAGTAATTTATGGTTTAGGAATAGTAATAGAACAAACACCTAAATTTAATTAGTCTTCCTTATTAGGGAAGAGATGTTTAACTTGACACTTACTGTTTCTTTTAAAGTGACTTAAAATGCAATCACTCTTTCGACTTTTTCTCAGTATCATGTAAATCTTTCATTATCTTTCGTGATAACGATATCTATTTCTATAATTTTACATGAAAAGAGACATCTTTTTTTATTTTCAATTGTTGTAGTATTACCCAATAAGGTGCAGAGAGGTTAAATTATGCTCTGAAAGTAATTGAAAACTAGGTTTGAATACGAATTCAAGTGTTCACTCAACTTGACTGTTGACATAACAACTCAAGTGATCACAAAACCTATGCTCTCGTGCTTTTGCTGTTATACATATGTAATAATTAATAACATGCCCCAGAAAGATCCAAGTGTAACACTTATATGGTAAGGTATATTGCCTAAACATTAAGCAATCTCTGGAATGTTTCTTCTTTTTTATTTTTTAATTTTTAAAGACGGGGTTGTGCTATGTTGCCCAGGCTGGAGAGCTTTTTTATTTTTATTTTGACATATTTATATATCTTAAGTAAAGAATGGTATTTGGTATTTGGTTATAAAAATCCAACAAAAACCTTTTCAACTATACTCATTATGACCAAAGCAATGGTCAAGACTTGGTAACTCTCAGCCTTTGGCAGAAGAATGCATTGTCTCAAATGATCCTTGAACTTAATTTTATAACTTAATAACAAGTTAAACTCTAAAGACATCAAATAATAAAAAAATTATATACACACATATGCTTAGAATAATTCATTAAGAAGCAACATAAACTTTATAACACCTCCATAAATATTTGTTCTTAAATGAATACCCACGGCATATTATATTTGAATATCTATAGTTGAATATTAGCTAAGTAATGACTTTAGGCAAGACACACACATGTGTGCAGATACACACACAGCAGGAGTGATAGTGCTTACATTCACAAGGAAGTTGTAACTAAATGCATATAAAATATCTAATATTTTGTACATTATATGATCACATCTAGCAATATTTTCTGCCTTCAAATAAAGTTTAAAAATTAAAAAGCAAGGTTTTTTTAGCTGTGTTTTATAATATTCTTTGCCTTGTGTGTGAAGTAAAGCAGTGGATTTATTAGCCTTTCTCTAGAATTTATTTGGTTTTATATAAATTAAGTGTATTTTCTTTCTTTTCTGGACATCCTATGCTTGCAACCTCAACAAACATATGTAAGGTATGTCACTTTCAGAAAATGTAACCATTATATTGATATGCATAACTTATATATTTTATAGTATTTTAATAGCTACAGCTCAGAAATAATACTTTAAATTCTATGTCTTTTAAAATGGCACCATTTCTAACAATTATTTACACCTGTATTTCTTCCAATGTTTTCGGGATTCATTGAGAGTTGGTTATGCTGTGCCAAACTTAAAATTGTAGTTCATTGCATGACTAAGTAGTCTTTTTGTAAATTATAAAACAAATAATTGCATTAAATATAAAAATTAAAAGATAAATTTGATAGTAGAATTTTTTCAAATATAGAAAGAATTAAAATATTATTATTTGATTAGTATTCCATAAAAATTTTGATCACATGCAATACATATTTAAAAAATTAAAGAAATTAATATGCTAGCCATTTAGTAATTAAATATATGTTATTTCTAAAATAGTATGTTACATAAAATAGAATTAAACAGTTAATGAGATAGTAATATATTGAAGTGATTTTAAAATAACTAAACATTAGGTAAGCAGTTTGGAATGTTAAATAACTTAAAATATTGGGTTTCATGGGTATGCTATTTTAATCCTATGAGAAAAACATCCTATTTGCTTTCATTTTAGTGCCCTCTTATGGACTTCTAATTCTATGTATCCTGATTCAAGCCTACATAGGTCTTTATATTTCGAAGTGATTTGAAATAGTAAACATTTCTTTTTTTTTTTTTTCTTGCTCTGTCCCCCGAGGCTGGAGTGCAGTGGCGCGATCTTGGCTCACTGCAAGCTCCACCTCCCGGGTTCACGCCATTCTCCTGCCTCAGCCTCCCGAGTAGCTGGGACTACAGGCGCTCGCCCCCACACCCGGCTAATTTTTTGTATTTTTAGTAGAGACAGGGTTTCACCATGTTAGCCAGAATGGTCTCGATCTTCTGACCTCGTGATCTGCCCGCCTCGGCCTCCCAAAGTGCTGGGATTACAGGTGTGAGCTACTATGCACAGCCTGAAATAGTAAACATTTCTCAAATGTGAAAGATAGAACACATTTTTATACTTAGCTAATATTCATACTTAGCTTTATGTGTTATAATGGTTGACTAATTAATTTGGATTTTTTCAAGTATTGTGAAATTACCTATTGTATTATAACTTAGAAATAAGTCAGTTTAAGATTTATTATATAAACTAAATTATAGCAAATGTAAGTTACAATACCAATATAATGATAATGCAATAAAACATCATTTCCAGCATATAACATCATTTCCAGCATATTTTTTAAGGAAAGTGGAATTCCTCATATAGTGTAATGGTTACTGGCTGTCTGAAGAATAGGAGGCTCTCTGTGGTACTGAAATATTCCATTTTCTTTCAGGCACTTGCTATAAATGTGCATGACAACTGCTTTCATGCAGGTGAACAATAGAATAACATTTTAATCCTCATTCTAAAAGAAGGATTGGTCACAGAGAAAAGTGACTTCAATTATTTTCTAAAAAATAAAAGGTGAAGGAAATTGTACTACTTATAAAGTGGTCATTGCTTGCATAGTGACATTTCATTCAACATACATCATTCTAAAAAAATAAAATAAAATAATTGACAAGTTCTTATGCTCCACATATCCTTGGAGTCCTCTCAATTCTAAAAGGATGAATGTTGCTATTGATTTTTTTGGTAGAAGAGTAATTGCTTATCCTTTAGTCCTTAGTCATTATAGATGACAACAGAATATGAGGAATGACAACTAGATGCCTTATTTTCAATACATTTTTCTCTTTTAAATGGAAGTCTTTTGGAATCATTGCTAGCGTAATATAGAGCCTGGGAAAACTAAAATAACAAATTAAAGGATAACCAACATGCATCTAAGTCCAAAATATACCTCTCCTGATACTTTCACACACATGTAAAACTAAAAAGGCAGTATTGATAAATAACACTATGTTTCTGAGGAAATGACATTCACATAGCAGTATTAGATTTATGTAGAACTGCATTTTTTTCTTTTTGTTATACCACACAATTACTCTTTCTCTTTCCTTGTATTTGAGATTAAGCTAATATTAAGGTGAAATGTTTATAGATGTCATAGTTTCCTCTTAAGTTTATTTAAAACCCACAATGTTGAATACTCTAATATTAAGTACCCTGCAATTTGAACTTCAAACAATTCAACTAAAACTGAGTTTCACAGATTTAAACTTTTTTTTATTTCTCATATTATGCAGTATCCTAATTACTTATTTGAATATATTACATGACTTGCTTTTATATACAATTAGCTTTGGATGCAGTTAAGGAACACTACTTCTACACTATGAATAAATAATGACTGAAAATTTAAAATCCATATTAGATAAAGTAAAAAGTTTATCTTCTCTCTCTAAACTGCATCTTGTCAAATCCATCTTGTATTGAAATACTCAAAGTAAGTTCTTCTATCACTAAGGACCCATATTAATTATTTTTACTTTTATTATGTCAGGTTAAATGATGTTCACAAAATTATGGAGATAACCCATCCCTTAGTTTTATAAGGTTTCCTTGTTATTACTTATACATTTTATCACACGACTAAGACTGTATGCTCTTTGACATCAGACTCAGTTCTAATTACTATTTATATTTCCTAGAGTACCACATTCCAGTAGATAATTGCTGATAAGAGGAATAAATTCTTTAAAAAATAGGAAGAATGAAAGGAAACTGATTGTTACTAAAACTTTTTAGGCCAGAAATTTCATGAGAAGAAAGCATATGGGTTTCTCCTTGAACGAGTTAAACTATTGAGAATAGTGAGCTAGAGAGAAGAGGCTTCAGTATGGCTCCTGTGACAGAGGTCAGTATCAACAGACTAAGAATGAGGACAAGGAGTAGAGCTCATTCATTATTTTCTCTAACAATAATTGGAGAAGTAATTATTCTTCAGTGTTTATCATAATACACTAAGGACTCCAAGAAATTGTTCCTTTCCTAATTATTTAACAGAAGAAATGATACCATAACTTAATCAAAATTATATTAATCCCATAATTTTTACAGAAAAATATTTATTCAGTGTTATCATGTATTTTCCACAGAAATGTTAAAGAAAAGTAATAGAAGATATATATAATATGTTGACAGCGGTGGGGAATTAAAAGTATGAGAGCTATGCAAAATGTTATTAACAATGCTATTAACATAATTTTTCCTTTATTTGAATTTAAACTACTAATAGTATAAACATAGAGTCAACAAAAAGGTAGTTTTTAATAGACACATATTTATAAGGGGATTTTTTAACCTACCCCCTCAAACATGGATTCTTTGTTTTATAAACAATTCAATTACAGTCTTTTAGTCATTTAAAAATGTACAATTAAATTGTTATCGACTATAGTCCCTCTGTTGTGCTACAAAATAGTAGATGTTATTCATACTTCCAATTTTTTTTTTGTTGTTGTTAACCGGTTAACCATCTCCACCTCCTCCCTTCCCTCCCACTGCCCTTGCCTGCCTCTGATAATCATCCATCTATTCTCTATCTCCATGAGTTCAATTGTGTTCATATTTAGGTACCACAAATAAGTGAGAACACATGATGATAAGCCAGGAATAAGGGAGTTTTTACAAACTTAATTGAATATACATTCTAAAACAGCCCCATCTTCATTATTAATTTAGAAATGAGGCCAATAACACTCATAAAAGACTATATTTCAAATGATAAGGAATAGAGACAATATTCTGAAAACACATTATTATATATAAGTGATAGATTGTGTAGATTTGATTGAATTATTCCATTTTGGATTATACATATCTATATTTTTAGATAATAAACAATTGAATATTTACTCCTTTATATATTGTTCACTTTGTGTGCTTCCATCTCTACCAAGTAGCTTTCCATATTTGTGAGATAATTATATTATTCAGTATTATAATGATTATTACTATGAGAATTAATAGTATCAATGTTAGAAAAAAATGGATCAAATAGAAAAGTAAAACCAATACATACAAGATAATCTACTTGTAAATTTAAAATATTGGGGCCGGGCGCGGTGGCTCACGCTTGTAATCCCAGCACTTTGGGAGGCCGAGGCGGGTGGATCATGAGGTCAGGAGATCGAGACCATCCTGGCTAACAAGGTGAAACCCCGTCTCTACTAAAAATACAAAAAATTAGCCGGGCGCGGTGGCGGGCGCCTGTAGTCCCAGCTACTCGGGACGCTGAGGCAGGAGAATGGCGTGAACCCGGGAAGCAGAGCTTGCAGTGAGCCGAGATTGCGCCACTGCAGTCCGCAGTGCGGCCTGGGCGACAGAGCGAGACTCCGTCTCAAAAAAAAAAAAAAAAAAAATATTGGTTAAATAAATCATTTTCCAGAGGAGTTAAATTTTCAGGATCATTAATTTACCAAAATTTTATTGTAGTTCAATAATCTAATAACAGTTATCCACATCAGTTTTAATATTTTACCACAAATAACCAAGAAAATCTGCTAAAAATTTTGCTAAATACTAAAATTTCAAAATTAATATGAGCTAAAACAATTTTTTAATGGAAAATATACATGTTACTTTCAGCTCTCAGAGAGCTTAGTATGAGCCCTGTCTAGTGGCAATGATGTGGAAGTAATAGAATGTCATACAAATTACCAGGCAGAATCTAGTGGGAGTAATAAATTATAGAGATAAAATAATTAAAAAGTTTGATTTTCAAGAATCATGACATTTAGAGTCCTTGAGTATGCATATATCTGACGCTTTTACTAAAATGTTAAGTATTAATTTTAAAAGCTTATGTCTGTAAGTGGTATTGTACTGACAAATAAGTTATGCCTTGCAATAATGAAGAGATCACTTTATCCAATATGAAAAGAAGTCATGATAAAAGAGCATTGGACAAATGTTTCACGTTCATAGGCATGAGATTCATGCTGGAATCTCATTACTATTTTATAGAAGTTTTCAATACATGTCGTCTTTATTGTAATATTTTGCAGTATTTTATTCTTGATTTAACTATTGTAAATACCAATGCCAAAACTGCAGAAAGCACCCATTTCAAGGAAAAAAACTCAAATGACTGATTAAGTTTACAAGATGCCCAATGCTCAGTACTTTTCATGCCAGTAACATCTTTGGGGGCTTTCCAAAATTTTAGAACTGAATACACATAGAAGGGAACCACAGCTACTTCTTTGGCAGTAGTCAGTGTATATAATTTACATTGCTGGAAAACTGTGCTATAGTATTCTGAATATACTCAGGAATGTTAGTTCTGATGCTTGAGAAATTAACCTTATTTCAAAAACACTACAATTAATTGACAAATAAAGTAATAACATCTTTTATATGGAAAAGCAAACCTCTGTTCCTCCCAAGCGATTATCTATCTTATATACCTGAAATTACTATTTAGAAAACTTCCATTTACACTGCTGTTTTCATTTAAATTATTTGACAAGATAATCCATATTCATGGTGAGAACTGTCAAAAAGTGCAGAAAAATGAATAATTAATACAGAAACACCAACTCTCACCAAATAATTTATTTATAAATTAATAAATATCACTTGATAAAGATAATTTTTCAGCCATTCCTGGAGTCTGTTAGATATGTGTTACTACAGAAAAAATTATAGCTTTTATCTTTATAACTTAGCACATAAAATAGTTTTTTGGCATTAAAATGTGATTATAAAACTTCCATTTTCAGCTCCAACATGTAAAAATATTGGATCTTGTCATTCTAATCATTACAAAAAAAAAAAAACCTGAACAGAAAGGAAATGATTTATTAGGTCCATCAGAGAATTTAAATCAGTTGACAAACGACCACCTGAACTCTGAAGAAAGAGGCAAGTACAGCAAATAACAGCCTATATCAACTTACCTGGGGCAGAAACCCCAGGTTGCTATAAAATAGTAGGATAATTTACAATAGGTCATTTTGATGAATTCCTAGAGGTTGAGTGTGGATTCGCTTGTGAATAAGAAACTCCTGGGGCCCTTCTCCAAATTTTTGTTAGTTTTATCTACAGGAATTCCATCAGGTAGAACATCTGAGTAACACATTCATACATTTTGGGAATGGGAAGCAGAAAAATAGCCATTTTGGTATAATTGCAGAGCATTCTTCACAACAAAGGCCAACACTCCATGGGAAATTACTTTACTGAGCCTTTTGGAGGGGGAAAGGACAATTATCCAACGTTAGCCCCTTGTAGCTTTCCTACCATGTGTAAGAAGATTTTTAAAATGCTAATAAACATTAATAAAAGTCATAGGCCAAGCATGGTGGTTCAGCCCTGTAATCCCAGCACTTTGGGAGGCTGAGGTGGGCAGATCACGAGGTCAGGAGTTTGAGACCAGCCTGGCCAACATAGTGAAACCCTGTCTTTATTAAAAATAGAAAAATTAGCCACGTGTGGTGGCACGTGCCTATAGTCCCAGCTATTCCGGAAGCTGAGGCTGGAGAATCACTTGAACCCAGGAGGTGGAGGTTGCAGTGAGCTGAGGCCATGCCATTGCACTCCAGCCTGGGTGACAGAGTGAGACGCCATCAATTAATAAATAAATAAATAAATAAAATGTGATAGCCCAGTGAGACAAGACAATAAGATGTGAAATAATTCATAAGAAAATTGAATTGAAATGATTTATCATATATATGGGAGTTCGAGGCCAGCCTGACCAACATGGAGAAGCCCTGTCTCTGCTAAAAATACAAAATTAGCCAGACGTGGTGGTGCATGCCTGTAATCCCAGCAACTCGGGAGGCTGAGGCAGGAGAATCGCTTGAACCCAGGAGGCGCAGGTTGCAGTGAGCCAAGATCGCGCCATTGCACTCCAACCTGGGCAACAAGAGCAAAACTCCATCTCAAAAACAAAACAAAACAAAACAAAAAAACATTGTTTTTTAACTGTTAAATTTAGAGTAATATATACAATAATGTTTGATTTATAACTAATACTGATGTTATTTAAATAAAAAAGGAATAAGGAGAAAATGTGATTTAAGCAGATAATAATAACAAACATGAACTGACAAAACACAAAACATGCCAGTCACTATTGCTAAATTATCATTATGAATTAAAGAATCAAAGTCCTACTATAAGCTGTATAAAAGATACATTTTAGGTTCAGAGCCAGAATAGAAAGAAAGTGGAATGATCAAAAAATACATACCATACAGAAAATAACATAAAGGAGCTGAAGTGGCTACTTAAAGGTAGGCTAGGCTAAACTATGATGCTAGGTCTATTGAATATGTCTTGACTTACGATACTTTCAACTTGCAATGGGTTCATTGAGATGTAACCTCATTGTAAGTTGAGAACCATTTGTAATGACTGATACATGAACGTTCATTTAATGTTTATTGCAGGATTATTCATAGTAGCTAAAAATAGGAAGTAATTAACGTATCAATCAATTGGCGAATAGGAATAAAGATGAATGAATTAGTGATATATGCAGCAATAAGAATGAACCTCAGAAACACTACGCTAGGTGAAAGAACACGGATTAAAATGGCTGCATTCTTGAATATTTCAACTAACACAAATGGTGTGAAAAAAACAGATTACTAACCCTTCAGAATTACTAACAATTGTTCAGAAGTCTCTGGATTTCGAAATACAAAAACCTTCCTTCTTTCCCATCTAAAACTTTGTTGAATATCTAATAACTTGCTAAACCAAATACCTCTGAAAAATATTCTTAAATAGCAGTAAGTAAATGATTAATTAATTATGGTTCTTAAGTAGTTAACTAAGCTAAACTGTATGTAAAAACATATAATTGTATCATTTATTTGACAGCATGCTAAGAGAAAGCATGAATGCCATTTTCAAATATGCTGCAAATTACATCCCAAAATGTAATTTTTAACACAAAGTAACAAAACATGGTAAAATAAAGACCGGAAGATTCCAAGCCATCTGATTTATTTAGCGAGTAAAAGGGAGAAGTAGTTGAACTGCCTAGTATTTTTTGAAGGGAAAATCATTTCACCCAACGTTGAACTTAGAAGAGCAATACAATGTAGGTGAGAAAAAGTGAATCAGAGAAATTCCTGAGTGTCTCTAGACAGAAGATAAACGCCACAGATTGTCTCCTTTTGAGAGAAGAATATTGGGGTGAAGTGATCAAGCCCCAAACAGGTGATTGACTATTAAATTCAATAACCTCCTCAGTTTTCTTATTGACTTCTCAAATCTCCCATTAAGGAAATGTCTCAAGGGAAAGACACAAATAAACTACAAAGAGAGTGATTTGAAATAAAGCCAGCTCCAGAAATAAATGCCGTTACAAATGAATATGAAAATAAAAATTGCTACAAAATATAAGCTGGTTGTGCACTGCTTAAATCATTACAAATGCAGATATATCACTCAGTGTTGAAATCTTATTTAAGAAACATATAAAGTATAGATATTTGGAATGAAAATCCATTCACTTGTTTAGGTTGTAAAATCATGCACTGTGTTCTCAGAAATAGAAATCTCTTTAATAAAGTGTTAAAAATAAAGGTAAAGACAGGAGGACTCCTGATCATTTTGCTTTTTTCATGTGTTCCATTTCTAGGGGAAAATAAGACTCTAGATAAATCTCTCTCTCTCTCTCTCTCTCTCTCTCTCTCTCTCTCTCTCTGTGTGTGTGTGTAGAGAGAGAAAAAAGAGAGAGATGTTTGCAACAGCAACACTTTAATTTGACTACGACTTAATAACCTACAGTAGCACAAAAATAGCCTAGTAATGGGTAAAAGTATTTAGAAGGAGGATTCTCAGCACTGGCTTTTGCAATACCTTATATCCCTAAATCTGTTTGGAAATGCATGAGCACATGGCAAATGGTATAAATGATACAATTTTTCACATTGTAGAAATCATGGAACATCTATAAATATAGCAGCATCTTAACATTCTACATAACAAAATGATTCTGCATTGGTTCTTTCCTAGCTTATCTCCAGTGTAAAAATTTTGAGAGCTAAAAAAGAACTCTCAAATTGGGGAAAAGGGTTTTGACTGTGATTATTTTGTACATCTTAACAGTTGTCATATAATTTAAAATCTAAAATTTGGTACATTTAATAATACATCATTATAATTAAAATGCATAAGTTGGATATGGATGCCTCATTTATCAATGACTTAAGTTCTAAAGGGAGCTATTACTTAAACTCAATTGACTTCATTATGCTAATCTAAGAAACTATGCTAAAATCTGGCCAGCTGTCAGTGAATGTGCACTTGTCTCAGGTTCCTGTTGCTTCATTTTATTTTGAAAGATAACATGTTAATTAGTTATTGGTTTTCTCTCACTCTTTCCACTGCTCACTCTATACAATTTCTTATGATGATAATTATTCATCCATAATTAGACTTCATGTGCATTATTAGTCATCCAGTTACAAATATTTTTACATAGTAATTTGAAATCGTAATTTCCTGTTTGAGGAAGTAGTTGTAAATATAGGCCCCTGTAATAAAATAAGCTTTTTATAATCTTATTTAACAATAATGTTGTTATAACAGTTTGAATAAACCATTTGTCATTACTGAAAAAAATATGAATTAATATTAGAACCATAATTAGGAGTAACATATGCCAAAGTATAATAGTAAATTTTGTATACTTTCATCTCTATAGGAAAAAAAAAGATTGTGCTGTTGGAGGTTAGAGTAGTATTTATTTTATGGACTTGTGAAGTCTGCAGGTGGTGCATTCAAGAGCCTACCAGATTTGGAAACCCTGGAAGTCTCGTGTCTAAACAGGGATCATAGCGGTGGAGATGTAAAGAGCCCAGCAGACTGAGGGGCCATGGAGGAAGCACCTTGGCTCTTCTCAGCACCAGCTTTTAACTTGAAAGGGTTTACAAAGCTATGTTCTTCCCATGTAGCTACTCTACCTGCCCTGGATACAGTGCTGCAGCATCTCCTCACCCACACTAATTTCTTCTTTCAGGTGTCAATACCTCTTGCCACTGGCTTCCATTCCAATCATTTGGTACCATTCTGATTCTTTACCTGAAGGCTAGTTATGTATGTTTAAGGGTATATTCACAGCATCAAAATTCAGAGAGCTCTACATTTATGATGCTTGCTCTATACATATATTTGATGAAGTTAAAAATTCAAGTAACCAAAAATAAATCTATTAAAAGGCTTGCAAGACCACTTCACCAAAAACTGCTGATCATTACTAAGAGAAGTTAAAGAATCGCAAAGACAATTGAAGGTTATTCAATGATCATGGCTTAGAAAAATCAATAATGCAAAGAAGCCAATTCTCCCTAAATTGGCATTCCAACAAATAAAAATTTTTGCAGATTTTTAAAATTGAAAGTGACTGGCTGATTTTAACATTTGTTTAGAAATGTGAAAGCCTGGAAATTGTTGGAAATAGTCAAGACAATAAAACGTAAACACTTCTAGATATTAGAAGCCTATAATAATAAAAAGTCTAGACTAGACAAGAATAGAAAAATGAATGAATGGAATAGAATAGAGATTTCAGGAAAAGGTATGAGCACATACTTTATCTTTCTATATGACAATGCTAACAGAAGTTCAAAGTAAAAATTTTATTTTTAAACAATAAAAATAATTTAAAAATTAGTCTTTCTTTTGCCTTTTAATGGGACATGATTTATAGTATGATAAAGTTGAACCACCTCACATATTTTGACAAAAAATTGCATGATTACACACCTAAGTGAGAATACGCTTTGATTAAATGATCAGCTTATATAAATTTTGTACTTAAGATAATTTCTAATGCATAGTTGAATTATTCTGACATTTAAAAAAGCTTTTTAAGGCTGGGCGCGGTGGCTCACGCCTATAATCCCAGCACTTTGGGAGGCCGAGGCGGGCGGATCACGAGGTCAGGAGATCGAGACCATCCTGGCTAACACGGTGAAACCCCGTCTCTACTAAAAATACAAAAAAACATTAGCCGGGCGTGGTGGCGGGCACCTGTACTCCCAGCTACCCGGGAGGCTGAGGCACAAGAATAGCGTGAACCCGGGAGGCAGAGCTTGCAGTGAGCCGAGATCGCAGCACTGCACTCCAGCCCGGGCGACAGAGCAAGACTCCGTCACAAAAAAAAAAAAAAAAGTTTTTTAAAAAATAAACTGAATAAAGTAAATAAAATAGTTTTTCCATCCTTCATAGCAAATACAGTTGTTGCTTCCTTCAGAATAAACAGGATTATGACTTTAAATTCTTACTCTATTGAATTGAGAAGAAAGAACTTTAATTTGACAAGGTGAGCAAAGAATGATAAAAAATACGTGGCAAATTTATTTGAAACTCTGATATATCTGAAGTTTATAGTTCAAGGATTATCACAGATTGCATAGCTAGTTACTTCCTAAATAACTTTTTCTGTATATACTTTCGTAGGAAACCTGGGAATTCCTCCACCCCAAGTGTCCTCAATGTTTCTTAATGCTACTTTTGACCTCTCAGTTGCCTATAATTACATGCTGAATTAAAGAAAGAATACATGACTGAGTATCTTCTTTTGCCCTAGGAAGTGAACAAGATTAGGTGGGTGTTTGTGTTAAGTTTTGCTTGGAAGCAGACCTAGAAGGCTTTTCAGCAAAAAACAATCTTAGTGTGGCTTGTGACAATTTATGAACATTTTCTAACTTCTAACTGAAACAAATAACTATATTTTTCTCCCAACTAGTCATGTTTATTTTTGTTTACAGCACTTATTATAAATTGAGATGGATACTTTTTTTTTTTTTTTTTTTTTTGGGACAGTCTCGCTCTGTCGCTCAGGCTGGAGTGCAGTGGCGTCATCTCAGCTCACTGCAAGCTCCGCCTCCCTAGTTCAGCCATTCTCCTGCCTCAACCTCCCAAGTAGCTGGGACTACAGGCAGCGCCACCACGCCTGGCTAATTTTTTGTATTTTTAGTAGAGACGGGGTTTCACCGTGTTAGCCAGGATGGTCTCGATTTCCTGACCTCGTGATCCGCCCGCCTCAGCCTTCCAAAGGGCTGGGATTACAGGCGTGAGCCACCGCCCCCTGCCTATACTTTTTTTTTAAAGGACTATTGAAATGTTGAACCATCTGAACTACATTTTGAGCACTGAATAGCTTAGTTTTAAATGTTATGGCTAGTAAGGAGACATCTGTAAAACATAAAAAATGAATCATTTGTCTAATCTACATTTTTAAAATATAAAAATTGATGAAACATTTTCTGTGTACTAAGGACTTTCATCATAAAAGTGACAATAAAGAAATGATGTTACAATAACCTCATCTCACTTAAATTGATAAAAATTGCCAAGTTTATTTATGGTATTTATGCTTTTCTTATGATAGGACAAAATTAAAATAGCTAATTTGTTTGCCAAATGCCTGAGAAAGTAGTAATAACTAGTAATTTTACCTTCTAATACCTTCCTAAGTAAAAATATTTACCCACATCCCAGATAAAGAAGGAATTAATATGTGAAATGATGTAAGGTTTTGGAAGAAAGTCTAATATTTAGGGTAGTAAGTTTGATACCATATGCATACATAAAGGCACGGGTAGTGGGAGGAAGAGAGCAAGAAAAGAGAGCAGGATAAACTTTAATGGGTACAAATTAGTAAAGAGCTTTCTGATGTGCCATTCTAGAAATGTAGACACCTTCCAAAGGCAACAAATCGTGGTCTACATAAGATTTCTACTAAAGAAACAAATTGACCCAATTATTGTTTTCTGACAGGTAATTTATAGGATTGTAAAGAATGAAAGTCAGTTCCTCACAAACAAATCTGTGCACTGGAAGACAGCCCATTACTGCCTGTACCCTTTTCAACTGTTTTTCCAGGAAATGGCTACATAATATCATTTCCAATCTAGATTCCCTACAACATCTCTAAACCTATTTGAATTTACTAGATTCTCTAAATAAATATTGACCATTCCTATGTGCTTAAATACAATTAAAATGCCTAAGTCCTTTAGGAGATTTAGTTCATCTGTAAAGCATTTCCAAAAGGCATTTCCAACATTTGATAACATTATCACCCTTTGCAATGATTTTGTACCATCTCTTACAACATCCCAAGGTTAACACCCTACCATATACAGTTCTACAGTTAGTGGAACTAATCCTCTTCTTTCCTCAGATAAACTTGAATAAAAGACCCATACATTTTTCTACAAAAATACAGTGTATTTCTGCTGGGCATCAGCAAACATACACTACAGCCTTCCCACCCTGGCAATGTTTGTAAATCAGCATCTATAGAAACATACAACTGCAGGTTTAAAATGAAAAGTAGCAGCCTTTCATATAGCCCTATATACTCCATTATGGCTAAAAGTTATTTCATTAAATGTGGCATAACAGGTTAAAAATACAAATAGCCTAATAGGATAATCTAGTATATCACAATTAGTTCTGTGGTTTTAGAAGAGAATTATATTTTTAAAAATTATGTATTTGTCAAAGCCATTTTGTCAAGGAAAGCCTAGTCAGAAAAATTGTGGTTAAGGCCCCCTCGTTAATGATTTTTTCTTTATTTGATGTGAACATAGTTCTTTATATAAATCCTCCTTGTCTATTTGATAATGTAGACTCATTTCAATGCATATATTACTCAGCTAATGTACCATTTACCCCTATTATTTATTTATTTATTTATTTATTTATTTATTTATTCATTCATTCATTTATTTGAGGCAGGGTCTCTGTCACCCAGGCTGGAGTGCAGTGCCACAAAGAGAGCTCACTACAGCCTCGACCAATTGAGATCAAGTGATCCTCCTGCCGGAGCCTCCTAAAGTGTTGGTATTATAGGTGTAAGCCACTGCACCTTGCCTATTAAATAGTTGCACTTAAGAAAGTTATAAAATTTATACCGTAAATGTAACATTATTCAATATGATCCCTGGTGTTTCTAATTGAATAACTAATTACAACGACTATAAAAATCAGAATGTGAATAGTACTGTAAAGTTTCTTTTATATTGTCAAAAATATAAATAATACAAAACTTACCATTTAACCATTTTTAAGTATACAGTTCAGTGGCATTAAGTATACTTACATTGTTGTGCAATCATCACCATTATCTATATCTAGTACTCATTCATCATTACAAACTGGAACTCTGTATGTATTAAATAATAACTCCCCATTCCTTCCTTTCCCCACCCACTGGTGACTGCTACTCTATCTTCCATGTCTATGAATTTGACTATTCCAGGTACTTCATGTACATACAATCATACAATGTCTGTCATTTGTGTCTTATTTTACCTAGCATGTCTTCAAGATTGATTCATGCTGTAGAATGTAGAAGAATGTCCTTTGTTTTAAGGCTGAAAAATATTCTTTTGTATGTATTAAATATTAAACCACATTTTGTTTATCTCTTCATATCCTGATAGACATTTGGGTTATTTCCACCTTTTGGCTATTATAAACAATGCTGCTATAAATGTTGATGTACATATTTCTGTTTAAGTCTTTACTTTCAGTTCTTTTGGGTATATTTACCAATAAGTCAAATTTCTACATGATATGGTAATTTTATATTTAAAATTTTAATGGTATTTAGCTTTAATTTCTTGCACTAATTTAACAGCATATTCTAGCTGAGAAATACATATATGAGTTAACAAAATCTCGTTTATATTCTTATTTCAATCTTCCTCCCATTTATCTTCCAATACAATATCCTAAAAATTTGATCCCACCTTATATTTACCTGATGCTCTCAACCCAATCAATAATGTTGGGGAAACACTAGAAAGATTTTGGTAATTACTCATCTCCATGACATTCACAAAGTTGATGCACAAGGCTTTTAGTTGAGGTAAAAAAAGGAAAAAAAGAAAAATAATTCTAGAATCTATTTCAAGTTTGACAATATGAAAATGGATACAAAGTGTATTTAAATATTTTTATTTCTTGGAATATTCAAAATCTGAATTGGGCTTCAAAATTAGTAATTTGGTGGAGGGTTTGTCTTCTTGGGGGATAAAGTCATTTTCTCCTCTGAAGAAGATTACTACATAGTTGGCTTTGAATTGAAAAATATATAAAAATAAAGTTAGTCATTTAGCGTTAATTCTATTGTACCTTGTAGAAATTTAAACACATGGCCGGGCGTGGTGGCTCACGCCTGTAATCCTAGCACTTTGGGAGGCTAAGGTGGGTGGATCACGAGGTCAAGAGATGGAGACCATCCTGGCTAACACTGTGAAACCCCGTCTCTACTAAAAATACAAAAAATTAGCCGGGCATAGTGGCACGCACCTGTAGTCTCAGCTACTCAGGAGGCTAAGGCAGGAGAATCGCTTGAACCGAGGAGGCAGAGGTTGCAGTGAGGTGGGATCATGCCACTGCACTCCAGCCTGGGTGACAGAGTGAGACTCCATTTAAAAAAAAAAAAAAAGGAAATTTAAACACATAAAGCACATAAAGGAAACAATCTTTGATTTTCTAATTTTGAGAAAATCTAAACAGTTCGTTCATACAGATTTAATCCATGAAAACTGAAATATAGGCTCAAAATGAGTTAATAATTCAAGTTGGTTCATTAAATCTTTTATGTTGAAAATCATAGAATTCTATGTAGACAAGCATAGCCTCCAATATTTAAGTGAACAAATAGGTTTCCTTCACAAATATTTTAACAAATATATGTTTATTTACCATGTGAATTATCTATGAAGATAAAAATTCAACAGTTGGAGTACCTAAAACTTCTCAATATTAGAAGAAAGTTTGCTTCCACTTCTAGAAAACAGATTTTGATGAAATCTTAAATTTTTTTTTCCTTTTTTTTTTTTTTTGAGACGGAGTTTCACCTGTTGCCCAAGCTGGAGTGCAGTGGGCTCAATCTCAGCTTGCTGCAACCTCCGCCTCCCAGGTTCAAGAGATTCTCCTGCCTCAGCCTCTCGAGGAGCTGGGACTACAGGTGCATGCCACCACGCCTGGCTAATGCTTTGTATTTTTAGTAGAGACAGGGTTTCACCATGTTAGCCAGGATGGTCTAGATCTGACCTCGTGATCCGCCCGCCTCAGCCTCCCAAAGTGCTAGGATTACAGGCATGAGCACCGCGCCCAGCCTTGAATTCCTGATAACAAAATATAGGACCACAAATAATTTACTGATATTTTTTAAAAACTCCAAATACCAAAAATTATCAGACACAATGGCTATTTGAGTAAATATATTTTTTGGAATGCTAATTTCAAGACATTACCATAGTTTAAAATCTCTTAGCTTAACAACTGAAGCCTGCAGTAGGCTCAATCTTTTGTTGTTATTCATAATCATTGCTAAATTAATTCATAGTGGTTCCAAAATTAAACAAAACTTCTTGTCAAAGTTCAATCACAAATTGCACTAAAACAAACAAGGATCTGATAAGATTCTATCACTTTCTTGGGCAGATTCTGTGTTTAATTTACATATATTTGTAAAATTGCAATAAATCATTTGGCTGATGCTAAAAACAATGCTTCAGACATGGACAGAAACTACTTATAATAATGTTTCTCACCAGCTCAATTCAGAACCTGCTCCATCTTTAACATGGAAGAAGTTCATACTTCACTACCTCGACGGCAAAACTATTCCTTAGAAAACAGGTACCACAGTACAATAAGCACATTTTTTCACTAAAATTATTCAAATATTTAAAAAGTTAATCCTTATAGAGAATTGTTGTATGTTTATTAAGTTACTTATATGCTATTCCTGTTTATATTCCACCTTTAATTCTAACTTCCTTCTTCCTGAAAACCATTTTTCCAAAATTCTGTTAGCAGGTGTTTGGTATGGCTAAATTCTTACACACACACACACACATACACACACGCACACTTCTCTCAATATATATGTGTATATATGTGTGTGTATATACACATATACATATATATGCGTATGTGTGTGTATATACATATATACATATATATGCATTACATATAATGTGTCTACATATGTACATGTGTATATGTATATGCATTTTTCTATATGTGTATATTTTATATATAATATATACACACATAATATATACATATATATGAAATATATACATATATTTAGAAATGTGTGTATATACATATATATATACACATACACACAGTCACACATGCATAAATATATTTCAATAGTTTTGGGGGTACAAGTGATTTTTGTTATTATATGAATGAATTGTGTAGTGGCGAAGTGTGAGGTTTTAGTGCACCAGTCACTCAAGTAGTTTACATTGTACTCAATATGCAGGTTTTTATCCCTCACGCCCCCCACCCTCCCTCCTTCTGAGTGTTGTATGCCTTTGTATATGCATAGCTTAGCAAGTGAGAACACACAGTATTTGGTTTTTCATTCTTGAGTTACTCTACTTTGAATAATGGCCTCCAGCTCCATCCGAGTTGTTGCAAAAGACATTATTTCACACTTTTTTATGGCTGAGCAGTATTTCATGGTGTATGTAAACTGCATTTTCTTTTTTCATTCATCAGTTGATGGGCACTTAGGTTGGTTTCATATATTTGCAATTGTGGATTGTGTTGTAGTACACATAAGCATGCAATTGTGTTTTTTATATAATGACTTCTTTTCCTTTGGATGGATACCCAGTAGTGGGATTGCCGGAATCAATGGTAGACCTACTTTTAGTTCTTCAAGAAATCTCCTTGTATGGCTAAATTCTATGGCTTTGTTTGTCTGACATTTTAAAAGTTATTTATTCCTCATTCTTCAGTAATATAAATGTTTCCTATGACATATAGTATCAACATTTTAAAGGTTTTATAATTAGATTAATATATTATGCAAAAACAATATAAAGTATAAGAATTTAGGCAAGCAGAGGATGGGATAATAAGGTGCAGCAACATTTAACATTGGAGAGAAGAACAAGAACCTACAAAAATATAGAAAAGCAATAGCTCTAGAGTTAGGACAGCAATCAAGATAAGTGGTTTCCTGAAGTTAAAAATAGGAATGGTTTTCAGGGAGCAAAGTTTCACTTAGAAGACTAATTCAAATGCAGTATGAAAGGAAGAATGTATATAGAATTTAGAAGAAAGGTGATATTGAGAACCTTTACAAGTGCAGTTTTAGTGTAACAACATGTTTTTGAACAAATAGCAAAGCACTAAGGAGGCAGTGAGGAGTGAAATAAACAATGCAGCTAGATGATGTGGACCATTACTCTAGCCTTCTGCTATGTATGGCTAAAATTAGGGGAGAGGTTAGGATGATGTAGTGTTAAGAGAGGTTTTTCCATCATTGTTATCATTGGAATAAACAATTGAATGAATATATGTAAATACTAATAGAAGGAATCTATAGAAAGGGAGAGCTCAAAGTTCCAGGAAAGGCATAAGATGTTGAATTGTGTTGTGAAGTGGGTTTCCCAAGTAGACTGCCCCTGGTATCAATGGGACAGATACCTGTGGAAGGAGGATGAATTGGGCAGAGGGAGATATCCACTGCAATGCAGACCAGATAAAAGCCTTCAGAAACTTCACAGGAGCCTGTGTATCTATAAAGACTTTTCTACAGAAAAATATTTTATAGACTTCAGATATTATAAATAGATTTTAAGAAATCTATTTGTAAATAGAATCTATAAAGCCATCTGAACAGATGAGTTATTTGATATGAGCTGGCAGGAAAGGGCTGTACTTTTGAGTAAGGTGGATCTCTAGAACTGAGGCAGTCACTGAGCGGTGAAGGCTGTCTGCCAAAAACAATCCCAAAAACTGAGTCTGATAAAGGCAAGGGTGGTTGTGATCCTAAGCATAGATAAAATAACAACTTTGGATAGATAAAGAAAACATTTTCAGTAACAGAAAGGCCAGCCTATGATGACATGAAAAGACATAACTAGCTCTTGGTATATATGTAAAAGATACAAATTAGAGGCAAATCTCTAGTGGTTGGACAGGTGTTTAAGAAATAATAAATTCGGGGCCGGGTGCAGTGGCTCATGCCTTTAATCCCAGCACTTTGGGAGGCTTGAGGCTGGTGGATCACTTGAGGTCAGGAGTTTGAGACCAGGCTGGCCAACATAGTGAAACCCCACCTCTACCAAAAAATACAAAACTTAGCCAGACATAATGGTGCTCACCTGTAATCCCAGCTACTTGGGGGGCTGAGGTGGGAGAATCGCTTGAGCCCACGAAGCTGAGGTTGCAGTGAGCCAAGAACGCACAACTGCACTCCAGCCTGGGCAACAGAGTGACACCGTGTCTCAAGAAAATATATAATAATATTGGTGAGGATTTTGGCATCAAGGAAAGAGTAGAAGTCAATTCAGGTAAGGTCATCAAGCAGCAAGGAGCACTGGCAAATCAAATGTAGGTTATCAACCCAGAAAGACTGTAATGCAATGGAGAAACTTGACATCTAAACAGTGAGTGGGGAAAAGGGTAGTTATATTCATTTATGGTTTCTTAAAGTGCCGAGGACTATGCTAAGCATTTTATGAGAAGCAGCATTGCACAGTGGTGATGAGTAAGGGCTCTGGAGCCAGAGAGCCAGAGTTAACAATCAAATACTGTCACTCACAGTCGATTGACCACAAACAAGTTACTTTCTGAATTCGATTTTCTCTTCTGTGAAATTGAATTAAAAGTAATATTACTAAATTTATTTTTTATTGCTGTAGGATTATGTGAAAGTTTATATGTAGATATTGTCACTGAATAGATGATTGACATTATCTTTATGATAATCAAAGTCATGTGAGGAAAAGCAGGAACCTTAAACCTTGGTTTGTGGGATGAGACACAGAAATCATAAGAAACACATATTCACTTAATGACAGTAAGGTAAAAGATGAAATTGAGAATTGAATGAGGAAAAATTTAATCCTAAACTATTGAGCTTTTAACCTAGATTTTCTTACATTAAGCCTCTAACTGTCAAGATAAATTCCAGAATGTGAATTAGGTTTGAAATATATATATGTGCATTTTGATTGACTATAATTGTGAAAAGCCAGAAAATTAGTTCACGGCAGATTCTCAGGAGCAAAAGAAGCAAGAGTTACATTCATCAAGCACTTGATATATGTTGGTCATTGATAAAAGCACTCTATGTACATTATTTTATTTAATCCTCAGAAATATCAAGTGAATTAACGATTTTTAGAAACATAGGAGATTTAACTAAGTCAGGGAAAGATTAAAAGGTGATAACTGGCTATATTTATTGGACCTCTGCAGAATTAGCCATTGGATGTGAGTTGGACAGGAAAGAGGTGTATACAGTTATAATAATTCAAATTGGTAAAATCTGAAATCATATAGGTTTTTCTCATTTCAAAGTATGTTGGGCCACATGTGTGTTCATATCACTGCAGATAGTCTCATGAAACTGAAAGAAATATATAATAAAAAAAGGGAAATAAAAAAGAGAACATAAATAGGGGCCACACATGAACATGAGTTAATTCTTCTCTCACAAATAAATAATTTACACATATAAAGTCTTATGAAGACATACTATAGTACTAATTATAAGAAATAAAAATAATGTTTACCTACTTTCTGATTTATGTTTATTTTTATTAGCTGTTAATAAACTACATGGTTTTAATATGCATATCTCAGAGTTCTTCTGGTCTTACCTCCCTGGAAAGTAATGACGGACATTTTCACTGTCTTGAGTGTCCACCTATGGAATGCAGAATCTTGGCACCTAAGATGTCCTCTGATAGCATGTCTGAGATTTGTGGAAGGTGCTTTACAAGTGTTTGTGTATGTGCCCAATCTGAATGAAAATTTATCATTACTATTATTGCATTTATCCTACAAAGTGTGGTTGCAGCTCTGTAGCGTAAAACAAAATTAGAGTTGCTTCTTCACTGGGTACCTCAGTGCTGCTTGACTCTGCTGGGCTTTCGAGGACCACTTGGTCTCCTCCACTCTCTCCTCTGATCTGCATAATCATTCATTCTCCTGCTCTGCTGTGCAGCACAGTTCCCACATGGGATGTTGCTAACACTCCAAGGCAGCATAAAGGGATGGGGAGAACACCCTTTACTTTTGGCTTCAGATTCACTGGACGAGTCCCACAGTAGTGTCAAGGCATGTGAAGCAGAGCAACTCCATCTTAAATAGAAGCTGGGTAAAATGATGCTGAAACTTACTGGGCTGCATTCCCAGATGGTTAAGGCATTCTGAGTCACAGGAGGAGATAGGAGGTCAGCATAAAATATAGATCATAAAGTCCTTGCTGATAAAACAGGTTGCAGTAAAGGAGTTGGCCAAAACCCACCAAAACCAAAATGGTGACGAGAGTGACCTCTGGTCGTCCTCACTACTACACTCCCACCAGCTCCCACGGCAGTTTACAAATGCCATGGCAACATCAGCAACTTACCCTATATGGTCTAAAAAGGGGAGGCATGAATAATCCACCCCTTGGTTAGCATATCACCAAGAAATAAGCATAAAAATGGGCAACCAGCAGCCCTCAGGGTTGCTCTGTCTATGGAGTAGCCATTCTTTTATTTCTTTACTTTCTAAATAAATTTACTTTCACTTTGCACTGTGGACTTGCCCTGAATTCTTTCTTGTGCGAGATCCAAGAACCCTCTCCTGGGGTCTGGACTGGAATCTCTTTCCTGTAATATCTTTCTGGTGACCAGGAAGGGACTATACTGAGGAAACCCTGACCCAAAGGCTAACTTTGGGTAAGTGGTGGGGTCCAGTAACATCTTTCTTGCAAACCACCAAAGGGTCAATACTGAGGAGATGCCTCAACCCAAAGGAAATAGATGGCAGCACTGACTGGATGACTTTGGGTAAGTGGTGGGGTACCCAGGTAAATAATAGAATTGAGTTAGAGGCCCATTTTAGGGAAGTTAGAGTCTCTCTCAACACAGAGTGGGTTAGAAACCCCTCTTAATAAAAGGCAAGGACGCTTGACCGACCTTAGGTTAGAGGCCCAACTTGGGAGGGTTAGTGTCCCTTCTAAGATTTAGGTGGTTAGAGGCCCCTCTCAGTGAAGCCACTCTTGGTTAAGAACAGGTTTGGCACTATAGGATGCTAACTGCTATTCTCTTTGGATTAATTTGCCTTTCACTCTTTGCTGATGGCTGTGGGTGACAAGATTAGGCATGTACAGGATCATGGGACATGGGCAGCTTTTTCTTCCCTAAAAGGGGAAACGTGAGAGTTGATGAGACTGCTGGAAAAAGTCCTTTGCTACCGACAAGTGGCCACCTGAGCTTTTCATTGTCAGCTGCAATGAGTGGGCCTTTTCTCTAGTTCCTAAGCTCTTCACTTTCCCCACCCTGCCACAGGCAATGCTTTCCTCCTCTGCTTTTACTTTCGTATCTTTT
Organism: Homo sapiens; assembly: GCF_000001405.40. Lineage (NCBI taxonomy): Eukaryota > Metazoa > Chordata > Mammalia > Primates > Hominidae > Homo > Homo sapiens. The sequence goes on from NC_000014.9 coordinate 43,577,745, forward strand.
CTGTTACTTAGGGCAACCATATTGCCCAGAGACCACATATTGAAACTCCAAGTTGGAGGTTGGATTAAAGATGATGGGGCCCATCTGGGGGCAAATTTAAGCCTTGCCAGTTTGATATTGGGTGCTAAGTAGAGTGGCTAAATGTCTATGTTTTATCACATGTATTTTGTTCTGGCCAGAATGAAAAAAAAATGTTTCCTTAATGATGTGGCTTGGCCTCCAGGGCGATGGTGCTACAAGCCAGACCACTAGGGCTGCTCAGAGAAAGAGAACACAGAAGCCTGGCATGCCAGCAAAAGGGTAAGAATTTCTTACCAGTCAGATTTCTTGCTTCTCTCTGTGGAAATGATTGAATAAATGGGAGGAAAAATCAGTATTTATCTCCTCTGTAAAGTTTTGATTAATGTGAAAAAGAATTCTAAGGCTAGTCTTAAACTAGTATATTTTGTGTTATGAATTCATTTTTCTGTGTCAAGGGGTACCTTAGGATAAAACACAGGCTTAGAACACCTGTAAGCCCACTTTTCAAAACAACCCAGAAAGCTGGTCAGTAACAAACGTGGCTGCAGGTCCCTGAAATGAACCAAAAAACTGAATGAAATCTCCACTTTATTTTATGTCCTTGGAAGCCTGACCTTTTAACGATGTGGTGGTACTTTCTTTTGGTCTCCGCCTTCAAGGGAACATAAATTTTAGGGTTCGTGTCATAGCTCTAAAAATCACATTAAATAGTTAAAAGGCTTTGCAAGGTCAAAATTAACTACTCTAGGCTTCTTCTAGGAAAGGAATTGGAAACTACCCTGTGCTGTAGCTCAGTAGGTAAGGTTTCACACTTTCATACGGTGGTCCAGGTTCAATTCCCCACCTAGAAAGTAAGTCTTTTCTGGTTTAATATCTGTGTGACCTTGTCTATTCTCTTCCATGGACTGTTAAAATTTCCTTTCTCTAAGCCCCTGGGAGGATACATTTGGTAACGTTCAAAGCCAAAAATATTGGCCGTTTGGCAAAAGAAATTCTTTTTTTTTTTTTTTTTTTTTTTTGGAGATTTGAGTCTCGCTCTGTTGCCCAGGCTGGAGTTCAGTGGCACAATCTCGGCTCACTGCAAAGCTCTGCCTCCCAGGTTCACGCCATTCTCCTGCCTCAGCCTCCCGAGTAGCTGGGACTACAGGTACCCGCCACCACACCCAGCTAATTTTTTGTATTTTTTAGTAGAGATGGGGTTTCACCGTATTAGCCAGGATGGTCTCGATCTCCTGACCTCGTGATCCGCCCACCTCGGCCTCACAAAGTGTTGGGATTACAAGCGTGAGCCAGGCATAAGAAATTCTAAAAGCACTTTATTAAAGAATGCTATGGTTAAAAAATCAGTTTAATTAAAAGTGAATATTCAAGCTCTAACAGCCTGGACTCTTTGGGAAAAACAGGAGGCACCACAGACCCCTTTCCTGGCCCTGTTCTTCCAAGGGCTCCACCCTAAAGCCAGTAATCCAGTTAAGAAGCTTAAAAACTAGCAAACAAAAAATCTTACAACTACTGTAGTAATCTTCTTTGGTCTTTCTGTGTAGCCATATATGTGTTCTGTGTAATGTTTATATAAAACAGCTCTAATTAATTGGCTTAAACAAAAATAAGTGCTTAAATCAAATATTTTAAAAGCAAAATAAAAGCTGTAATGTCTTTTAGTTCATGTAACTTTAGTAATCTTTGGGAAATAAAAACACCTTTAAAATTATTGATAAAATAAAAACATTTAGTATAAATTACAAAGGTCAGATATTAAGTTTGCTAAATGCTTTAAGGTCATAAACTGCTTTTTTAACTTTTAACAATGGTTCAATTTACCTACCTTAAAGCCGTTAGATTCTAGATAAGGCCTGGAGACATGTAGAATTAGCCACGCCCCCTAGCTATACAAAGAAGATTATAAAGAAAGAGATTTTATATAAGAAAAGATCTTGTATGGTAAATTATTGTTCTAAAGTAAAATGACTGGTTGTTTAAAAGGAGGGATGTTTAGGGCAAGTCAGAATGTCTAAGAATGTCTCAGATCGTCTCTGTGAGTCATAAAAAGGTTTATGAAAGGTGATTTATACAATAAATGTTGTACAATTCAAAGGTTGTTAAGCCTCCTAAATGCTTCATAATATGCCACTATGACTCTTACTGTACAACTTGCCTGCTTTACAGCTGGGTAAGGCCTGGGGACATTTGGAGTTAGCCACTACCCCTAGCTATCCTGGAGAGTCAGGTTTATCTGCACTTCTGCTTGGTGCGTCCTAGGCTAGGCTCCACCCCTAGCACATAATTAAAATCTCAAACTTACCAAGGTTTTCACCAAAATTAAAAGTTGCTAAGAGTTAACATTATAACATGTAATTGAAACTACTAAACAAACAATTTTATATGCAAGGTATGTGAAGATAGTAAAAGTGTTTTTGGTGAAAGATTATAAGAAGTCATGAAAATGTGGATTTTTTTTTTTTTGCCTAAAGTGTTAAAGAATTGTTTTAAGTAAGAAAAATAAAACTAAAGATTTAAACAAGTTGTGAAAGGTTTATAAAATTTGATTGTAAGAGATTCTGTGTGTGAACATACTGGCTAAAGTTAAAGAGGTATTATTCAGTTTTTCTGTAAATTAAACATTGGAATAAAAACACAATAGGTTTTTCTTAGAGCACTGATCTGCTCTTTCATATACAAAAAAATTAAAGGGTTATAAAAGATTTGTAAGGATCTTACCTTATGGTTAAACATTAAAATTGCATAAATATGTCTATAAAGTTTTATTAAAAATTGGGTTTATCATTAATAGCGTGTCCAGTATTGGTTCCTTCCAGTGGGTTCTTGGTCTCACTGACTTCAAGAATGAAGCTGTGGACCCTCGCGGTGAGTGTTACAGTTCTTAAAGATGGTGTGTCTGGAGTTTGTTCCTTCAGATGTTCAGATGTGTCTGGAGTTTCTTCCTTCTGGTGTGTTCGTGGTCTTGCTGACTTCAGGAGTGAAGCTGCAGACCTTCGCAGTGAGTGTTACACCTCTTAAAGGTAGTGCGGACCCAAAGAGTGAGCAGCAGCAAGATTTATTGTGAAGAGTGAAAAAACAAACTTCCGCAGCATGGAAGGGGACCTGAGCGGGTTGCCGCTGCTCTCTCAGTTGGCCAGCTTTTATTCCCTTATTTGGCCCTGCTCACATCCTGCTGATCGGTCCATTTTACAGAGTGCTGACTGGTGCATTTACAATCCTTTAGCTAGACACAGAGTGCTGATTGGTGCGTTTACAATCCTTTAGCTAGACAGAGAGAACCAACTGATGCATTTTTACAGAGTGCTGATTGGTGCATTCACAATCCTTTAGCTAGACAGAAAAGTTCTCCAAGTCCCCACTTGACCCAGGAAGTCCAGCTGGCTTCACCTCTCAATAGTACACTAACATAAAGGTGAAATTTGTCTTATTTGGTATAAAAATCATACAGGAAGTATTATCAAATGTGAAATATGAATGTGTTTTGCTCTCTTTGGACTATATTTTAATAAATGTGTTATTGGTATATGTTCCAAAGTTATGGGAAACTCCTATAATTCTGATATATCTCAGTGTATGTTATTAATAATTATAATTGTTATGTAAAATTTTTTGTGCCATGGAAGTAACCAAATTTCCTTATCCCTTATCAATTGTGCTTTAATAGTGGCTGTCCTAAAACTTTTTAGCATCCACAGACAATTGTTGTCTTGTTTTAATCCTCTTTAGAAGTTGGTTTATAATCAACTGTACAACTCTAGCAGGTGTTCTTAAATGCAGATTTCTAATAACTTTGGAAATTGTAACATTCAAATAGAGGAAACAGCATTCAGAACTCTCAGGAAGAGCTGTAATATTCATGAAAACCAAACGGAACAGGAGTTAACTGAATTAACTGAACCATTAGAAAACTGAAGTAATATTTTAAATTTTGCTTAAAATGCTGCTGATCCTTTGTTTTGTTTTTCAGAGTCAAGGAAACTTTTCTTTTAAGCTATTTTCAGATTTTAGCAATGGAGTAAAGTATACTCCTGTGAACAAAATTTGGAGCATGTTTGTTTCTCTCTACCTGATTTCTCAAAAATTTGAAAACTATTTGTGAGCATTCTTAATTTATGGCAATATAGTTATTTGCATAAGTGCAATAAGAATCTGTTTTCTTTTTAACAGGACACAATTGGAGAAATTGGTTATTTTACCAAGACTTTAAATGGAATGCTGTGCTTTCCTATAAGGAATCAAACTTGACTTATAAAGCCAATAAAAGCCCCTTGGAAAATTGGCTTCAGACCTTGTCTGCAACAGTCCCTGTACAGGGTTTCTGACCTGTGGTAAGTAAAGAATTTCACTTTCTGACAGGTCCAAGAGTCCCAAGTTATCTTGGGACCCCACAAGAGGAGAGGAATTTACACAACTCATAGGTATTTGAGGGTACAAACCCATGGCTGAACTTGGCTTTAAAAAGTCATATTTAAGATTTCTTCTATGGAACAGAGTTCCAACAAAGCCAATTTAAAAAGAGCCTATGTGAAAAATAATTATTCTTGCTGCACTTTATACAAATAATCAGGCCAAGTATAATAAAGCAAATTAGTCTTACCATGATTTGTTTTTAGTAAAAATGGGAAACTGGGGAGAGAAATATTATGTTTTAACAACTATGGTACACTTGTTACTAAATTCTAGGCTCATTAGTTGTTTTTAAGTTTGTTTCTGCAATTTAGAATAACCCTGCTTATTCCTGTGAACCAACCAGTGATCTCTGACTGCTGCTCAGAAGAAACAAGAGGGTAAGTTATGTAAAAATTTGGATCAGTATTCTAATTCTGGGCACATTACAATCACCTAACAACCCAATATCAGCTTAGTTCCAACAGTTGCCCAGTTCATGAAAAGCCTTCAAATTTAGTTTACTTGGAATAACTTTATTTATTTTGCTTTACTCTTATGGAATATATTGCTTTTATACTCTTTGTGTAGGAATACAGGACAAGCTTACTGAATGTTTTCTTAAGTTAAACACTTACTAATAATCTTCCAGATAATCCCCTTTTGTCAAAACTCAAGAGTTATGAATGGACCTCACTATACTGCTGCCTTCTGACTGAGCTCACCTCTACCCTGAATGCAAGAGACTCTCATAGCTAGGCAGGAATATCATCGCCCCTATTCAGCCTGAAGAAGTCACAGAAGATGAATTTTAGTCCCTCTGGTTCTCTTACAAAATGGAGGGAAGAAATGTCACAGGTGTGTGAGCCAGAGCAACACCATCTTGAATAGGAGCTGGGTAAAATGAGGCTGAAACCTACTAGACTGCATTCCCAGATGGTTAAGGCATTCTAAGTCACAGGATGAGATAGGAGGTTGGTACAAAATACAGCTCATAAAGACCTTGCTGAGCAAACAGCTTGCAGTAAAGGAACCGGCCAAAACCCATCATAACCAAAATGGAGATGAAAATGACCTCTGGTTTTCCTCACTGCTACACTCCCACCAGTGCCATGACAGTATTCAAATGCCATGGCAATGTCAGAAAGTTACCCTATATGGTCTAAACAGGGGAGGCATGAATAATCCACCCCTTGTTTAGCATATCATCAAGAAACAATGATAAAAATGGTCAATCAGCAGCCCACAGGGCTGCTTTATGGAGTGGCCATTCCTTTACTTTCTTAATAAACTTGCTTTCACTTTGCACGGTGGACTTGCCCTGAATTCTTTCTTCTGCGAGATCCAAGAACCCTCCCTTAGGGTCTGGATCAAGATCCCTTTCCTGTAACAGTAGGGCAGTATGTACTTCAGTTCTTCATGAGTTACTTATAGCACTCTCTTCCCCTAAGACTCAGGTGGACACTCAGGATCCTGACCCTGGTAATGACTGGTGTGACAGAAAATATGCTCTATGACAAATTATTGCTTCTGATAATGAGAGTTCACAATTGAGTTAATTCTCTTTTGCCTGGATTCTTACCTCTAAATTTTATCTTTCCTTAGTCTTAATACAAAGGCCCTATGTATAAGTAAGCCTAAGAGTTTACTGTATCTGAGAGACCTTAAATCTCCCAGACATGATAAGAAATATGTCTGAATTATAATGCTTGATGTCTCTGTTTGTGCATAGGTGTGTGTGTGTATATGTATATATACACACACAATATATACACAATATATATACACACTATATATATACACACTATATATACACTATATGTATACACTATATATATGATATATATTATATATGTAGTTAGCTATCTTTTCATATTAACAAAGAGAGGCCTTAATGTAGTTAAATTATAGAGTCTCAACACTGCTATAAGCCTTTACCAGTCAAAAGTCATTTAAGTTATCCTGGATTCTGAATAGGGATTACAATTAGCAGCATATTTTAGGTAATAGTATTGATAATCCCACAGTCACAAACATTTCAGCAGAATGTGGGTGGCTTGATCGAAGCCATTCATTGCCTGCTCCATCTATACCCTGCAGAGCAATTTAGCTCCTTAAATAACCATCCCCTGCTGTTTAAAGCAACGATGTGTTATGCAAAGTAAATCAATATATGCCATTTGTTTAAGTAAAAAAATTTCTTAATTTGCCTCATCACGAGAATGTTTAATAAATCTTGAGGTCTTTTTATTAAGAGAAGATTTGATCAATTGTAAGATTAGAATATTCCCAAATAAGGCTTCATAAATGACACAGGAATTAACATCATAAAGTAGAAGTGCTAATTGAAATTTTTATAAAAGCTGATTTTTAATCATTTTTAGGAGGAAAAAAAACCCTTCAATCAGGATCTAATTTATAAGGGTTTCCTGTGAACATTAGTCAGTGAATAATTTATTTCCCTAACCTACTTATGAAAGCTTCAAATTGTTATTGTAATTTGTAAGGCATTGAGATTCACCCATCTTTTTTTGCATTTACACCTGGCCTCAAATACTGGGTTACTTGATACTTTGCAATATAGAGATTTTATAAAATAAAAATAACAATAAAGACAAAACAAATACTTAGATTGGAGAGGCTGGCTATAAATTTATTATCCACTCAAACATAAATGCCTTGGTTAAAATTTTAAATATTCACTTTATTTTCACTTTTATTTTTATCATATCATAAAATCGACTGAAACTATAATTATTATATGTAATGTGGCATGATAGCAATACAAGTTGGTCTATGCTAAGATAACTTTGATGATTTATTGGCTTAAACTGCTTCAGAGATACAATACCCCAAATAACTTAATTTTTTTTTTTTTGGAGATGGAGCCCCGCTCTGTCACCCAGGCTGGAGTGCAGTGGCGCGATCTCGACTCACTGCAAGCTCTGCCTCCCGGGTTCATGCCATTCTCCTGCCTCAGCCTCCTGAGTAGTTGAAACTACAGGTGCCCGCCCCCATGCCTGGCTAAATTTTTTTTTTTTTTTTGTATTTTTAGTAGAGACAGGGTTTCACCGGGTTAGCCAGGATGGTCTCGATCTCCTGACCTCGTGATCCACCCACCTCAGCCTCCCAAAGTGCTGGGATTACAGGCGTGAGCCACTGTGCCCAGCCAAATAATTTAATAATATATTATTTAGTAAATGGATCTCAAAACAGATAATTATGTAAAAACAGTGTAAACATTAGTTGTCCAATAAGTTCTAATGGATAGCATCTCTTTCACAGAAGCTTTTTAAAAAATAAAAATAACACAAAGAAATGGGAGAAAAAGATCAACATATTCAAAATCGCTCATACTATATCCTGGGTTAAATGACATGGCAGTTCTCATACTGGACTCCAGAAGTAAGCTGACTTACCCACCCAGTTATGGGCATTGGAAATTAAGGCAGGCCTTCCAAAACTGGAAAATAAATTGCAAAGATGAAGAGGTAGCCCTGTCGAGTAAACCCAGTTATTTTTTCCAGCTTTAATAACCAGGTAAGTCATTCTACTGTTAAATGAATAAAGAAACTAAAAAATGTCATTACTGTGTATGTGCTTAGAGAAAGTACTTCATCTTGGTAAGAAAGGGTAGAAAGAAGACAATGTCACCAACAATTTGTATCTAAATTATGTTTTCCTAACAAAATAAAATTTATGATAAAGAATCATAATGTTCATTATAACAATGTTTTTGTTTTTGTTATGTCACAATCTATTTGCATGTATTACTAAAATTTTTTTTGAAAACCAATTTTCTTTGAAAAGTTGGTCAAATGGATAATTATTCCTTAAAATCTTTTCATATCTGCCTAAAATGATTAATTTATGCTTAATTTACATACTACTTTAATAATCTACATACTATTAAGAGTGAACACATTTTTTTAAGAATGAAAATTCTGGTAACTTATAGATAGAACTGGAATTGCATTGTAAGTGGTGTGAGCACTAGCATCCACCTGACCGAATGATTTTTGAGAAAAATAGTTTATTCACATAAATACTTAATGGTGCCTGCATAATAATCTTTAAAATTTTAAATAATTGTTATAACAATTATAGTAATTATGATTTTATTGCATTTGGGATCTATTATTTTAAAAGGGGAAATACAGACTATTCTGGTATAGCACTAAAGAACATGAAATAATATTTTTTATTAGTCTGTGAATTCTCAATTATTCACTCAAAATTGAAGAATCATTCAGGAAGCATTTTTTGCTTGAAATAATATTCTTGCAGTCAAAATTTCTCTTTTTTTGCCATAAGACTCAGCACACTTAACAGATGCTTTTTATGACTGTCTTCTTCAGAAGTCCGTAAGCTCCATGAAGAGAGATCTTGTTCATCCCTATGACCAAGGATTACACAGTGCAGGGCAACAGGATGTATCTAATAATTAACTGTTAGATAAATCAGTGTTTTACTAAAAATATAAGTAAAACTAACTTTCTTAATGAGAATTAAGCCTAACATATCACCTGAAGCAAGAATAAGTGGCATAATCTTTTTGATATGTACTGAGTCTTTATTTTGTTACTTAGCGTCATTAACTCATTTCTTCACCCATAAACATCTTGTGACCAAGAATACCCAAACTCCTGGGAATGTAACTCAGCAGGGTTGGCTTTATCTGGCCCTTATTCAAGATGATGTCTCTTTGGTTGGGATGCCTCTGACATCACGATAGTCAATTAGAGCAAAAAGCCAACAATAAAAGTAATAATTAAACCTTTAATTACTTATTATAATAGTATCAGCAAAAGGCTAAATTGGAAAAGGCACCAACACCCCTTTTCCCCATTTCCCTCTATTGACTGGCACAACAGTCCAGAATCAGGTGGATCAGCATATATGAGGAGGATGTGGGGAGGAAAGGTATTAGGTTGGTGCAAAATAATTGCAGGTTTTGCTATTACTTTCAATTAACAGTTCTTATCATTTCAGAGGAAGGCTTGTACAAAAGGCTCCTTTAGTTTTATGGACCTTGGGGGCCAGGGGAAGAAACAGGGTGGAATAACTAGGAATAAAAGAGAACCGGTACTAAGTCAGAGCAGCAAGATTTCTGTTTCCCTCCTTCACTTAAAATGATTGAGAAAGGCCTTTGCCAAAGGCTTCGGACAGTCTTTGAAATGTAGATGCGTGGTGCCTAAGTTAGGAATGCAAAAAAGCACCAGCATGGCCAAGTGGTGGTGGGTTGAGTGGTGGGGAGGGAGGTCAGCTGAGTCCTGAGTCCTTATCTGTAACTCTCTTCAGAGACTGCAATGCACTGGATGTGCACCTGTTCTAGTGTGGAGAGGGCAGTTTTTTTCCAGAGAGGCCTGCCAGGTAAAGCTTTTGTAACTGTCTATGGTCAAGCCTGAAAAAATCACACATAGGGTTTTGAACAGTAGCTGGACTCCTCCCCCACAAGAACTGCATTCAAACTTGCATTCCCATGATAATAATAATGATTGTTTCTTCATATACTTACTAGCTAAATGTTTAGCATTCTTTATGAAATCTTTATTAAACTAATATGCCAATTTTCTTGGTTAATATTATTCATTTGTGAAAAGTCTTCATCTAATCTGATACACATATTTTCAAAAACATGTGTATAACAATTATTTTCTCCCACTATGTTGCTTGCTTATCCATTTTGCATACTTACGTTCCTTAGCTAGCTTTTGTTTCGGTTTTGATTTTTTTGAAATAAAGCTGTTTATTGCTAATGTTTCCTGGGTCCCCTCTAGGAAATCTTCACTGTGCCAAAATTTTAAAGATATCATACTTAGTTTTCTTGTAGAAGATGTGTAGCTTCAGCTTTAGGTTAATATCTAAAATCAGTCTCAAATTGTGTGTGGTTCATTCTATTTGTATGACTAGCCAATTGTTCCAGAATAATTTGTAGAATGGTTTTTCCATATTAAATGAATTTGGTGCATTTTAAAAATATATGTTGGTCCTGTATATGTACGTTTATTTCTGTTCACTGTGGTTTAATTGATATATTAGTCTATCATTATGTCAGTACCACACTACCTCTTGATTACAAAATAAGGTTGTATCATTTCTCAAAATGTTTAGAATATTTCTTCAAAACTGTTCTAGCTATTTTATAACTTTGAACTTTCACATGAGCTTTAGAATCAATTTGTCAACTTCTAAAACAATATTTTTTAGAAATATGTTATGATTTCTAATAATTATAATTTTTGGAACAATTGAAATTTTAACAATATTGAGTTTTTGAATCCGTATATATTGTATACATCTTAAATACTGTACATAACATAAATATTATATACATCTTAATGCTTTTATCACCAAAGTTTTATAGTTCTTACTGTAGAACTATAGAGGTCTTACACATATTTCTGTTAGATTTAGCCCTACATTTTTCATATTCTTCAGTGTTTTGTAAATGATATTTTAATTTTGTAGTTGTTTATTGCTAGTATACGGAAATACATTTGAATTTTCTATAGTGATACTATAACTAGTAAATGTCACAAATTAATTCTAACTGTATGTTGTATATTCCTTAGGCTTTCTTCTGTAGAACACTGTACTGAAAATAAAACTGCCTTATTTCTTCTTCTTTAAGTCGTATACTATTTTTTATTTTTTCCATTATTGGACTTACTAACATCTCAAGGACAATATTGAATAGAAAGATTGAAAACAAAAATCCTTATCTATTCCAAAAAAGTATTCACATTCTGACCAACAAAAGCATTGGCTATGTTATTAACTACAGAATTTATGTAGGTCACTTCCATAAGATGAGAAAGTTTTCTTCTACTTTGCTCACACTCATTTACAACTATTGTATTTTGAAACTATTTTATCTGTATCTAAGTCAAACAAATATTGAAACACTTTAGCTAATCAAGAGTACATACGCTGGAAGGAATATGAGGAAGAGGAAGAGTAGGTGAAAATAATATAGTTGGAAAAACAAAGAATGACTGCCATGGAACACTGATTTTCTCTTAAGAATATGTCTGTATATCCAATATGTGAAACGGACAGAGTGCCATAAAACCGACACAGTGCCTTAAAACTGGCTTCTGCACCCTCTCAATCGGGGTTTGTATTCTCCACATCAGCTTTAGGCTGAGATGACTATTTACATTCTTTGAATAACTGTTCAGTCACATTTTCTCAATGAGCAAAATAAAAAGCCTCTTGTTTTTGTAATAAATAAATGCAAACACAATATGTGCACATCTTCTATTCAGTGACTGGTACATAGCAACGTTTAATTTTTGTTATTTGCTTTGGTGATGATGTTTCATATAATGAAGATCATAATCATGAACATCCTGAAGATGATAAAGATGGTAAATAATGATTATTTAAATCCTGGATACAGAGTTGTGTTTGAAGCCCATGATATATTAATAGAAGAACTACTGAAACTAACGGAAGGAATGAAAAATTAATTTAAAATAATACGCATTGCTTTGGTGGAAAAGTAGCAGCAAGATTTGAACTACCTTCTATACAAGGTATCTTAAAGTAAAAATAACTGACATCTGAAAGCATCCACACCAAAGCTGAGTTAACAATGCAAACTGCTTAAGCAGTTCCTGTAATTTTCCTTTACAGTTATGTAAACTGCCAGCCCTATCAATCTAGTGTTCTTTGATTCTATTTTTTCATTTATTTCCTGCCTCATTCTAAATAGATGATATATTACACACAATATTTCAAGTTGAAATGAATTTAAATTGAGAGAACGATAAGCATAAAGAAAATAAGATTGAGTGAGGTTTGAGCACATTGTGCATGCACCGAAGTTCTGCACTTTTAGTAAAAGCTATAGCAGCTAGGAGCTGTTCAATTATGTAGTTCAGTGAATCTGCAAGATAAAAGACCAACTAAGATTTCTTAGAAAACCTTGAAAAGCATTTTGATACCTAGTAACCTGTAACAGAGAAAATATTTAGTAATGCAAGATTAGATTACATTACAAATGTCCTTACTTTATAATAATCATAGCAATGAGTTATGGAATGATAGTTGTTAATAGCAACCTTTGTCTAAGGTGATCAGACTGCATGAAAACGGAGTGTAGTTAAAACATTTTACAGGAGCCTAAGGATGAAATTCAATTACATGGTCCTTTTTGATTTTGTAAAAGTTAAGCATATTTTAATATTTCCTCATGCCTTTGAAATTTTCTTATACATCTTCTATTAGAGAGTTGATCAAATTCAAACACCAGCATCTGCACTTTGTCCTCAAACAATAGCTTTTTTTGAAATTAAGTGTTTCTCTTTCTTTTCTTCACTGGACATGAACTGATTATGCTTTTTGAAAAACACAAATAATTATTTATATAACTCACAATTGTAAAACATTTTTTCCTCTGAGGAACTGACGTAAATACATAGTTATTCATTCTTTCTGTGATGAATTCCATCAAAGCTGCCTGTTACTTAAAAAAATTTTTTTTCAGTTTATTTGCCTATATGAAAATTGATGACAAAACTTTTTCAGAAAAAATATATAATTAGGAGAAAATATTCTATGAAACTATGACAGATATATAGGTAAGAGGTGACAAATTACTGAGTAATTTTTTAGTAACAACTTATATTATTTCTATGTGGAATGTGAATCAACCATTAAAAGAACTGGCAAGAAAAATAGTAAAAATGTTGCATAGGAAAATTTTCCAGAATGCATACCTTCTTCAGTGTGTGAACTGATAATTTATTATTTTATTATGCAGATTTTGTCAATTTACTGTCCATTTCTCATTCTTTAAGAATTCTGACTGATGAATTACCTTCAGATAACCTTGATTACTTTGGAATGCTGAACTTACGAATTATAAACAAACTATTTTTTTGTCAAATTTGTATCCATATAATTGTCTTCTATACAAATTCATTTATCTAAAGCATATTTACTACTCCTCAGCATACCAGACAAACTCTATATTACGTAAGGACTGAAAGTAACATTTATGTTTTCTTTTCTTTATTCATAAAATAGTGGCACGCTGGTAACAATAATTACTTAAGACAGTATTAACTAAAAACCTTTTGGTTAATACTGAACAGAGTTCTTAGAAATTAAATTGAGATAAAAAGTCACTTCAATTCTATTTTAATATTGATATTTTCCTCTTACAGAATATGTGAAAAACATGTAGATAATGTTTTCAGAAGGGACTTGAAAAACAGAGAGTAAATTTCTATTGTGACAGCTTAAATGTCCCCATTGCCTTTGTTACAGAGGCAAATCCCTCTCGAGGTCACACTTCAGTGATAACCAAGTTAAAATCGAAATTTTCCTTCAAAAGTGGCAATAAAAGAAACTTTTTTTCTCACAAGAAAGAACAATAAATCTTAAAAAGAAGAATTTCTCCTGCAGAGATTCGAACTGTATGAATATTAGTCGTTTGTATTTGAATTATGCAATTAGTTTCAGAACAACATAGTATCCCGTACATTCCATATGTTTCCTCACTTCCACATCCCACCTGATAGAAAGACCATGCTTTCATAAATTTCACACAACTGGCAAGGTCATTTTTCCAAATTAAACCTGGACATTTTAACCAGGAAGCAACGTAAAGTAAAATGACAGAAAGAAAAACAGAAAAAAAGGAAATAGGCACAACTGGAAGTGCTGCAGGGGCACAGCAAGAACAAGGCCACTGGCCTGGGGAGCTGCTGCATTGGTGAAAATTTGGGAGCCATCAGGCGGTTCCCTGCTCTGTCTGACCCAAGCCCTGCAGACTCTGGCACCACTGCCACCGTGAAGTAGTTAAACCACATTAAGCAATTGCCACGTTAATCAGTGGCAGAGCCAAGGAAAGGGAAGTTCTTTGTGAAGAGCTGTTATAGATCTGTCATATAGTTACACAATTCTGCAGCAAATTTGTTTTTGCATTGTTCTACTTCATATCCAGTCCCATCCATCTCTTTTTTTAGGATGTCTATTTTGATGGGAACCCTTGAATGTTGACTCCTAAAGATTTCTGAGGTGAGTTACACCTGGCTCTGACCAAATCCCAGTCTAATATCAATGTAGCAAGATGTTTTCTTTTTCCAGATGTTAGGGGATGTCCACCTCTGCTACGACATACAGAGTATAACCAGGCCCCTTGAAACATATATCCTAGCATTTTTATTATTTATTAATTTTTATTTTTTTTATTTCAATGGGTTTTGGGAAACAGGTGGGTTTTGGTTATGTGGATATGTTCTTTAGTGGTGATTTCTGAGATTTTGGTGCACCCATCACCAAGCAGTGCACACTGAACTCAATGTGTTCTCTTTTATCAACCACCCACTTCCCACCCTCCCCCCACCCAAATCTCCAGATTCCATTATATCATTCTCATGGCTTTGCATCTTCATAACTTAGCTTCCAATTATAAATGAGTACAGTGTTTGGTTTTCCATTTCTGAGTTATTTCACTTAGAATAATGGTCTCCAATTCCATTCAGGTTGCGGCAAATGCCATTATTTCCTTTCTTTTTATGGCTGAGTAGTGTTCCACAAGATATATATACACATATATATATACACACATATATAGGTGCATACATATATATACACATATATATACATATATATGTATACATATATAGACATATATATACATGTGTATATATATCGTGGAATATATATATGACACATTTTCTTTATCCACTCATTGGTTGATGGGTACTTAAGCTGGTTCCGTATTTTTGTAATTGCAATTGCAAATTGTGCTGCTATAAACATGCATGTGCAAGTGTCTTTTTCATATAATAACTTCTTATCCTCTGGGTACTCAGTAGTGGGATTGCTGGATCAAACGTTAGAACTACTTTTAGTTCTTTTAGCTGTCTCCATACTGTTTTTCATAGCGGTTGTAGTAACTTACATTCCCAACAACAGTGTAAAAGTGTTCCCTTTTCACCACATCCATGCAAACATCTATTATTTTTTGATTTTTAAATTATGGCCACTCTTGCTGAAGAAAGTTGGTATTGTATTATGGTTTTAATTTGCATTTCCCAGATAATTAGTGATGTTGAGCATTTCTTCATATGTTTGTTGGCCATTTGTATATCTTCTTTTGAGAACTGTCGATTTACGTCCTTATCCCACTTTTTGAGGAGATTATTTGTATTTTATCTTGCTGATTTGAGTTCCTTTTAGATTTTGGATTTTAGTCCTTTCTCAGATGCATAGTTTGCAAATATTTTCTCCCACTCTGAGGGCTGTTTACTCTGCTGATTATTTTGCTGTGCAGAATCTTTTTTAGTTTAATTAATTCTTATTTATTTATCTTTTTTTTTGGCATTTGCTTTTGGGTTCTTGTTCATGAACTCTTTGCATAACCCAGTGTCTAGAAGAGTTTTTTGGATGTTATTTTCTAGAATTTTTAGGTTTGAGGTTTTAGATTTAAGTCTTTGATTTATCTTGAGTTGATTTTTGTGAAAGATGAGTGATGAGGATCCAGTCTAATTCTTCTACATGTGGCTTGCCAATTCTTCCAGCACTATTCGTTAAATAGGGTGTCCTTTCCCCAGTTTATGCTTTTGTTTGCTTTGTGGAAGATCCATTGACTGTATTTGGTTTTATTTCTGTGTTCTCTGTTCTGTTCCATTGGTCTACATGCCTATTTCAGACCAGTACCATGCTGTTTCGGTAACTGTAGCCCTGTAGTATTGCTGAAAGTCAGGTGGTAATGTGATGTCTCCAGATTGGTCCTCTTTGCTTAGTCTTGCTTTGGCTACATTGGCCCTTTTATGGTTCCAGATGAATTTTAGGATTTTTTTTTCTAGTTCTGTGAAGAATGATGATGGTATTTTGATGGCAATTCCATTGAATTTATAGAGAGCTTTTGGCAGTATGGTCATTTTCATAATATTGATTCTAACCATCCATGAGCATGAGATGTGTTTCCATTTCTTTGTGTCATCGTGTCATCTATGATTTCTTTCAGCTGTGTTTTATAGATCTTTCACCTCCTTTGTTAGGTATATTTTTCAGTTTTTCCTTTGTCTTTTTTTTTTTTTTGCAGCTATTGTAAATGGAGTTGACTTCTTGATTTGGTTCTCATTTGGTCGCTGTTGGTGCATAGTAGTGCTACTGATTTGTGTACATTGATTTCGAATGTTTCAAATCCTGAACAGACAAATAACAAATAGTGAGATTGAAGCAGTAATAAAAAAATTGCCAACAAAAAAGTCCAAAGTTTTCAGAATTTGAAAATTTACTGAATTCTTTTATAAGATCTAGGAGCTTTCTGAATGAGTCTTTAGGGTTCTCTAGGAATACAATTATATCATTGGTGAACAGCAACAGTTTGACGTCCTCTTTGCCAATTTGGATGCCCCTTATTTTCTTTCTCTTGTCCGATTGCTCTAGCTAGGACTGCCAGTACTATGTTGAATAGAAGTGCTGAAAATGGGCATCCTTGTCTTGTTTCAGTTCTCAGGGGGAATGATTTCAACTTTTCCCCCATTGAAGATAATGTTGGCTGTGGGTTTCTCATGGATGGCTTTTATTACCTTAAGTTATGTCCCTTCTATGCCGAAGCTGATGAGGGTTTTAATCATAAAAGGATGCTGGATTTCATCAAATGATTTTTGTGTGTCTACTGAGGTGCTCATATGATTTTTGTCTTTAATTCTGTTTATGTAGTGTATCACATTTATTGACTTGCATTAAACCATCCCTGCATCCTTGTTATGAAACCCACTAGATCATGGTGGATGATCTTTTTGATATGCTGCTGGATTCTGTTGGCATTTTGTTGAGGATTTTTAGATTTATGTTCATCAGGGATACTGATCTGTAGTTTTCTTTTTTTTGTTGTTGTAATGTCCTTTCCTGGTTTTGGTATTAAGGTGATACTGGGTATCATATAATGATTTAGGGAGGATTCCCTCTTTCTCTATTTTTTGGAATAGTTTCCTTTGGATAGGTATCAATTTTCAGAATATGAAAGGAGCTTTGGCTCAACTTGAAAGTTATATTTTGGTGATGATGCTGGACATAGGCAGATACTGAGAACCAGATGACTCTAGAACTCTCTCGCTATGAAGTTACTGTTGAAGAAAATATTGTAGATGCTCCATGTGACTTAGCAGAGGCAGAAATTTCTAACAGCAGGAAACAGAGGAAACAGCTTGCTACATTGCTTTTGCTTTTTGACTAAGATTCTGTCAGAATCGAGTGTAACTAAACTCAGAAATCTTTAGGAGTTAACTTTCAGAGGCTTACATCCAAAATAGACACCTGAAGAAAGAAAGGAATTTAGCTGGAAATAAAGTACAATAGTGCAAGGATCAGTTTGCTGCAGACTTGTATGGCCAAAGAAGGGCTGAATGGCAAACTCTTGTCACTTCATTAGAAACTTAAGCAGATTACCATAAAAAAACATCAGCAGTCTTAGAAAAGGCCCTCTTTGAAATGAGATCCAATCAAAACAAGTGAGGGAAAAAACAGTCTTTGGGAATCTTTTGAAAGTAGACTTGAGGTATTACTCTTGAAGCCTGGGCCAGGCTGCTCCTGGAGACTGGCATGAGGAAGAATAATTCTGAATTGGAGTTGGAGACTCCAAGTTAAAGAAACTGAAAGCTGCTTTAGAATGTTCTGCTTCTCACCTGGATGAGTTCTATTCAGAATTCTGTGCTTTAGAAGATGCTATGAACTCCTAATTCATAGAAACTACCTGTATTTTGGTTGCATTTAATCATCAGTATGAATAAAGAACACACCTTTTAAGTGTGCAGAATCAAGTCAAAAAAACTTCAAGATATATGGAGAACATATCAGAAGTTGGCACCACACAATTTTGTTAACTTTATGTATTTCATCAAGTTCCTTGCAAAGCTTGTTCAGATCAGTGGTGTTAATAAGATTACTTCCAGAAACACTGCAATCATTTTAGGCACTAATTTGTTATAAACCAAAAATGAAACAAAAATCACTCCCTGTAACATTGTATTCATTTTAGGACCTTGCCTCTTATAAACCAAAAATAAAGAAACACAACCATTCACATGGCTGCAGTGATTGAATTGATTATTCAGTATACTGAGCAGATCTTCTCTAAAGTGGTGAAATTTAATTTGTTAGAAGGATGGGTACTTCTTTATACCCAGAATTTCAATTATTCATCCCACACCAGAAATTCTACTGACTCTAGTACCCTGGGGAGAAAGTGATGGGTCAGCATGGTGATAATGGAAATGGACTTGATTACAGAGGGCTTTGGTGTGAAATATATGGACCTCTAAGCCCATAAGCAGAATGGCGTTGTAAAGGAAGCAAATACCCCCAGCATTCAGTTATCGCTCCTGCCCACAGATGGTACCACCTTGGCTTTGGCAGGCACAGAGTATCCACTCAGAGCTCTAGGGCTAAAAGCAGGGTGGAGGATTGGCCTATTCTCTCTTTTGTGGACACACTGGAGCAGAGATTGAGCCTAGGCCGTGGCAGTTCTTCAAAACCCAAAGATCTGTATCTGCTACTCTACCCATGTTTGCCCTTGCTGGGTGAGTACTGAGGAACTTTAGACTCTGGAGAGAGATGTAAAATGAATGCTCAAGTCCATACTCATTGAGTAATGCCATGGGATTTAGAAGGCCCTGGATAACTTATTTGGAATTTATTAGAGATTGGCTTGTGTTGGGGTCTATGGCAACCAGTAATTGTGAGCTTATATTAAAAATAGACTGCTGGAATGCCTCCAGGGTACAGAGAGCTGGAAAGGCAGCAGAGGGCTGGCCTAGAGCTTGTCTTGTGTGCTGAGTGAGATAAGGACTTCTTTTGGATGGCTTCAGTGAGATACTAAGTGGATGCTAAGACATTCCTGGACCACTCCAGCACACAGGATAGCCAAAAGGTGGGTGTCCTGGTTTTGGGAATGCTGAAACAGGTTTTGACCAGCTCAGAGCAAAGTATAGGAGTGAAAACTGGCAGAATTATGACCTGAGCCAACAGAAAGCTGGTGTGAGCCTTCAGCTTCCTGGGCCTGGTTTTGGCCAATAGTTATCTGACTCTAGTTAGGTTATACCTGAGCCAGAGTTTTAAGAACTTAGTGATTTGTAGAATCAAGTTCTCTGTGTTCAGATAAGTCTCAGAATATGACTCCTAAATTGTAACAGAGGAAGTAATATCTGCTAGAGGCACTTAGAGATCCAGGATAAAAAAGAGTAGCTCACAACACAAAGTCAGAATCAAATACTGATATGAGCTTGGTTACATATTTGAATTTCTATTAATTTCTTGCAGGTGGCAAGTATTTTGTCTATTGCCCTATGAAGGTTGTTGAATTCAAATTTGGAATCACCTATGTTCTAATCAATATGTTTATAATAATGGTTTATTCTTCTTAAAGAAATAACACTAGCATAGGGTGATTTGTTTAAGGCCATTTATCCAAACAGTTGAAAGTGATAACACTATCTAGTTGTAATTTTCTGTGGTCTTATTTGTTGAAACCAGATTTGTTCATTTTTTTTTCTCATGGGGATTTGGCAATGGATGGCATATTCAATAGTAGGTAAAACTGAGGGCAGTGACTACTCTTTTGGATAATTTAAGAATGATGTTAGAATGTGCATGTTTTTATCTAACAAATACATTTAAAAGGAAAGAAAAAAGAGTCAGGTCATTATGAGTTGATAACAACCAGGAATCTACAGAAAATGAAAAAAAGAATGAGTGCAAACCACAAAATGAGAAAGAAGGCGGGGGGAGGAGCCAAGATGGCCCAATAGGAACAGCTCCAGTCTACAGCTCCCAGCGTGAGCGATGCAGAAGATGGTGATTTCTGCATTTCCATCTGAGGTACCGGGTTCATCTCTCTACCGAGTGCCAGACAGTGGGCGCAGGTCAGTGGGTGCACGCACCGTGCGCCAGCCAAAGCAGGGCGAGGCATTGCCTCACTTGGGAAGCGCAAGGGGTCAGGGAGTTCCCTTTCCGAGTCAAAGAAAGGGGTGACAGACTGCACCTGGAAAATCGGGTCACTCCCACCCGAATACTGCGCTTTTCCGACGGGCTTAAAAAACGGCACACCACGAGATTATATCCGGCACCTGGCTTGGAGGGTCCTACGCCCAAGGAGTCTCGCTGACTGCTAGCACAGCAATCTGAGATCAAACTGCAAGGCAGAAGCCAGGCTGGGGGAGGGGCGCCCGCCATTGCCCAGGCTTGATTAGGTAAACAAAGCAGCCTGGAAGCTCCAACTGGGCGGAGCCCACCACAGCTCAAGGAGGCCTGCCTGCCTCTGTAGGCTCCACCTCTGGGGGCAGGGCACAGACAAACAAAAAGACAGCAGTAACCTCTGCAGACTTAAATGTTCCTGTCTGACAGCTTTGAAGAGAGCAGTGGTTCTCCCAGCAGAGAGAACGGGGAGACTGCCTCCTTAAGTGGGTCCCTGACCCCTGACCACTGAGCAGCCTAACTGGGAGGCACCCCCCAGCAGGGGCACACTGACACCTCACACGGCAGGGTATTCCAACAGACCTGCAGCTGAGGGTCCTGTCTGTTAGAAGGAAAACTAACAAACAGAAAGGACAACCACACCAAAAACCCATCTGTACATCACCATCATCAAAGACCAAAAGTAGATAAAACCACAAAGATGGGGAAAAAACAGAACAGAAAAACTGGAAACTCTAAAAACCAGAGCGCCTCTCCTCCTCCAAAGGAACGCAGCTCCTCACCAGCAATGGAACAAAGCTGGATGGAGAATGACTTTGACGAGCTGAGAGAAGAAGGCTTCAGACGATCAAATTACTCTGAGCTATGGGAGGACATTCAAAGCAAAGGCAAAGAAGTTGAAAACTTAGAAAAAAATTTAGAAGAATGTATAACTAGAATAACCAATAAAGAGAAGTGCTTAAAGGAGCTGATGGAGCTGAAAACCAAGGTTCGAGAACTACGTGAAGAATGCAGAAGCCTCAGGAGCCGATGGGATCAACTGGAAGAAAGGGTATCAGCCATGGAAGATGAAATGAATGAAATGAAACGAGAAGGAAAGTTTAGAGAAAAAAGAATAAAAAGAAATGAGCAAAGCCTCCAAGAAATATGGGACTATGTGAAAAGACCAAATCTACATCTGATTGGTGTACCTGAAAGTGACGGGGAGAATGGAACCAAGTTGGAAAACACTCTGCAGGATATTATCCAGGAGAACTTCCCCAATCTAGCAAGGCAGGCCAACGTTCAGATTCAGGAAATACAGAGAACGCCACAAAGATACTCCTCGAGAAGAGCAACTCCAAGACACATAATTGTCAAATTCACCAAAGTTGAAATGAAGGAAAAAATGTTAAGGGCAGCCAGAGAGAAAGGTCGGGTTACCCTCAAAGGGAAGCCCATCAGACTAACAGCGGATCTCTTGGCAGAAACCCTACAAGCCAGAAGAGAGTGGGGGCCAATATTCAACATTCTTAAAGACAAGAATTTTCAACCCAGAATTTCATATCCACACAAACTAAGCCTCATAAGTGAAGGAGAAATAAAATACTTTACAGACAAGCAAATGCTGAGAGATTGTGTCACCACCAGGCCTGCCCTAAAAGAGCTCCTGAAGGAAGCAGTAAACATGGAAAGGAACAACCGGTACCAGCCACTGCAAAATCATGCCAAAATGTAAAGACCATCCAGACTAGGAAGAAACTGCACCAACTAACGAGCAAAATCACCAGCTAACATCATCATGACAGGATCAAATTCACACATAACAATATTAACTTTACATGTAAATGGACTAAATGCTCCAATTAAAAGACACAGACTGGCAAATTGGATAAAGAGTCAAGACCCATCACTGTGCTGTATACAGGAAACCCATCTCACGTGCAGAGACACATATAGGCTCAAAATAAAAGGATGGAGGAAGATCTACCAAGCAAATGGAAAACAAAAAAAGGCAGGGGTTGCAATCCTAGTCTCTGATAAAACAGACTTTAAACCAACAAAGATCAAAAGAGACAAAGAAGACCATTACATAATGGTAAAGGGATCAATTCAACAAGAAGAGCTAACTATCCTAAATATATATGCACCCAATACAGGAGGACCCAGGTTCATAAAGCAAGTCCTGAGTGACCTACAAAGAGAATTAGACTCCCACACATTAATGATGGGAGACGTTAACACCCCACTGTCAACATTAGACAGATCAACGAGACAGAAAGTCAACAAGGATACTCAGGAATTGAACTCAGCTCTGCGCCAAGCAGACCTAATAGACATCTACAGAACTCTTCACCCCAAATCAACAGAATATACATTTTTTTCAGCACCACACCACACCTATTCCAAAATTGACCACATACTTGGAAGTAAAGCTCTCCTCAGCAAATGTAAAAGAACAGAAATTATAACAAACTGTCTCTCAGACCACAGTGCAATCAAACTAGAACTCAGGATTAAGAAACTCACTCAAAACCGCTCAACTACATGGAAATTGAACAACCTGCTCCTGAGTGACTACTGGGTACATAACGAAATGAAGGCAGAAATAAAGATGTTCTTTGAAACCAGTGAGAACAAAGACACAACATACCAGAATCTCTGGGACGCATTCAAAGCAGTGTGTAGAGGGAAATTTATAGCACTAAATGCCCACAAGAGAAAGCAGGAAAGATCCAAAATTGACACCCTAACATCACAATTAAAAGAACTAGAAAAGCAAGAGCAAACACATTCAAAAGCTAGCAGAAGGCAAGAAATAACTAAGATCAGAGCAGAACTGAAGGAAATAGTGACACAAAAAACCCTTCAAAAAATTAATGAATCCAGGAGTTGGTTTTTTGAAAGGATCAACAAAATTGATAGACTGCTAGCAAGACTAATAAAGAAAAAAAGAGAGAAGAATCTAATAGATGCAATAAAAAATGATAAAGGGGATATCACCACTGATCCCACAGAAATACAAACTACCATCAGAGAATACTACAAACACCTCTACGCAAATAAACTAGAAAATCTAGAAGAAATGGATAAATTCCTCGACATATACACTCTCCCAAGACTAAACCAGGAAGAAGTTGAATCTCTGAATAGACCAATAACAGGAGCTGAAATTGTGGCAATAATCAATAGCTTACCAACCAAAAAGAGTCCAGGACCAGATGGATTCACAGCTGAATTCTACCAGAGGTACAAGGAGGAACTGGTACCATTCCTTCTGAAACTATTCCAATCAATAGAAAAAGAGGGAATCCTCCCTAACTCATTTTATGAGGCCAGCATCATTCTGATACCAAAGCCAGGCAGAGACACACAAAAAAAGAGAATTTTAGACCAATATCCTTGATGAACATTGATGCAAAAATCCTCAATAAAATACTGGCAAAACGAATCCAGCAGCACATCAAAAAGCTTATCCACCATGATCAAGTGGGCTTCATCCCTGGGATGCAAGGCTGGTTCAATATATGCAAATCAATCAATGTAATCCAGCATATAAACAGAGCCAAAGACAAAAACCACATGATTATCTCAATAGATGCAGAAAAAGCCTTTGACAAAATTCAACAACCCTTCATGCTAAAAACTCTCAATAAATTAGGTATCGATGGGACGTATTTCAAAATAATAAGAGCTATCTATGACAAACCCACAGCCAATATCATACTGAATGGGCAAAAACTGGAAGCATTCCCTTTGAAAACTGGCACAAGACAGGGATGCCCTCTCTCACCACTCCTATTCAACATAGTGTTGGAAGTTCTGGCCAGGGCAATTAGGCAGGAGAAGGAAATAAAGGGTATTCAATTAGGAAAAGAGGAAGTCAAATTGTCCCTGTTTGCAGACGACATGATTGTATATCTAGAAAACCCCATTGTCTCAGCCCAAAATCTCCTGAAGCTGATAAGCAACTTCAGCAAAGTCTCAGGATACAAAATCAATGTACAAAAATCATATCTACAACTATCTGATCTTTGACAAACCTGAGAAAAACAAGCAATGGGGAAAGGATTCCCTATTTAATAAATGGTGCTGGGAAAACTGGCTAGCCATATGTAGGAAGCTGAAACTGGATCCCTTCCTTACACCTTATACAAAAATCAATTCAAGATGGATTAAAGACTTAAACGTTAGACCTAAAGCCATAAAAACCCTAGAAGAAAACCTAGGCAGTACCATTCAGGACATAGGCATGGGCAAGGACTTCATGTCTAAAACACCAAAAGCAATGGCAACAAAAGCCAAAATTGACAAATGGGATCTAATTAAACTAAAGAGCTTCTGCACAGCAAAAGAAACTATCATCAGAGTGAACAGGCAACCTACAAAATGGGAGAAAATTTGTGCAACTTACTCATCTGACAAAGGGCTAATATCCAGAATCTACAATGAACTCAAACAAATTTACAAGAAAAAAACAAACAACCCCATCAAAAAGTGGGCAAAGGACATGAACAGACACTTCTCAAAAGAAGACATTTATGCAGCCAAAAAACACATGAAAAAATGCTCATCATCACTGGCCATCAGAGAAATGCAAATCAAAACCACAATGAGATACCATCTCACACCAGTTAGAATGGCAATCATTAAAAAGTCAGGAAACAACAGGTGCTGGAGAGGATGTGGAGAAATAGGAACACTTTTACATTGTTGGTGGGACTGTAAACTAGTTCAACCATTGTGGAAGTCAGTGTAGCGATTCCTCAGGGATCTAGAACTGGAAATACCATTTGACTCAGCCATCCCAATACTGGGTATATACCCAAAGGACTATAAATTATGCTGCTATAAAGACACATGCACATGTATGTTTATTGCGGCATTATTCACAATAGCAAAGACTTGGAACCAACCCAAATGTCCAACAATGATAGACTGGATTAAGAAAATGTGGCACATATACACCATGGAATACTATGCAGCCATAAAAAATGATGAGTTCATGTCCTTTGTAGGGACATGGATGAAATTGGAAATCATCATTCTCAGTAAACTATCGCAAGAACAAAAAACCAAACACCGCATATTCTCACTCATAGGTGGGAATTGAACAATGAGATCACATGGACACAGGAAGGGGAATATCACACTCTGGGGACTGTTGTGGGGTGGGGGGAGGGGGGAGGGATAGCATTGGGAGATATACCTAATGCTAGATGACGAGTTAGTGGGTGCAGTGCATCAGCATGGCACATGCATACATATGTAACTAACCTGCACAATGTGCACATGTACCCTAAAACTTAAAGTATAATAAAAAAAAAAAGAAAGAAAGCAGGTATTAGATATGAGTCTTGGTTTAACACCATGAATAGACATAGTTCACTATCTGATGTCATCTGCTTGTTGCTAAGGTTTTGAGTCAGGTGTGTTTATTAGCATTAATTGTTTTCCTAGGATGTATCAGTGTTCTTACATTAAGTCCTGTATTTGAGGATCCTTTGACTTGTGTTCACTTCTGAATTGTGTCTTTCACTGTGAAATGTAAACTCAAGGATTGACTCCCTGGAGTTTCACTACTCCACTTATTATTAATAGGGTCTGATAAAGTTGCTTCCAAAGGAATCAAAGTTTTTCTCTGATTTCTCTGTCAATGAATGAAATATGCTTATTCAAAGTCATAAGAGGGAAGGCAATCTCAACTTGTTGATGATAGGTTACTATAGTACGTGAGCTCTTTACAATATTTCACTGTGTCTGCACAAAGCAGGGCATAGTGTAGTAGAGAGAAAAAAATCTCTAGATGCATAGACATTCCAGTTACCAATTCATAGGAGAATAATTAATATGTCTTTGAAGAAATGTGCTGTATGGCCATTGGAGCTAATTGGAGTACTTTTGGCCAAAGAAACTCAAGGATTTATTAAAGTTTAAATAATTTTTACTTAAGAATGCCATTAGATCTTGTACCCTTCCAGAAGATTGGGGGTGAAGAGACAACTGAAAACAGAAAATCAAGTAGTATTTGAGACTGTTAGAGCTGTGACTTTTTAGCAAAGGAATGCTTCAATCCACTCTTAAACAGACATGCAATAAGTAAAACATATTCAAAATCCATGGAGAAGGGAAACTGGATAAAATAACTTGAAGTTGCCCAAACAGCCCTTGAGGATTTGCTTTCTGGTCTTGTCCCATCTTTACAGATTTTTCATGATTATGTGGTTGACAGGTAACTCACGAAACAAAGATAATCTCAGCTCTGTATTTAAAGTCTCTTATCAATGTTGATTTGAAATACTAAACAATTTGTACTATGATGAATACTCAGATGGAGAAATTTATCAAATATATATTAAAACTCATCTGGTGCCACCAAGAGGCTATCTTGGGAGCATGAGAGATAATCAGTTGAAGGGTAAGATATGAGAATGAGAAACTCCAGGAGGCCTCAAGCTTAGGGGATGCCAGTCTTTGGGGAAGCCCAGTCTTTTGTTGCTTTTACTTTGAGAACCCCACCAGATCCTTCTAATGAAGATTTAAGAAAGTTTCCTTCATGGCACTGGCAGAAGAAGGGAAAAAGGAACGATTGTGAAACATCAGTGTGTTCTTATCAGTGGCAAAACTTAACATTCTAAGAGAAGGAACTTCAATTTCAAGATTTGAAAGAAACAGTATATTCTGATATCATATGTCATCTGGGAAAAGTGAATTCCTCCTTGCCCCAGTCTCTCCAGGCTTCCAGGAGTAAAGAAACAAAAGAACAACAGGAAAAACACTCTTATTAGGAAACAAGGCTTGGAAGAAATAGATTGGGAATGTTACAGCAAGAGAAAGGAGTAGGGCCCGAGGAGAAAACAGATAAACCACTGGAGAAAAAACAGAAACACTTGTGAAAGTCACAATCCCAAGACATAAGGCCACTAAACAATTGAGACTGAATCTAAAGTTTAGGAATGCTCCTACTAACACCTTACCACCATGCCAACGGGGCTGCAGGTTAATTCCAGTGGATTACTGCTGAGAGTTACTAGACAGTCTCTCTTTAAGGAGCAGTATATAGGAAAGCACCAAAGCTAAGGAAGGAGATAAAGACAAAAGACACTGGAGGAAAAAAGTGAAGGCTTTTATACTTAAAGCAAACATTACATACATGATTTATTAAATGAAACAACCCAAGTACTAGCCAAATTAGAATAAATTCTTACAATTAAGATCTATTTAAATCAGTTCATACAATCTGGCCAGCTGTCAATAAAAAATTTAAAAGCATGCCAAATGACAAGGAAAAACACTGTCTGAAAAGACAAAATTAGTGTATTTAGATATGAAATAGATATTAAAATTGTGAGACAGAGAATTTAGAATAACTATGATTAGAATAAAATAAAGGAGGGGAGGGCTTCAAGAAGGTTGAATAGAGGCACTCATCACTCAACCTCCTCCACAAAGAAGAACCGGACTAGTGAATAGATAATCACACTTTGAATAGACCACCTAAGAGAATGCTAGAATTCAACAGAAAAGTGACAGGAAACACCTAAGGCAAGGAAGGAGAGGAAAGCAAAGAAGTCTTCTGATGTAGCGGGGCAAGCAGCAACCCTGCCACCCCCAGTTGCAGGGCCACCGTATATTTACAAGTGTCCTGAGCAAAGGCTACCCTGCTGGAAGCTGCCACCTGGAGCTAAAATGGATAAATTTGAAGATGGAAGAGGATTGCAGCAAATATCATTAACATTTCACTAATTCTAACATTTGTTTTTCTCTGCTTCATATATTTTGTGTCCTTATAAACTGTTTTTTTCTTCCTCCTTTGTGTATGATTTTCTCCATAACCGAACTTAGTTCATACCAAATTTCAGGACACATTATCTGGAGAAGGGTGGGTTCCTAGGTACATAGGAACATAAGATGAAAATGGTCGACTTCACTCTATGGGGCAAATTCATTTTTTGGTGGGAGAGGGAAGGGAACTGTTTTTAGAAATGACTCTATCCTCAGAGAACAAATCCCAAAATATGCCTATCACAGAATAGTAAATATATTTTTTTGACTGTGTAACATGATGTCTTCCATGATTTGCATTTACATGCACAAACTATTTTCAATCAAATAGACATAATAGATCAAATATGTAGTTATCTATCATCTATCTATCTACCTATCTATCTATCATCTATGTATTTGTGTGTATGTATCTTCCAAAATAACATAAGTTGCAGCCATAAAAAAGAATGAGTTCATGTGTTTGCAGCGACATGGATGAAGCTGGAAACCATCATCCTCAACAAACTAACACAGGAACAGAAAACCAAACACAGCATGTTCTCTCTTATAAGTGGGAGTTGAACAATGAGAACACATGGACACAGGGAGGAGAATATCACACACCAGGGCCTGTTGGGGGCTGGGGGGCAAGGAGAGGGAGAGCATTAGGACAAATACCTAATCCATGCAGGGCTTAAAACCTAGGTGACGGGTTGACAGGTGCAGCAAACAGCCATGGCATATGTGTACCTATGTAACAAACCTGCACGTTCAGCACATGTATCCCAGAACATAAAGTAAAATTTAAAAAAATTAATAACAACATAATAAGAAACTGAAGCATGATTATATGTCTCCTAATTCATGATCCAGTGACATTTCTGATATACTAACATGATTTTCCTCAGTATTGCTGGATCTCTACATCATAGTGCAAATCAAATGGCTAATAAGTAATTAGAAAATTTTCCATTTCATTTTGAAAATATTTCCCACAAATTGGTGTCTTTTGTCTTTCCTGAGTCTTTTAATGCTTTTTCTTCTTTTTTCTTTTTGTGAAATTTCATTTTCTAACTTTTTTTCTTGATTATTCAATATACTTTTGTTTTCTGGAAAGCATACTTTTTTTCTTAATTAGTATAATATTTTATCAAATATGATAATAAAATAAAAAATATGATATTTTTAATTTTCTTGGAATTGGCTAGTGTGTTACCTTTCTATTTAAAACACATTTAATATTTACCTTAAGGCTTAATGTTAAAATAAAAATCCCTCTAGTATTGCTATAGATTTCACAACAGAAACTATAATTCACGAATAAAAATGTGGGTAATTTTTTTCCTCGAACATTTTTCTTGAGGTTTCGTACATTTCATAAAGATTTTAAAACTTTGAGTAAAAACAATTAAACTGACTTTTTAGGATATGTGCCACATTTTTAAAAGATTTACTACCTGGATAATTACACCACCTTTTATTTAAAGACTAAGTATACTAAATATTGCTTGAAAAGATATTTATGGGAACAGATTATAAGGACAGAAAGAAAAGAAAATATTTTAAAAATAGTATTCAATGAACTTTAGATTTAACATGCAACTTAATTCTTGTAGGAGTATTTTGATTTAGTAATGAAGATCATATTGGAAGAATATTGACAAGGTGAAAGAAAACTGTTTCTAATAAATGTACTCAAAAAAGCCATATGTACAATTAATTGTACTCTGGTGTTCACATTCTATTTTGATGTATTTTAGAACAGATTTATGCAAATGACAGATTACATGCCTAGAGTAAAATATAATGTTACTTTATTCAAATGATGAGTTAAAATGTATATCAGGGAAATATTATTTTTTAATTTTAGATATTGGAGCCACAAAAGTTTTGAAGGGATAATAAAGGACAGCAAAGAAACGTTTATTAGAATTGTTTGATGTTTTTGATTTTTAAATTTTTACTAATTTTTATACATTTTTATGAAAACAATAAAGATTATATTATTAGATTATATTGATTGAGCACTTAATCGCATGCTAGGATTTGTATAAAGTACTGAATATATATTTCTTCCATTTTGAAAATCAAGCCGTAATTTACATATAGTCATATTTTGAAATACCCAATTTAGTCATTTTTTTTTTTAAACAAATGTATACAGTCTATAGCTACCACCAAAATCAGGACACAGAAGAGGTGTATCCTTCCAAAGAGTTTCTCATGCCTCTTTTTAGTAAACCCCTCCACTTTTTTCTAGAATCCAGGGGTATCCAAACTTTTGGCTTCCCTGGGCCACATTGGAACAAGAATTGTCTTGGGCCACACATCAATACACTACCACTAACAATAGTGATGAACTTAAAAAAAAATCTCATAATGTTTTAAGAAAGTTTACGAATTTGTGTTGGGCTGCATTCAAAACCATCCTGGGCCTCATACAGCCCAGGGCCATGGGTTGGATAAGCTTGCTCTGGACTCTGCCTTTATTGATCTGTTATCTCTTCATAAAGTATGACTCTAAGAGAATTTCATGTAAATAAAATCATATATTATGTAGCTTTTTGAGTCTGAATTCTTTCTCAGATTCAGCTATATTGTCACATGTAGCAATATTCCTTTCCTTTTTGTAGAAGAATAATATTCCTTGTTTAGATTTGGATGTACCATATTTTGTTTATTCATTTCACAGTTGAGGGACATGTGACTCATTCCATTTTTTAGTAACTATTAATAAGGCCTCTATAAACATTCATGTACAGTTTTGTGTGAACGTAGGTTTTCATGTCTTAGTCTGCTGAGGCTGGCATAACAAAATATCATAGCTAGGTGCTTAAAAAATAGCAATGTACTGTATATTCTCACAGTTCTGGAAGCTGAAATTACAGGATCAGAGTACCAGCATGGTTGGGTTCTAATGAGCACTCTCTGTCTGGCTTACAGAGAGCTACCCTCTTTATATGTCCTCATATGACCTTTCTTCAGTGCTTTGTGCTTGCAGAGAAAGAGAGAGAGTCTGAAAAAGAAAGATAGAGATGTCTCTTTATCTTCTTATGAGGCCATAATTCCATCATGTGGGCCTCAATATTACAACCCGAGGCCACAACTCCAAATACTATCACATTAAGGCTCAGAGCTTCAACATTTGATTGGTAGAGGAGACACAGACATTAATTTTATAATAATATCATGTGGGCAGATTTCTGGAAAAGGAATTACTGAGTCATACCATGAGTGCTATGTTTAAAGTTTCTTTTAACCTTTTATTTTAGATTTGGGGATACAAGACAGGTGTGTTACCTGGGTATATTTAAATGACACTGAGATTTGGAGCATGAACAATCCCATCACCCAGGTACTAAGCTTAGTACTCAATAGTTTTCAATCTTTACCCCTCCCCTTCTCTACTAGGCCCCAGTTTCTATTGCTGCCATTTTTATGTATGAGAAGAATGTATATTCTTTGATAGGTAGAGTATTCTATTATATACTATTAGTTAAGTGTTGTGTAAAGTTCAGAACTTCTTTCTTAGCTTTCTGCTTATGATCTGTCTAACGCTTACAATGAAATGTTGGAGTTCTTCACTATTATTATGTGGCTTTCTAAGTATTTTGGTAGTTCCAAAAGTACTTAAGAATCTGGGTGCTTCAAATTTGGGTGCATATTCATTTTCAATAGTTAAGTCTTCTTGTTGAATTAAACCCTTTATCATTATGTAATGCCCTTCTGAGTCCTTTTGTACTGTTGTTCATTTAAAGTCTCTTTTCTCAAATGTAAGATGGGCAACTCCTGATCTTTTTTGTTTTCTGTTTTCACGATAGATCTTTGTCCAGCCCTTTACTTTGAGTCTACGGGTTTTCTGTCATTCTGTGTGGGATATGTCTCTTGACAATTGTAAATGGACATTTCCTTTTTTCCCACTTGCAACTCTGTTCCTTTTAAGTGGGGCATTTAGATCTTTTACATTCAAAAGTCATGTTAATATGTGAGGTTTTAAACCTATCATGAAGTTGTTAGCTTTTTCCTTTGTAGTTTCTATTGTGTGGTTGCTTTAAAAATTCAGTGGGCTATGTACTTGTGTGTTTTTGTGGTATCAAGTATCATTCTTTCATTTCCATGTTTAGAACCCCCTTAAGAATCTCTTATAAAGCCTGGACTGCAAATTCCCTTAGTGTTTGTTTGTCTGGAAAACCTTTTATTTCTCCTTTGCTTATGAAGCTTACTTTGGTGAGATGACAAAACTTATTTTATTTAAGAATGCTTAAAAGAGAAATAGGCCAACCATCTCTTGTGGTTTGAAAGCTTTCTGCTGAAAAGTCTGCTGTTAGTCTGATGTGGCTCTTTTTGTATGTAATCTGACCTCTTTCTCTAGCTGCCTTTAAGATTTTTTCTTTAGCATTGACCTTGGATAGTCTGGTGACTATATGCCTTGGTGATATTCATTTTGAATAGTATCTCACAGCTGTTCTCTGGATTTCTTATATCCAGATATCTACCTCTCTAGAAAGATCAGTGAAGTTTTCTTGGATTATTTCCTCAAATATGTTTTCCTGAATGTTTACTTTTTATACTTCTCTCTCAGGAATGTCAATAAGTTGTAGATTTGACCAGTTTACATAATCTTATATCTCTTAAAGACCTTGATTTTTAAGATTTTTTTCTTATTTTTCTCTCACTGGGTTAGTTCAAGAGAACAGTCTTCAAGCTCTAAAATTCTTTCTTCTGTTGGTGCCAGTCTATTGAGAAAACTTTCCATTCTATTTTAAAATGTCTTAAGTGAGTTTTTTTAATTCCAGAAGCGCTGCTTGATTTCTTTTTAAAATATTTATCTATTCCTTCATTTCCTGGATTTTTAAAATAAATTTCCTCATGTTAATGTTCAACCTTGTCATGAATTTCATTGAACTTCCTCTCAATACTTGCTTTGAATTCTTTCTCTGTCATTTCTGAGTTTCCATTTTGGTTAGGGACCATTGCTGGAAAGCTAGTGTGTTCCTTTCATGGTGTCATACATTCAGACTTTCTATGGTGCTAGAATTTTTGCCCTGATTCCTTTTCATCTGAAGGTGCATGCACTTCTAAATTTTTGAAAACAAAATTCTTTTGTGCAGGTAGAATTTTTTTCTTTTTCTCTTTTCCCCTATAATACTTTGTGGGTTTTTTCTTGCTCTTTCTCTTTCCCTTTTCCTTCTTCCTTATGTGATAGAGAATACTGGGTAGAGTCTTTTGTCTTTGCTTCTATAGCCCTATCCACTTCTTTTGGTAGGCTTAATATTGGGCTGCGCAGTTCAACCAACAAGCCAGTAGATGGTACTTATAGGTAAGAGCCAGCTGTAGCTCATGTGGCTGGGTATATTCTTGATACTCCTTTATTCACCAAAGGATTCTTGTTGCCTCAGGAAATGGCTGACCTATGTAAATTACAGTGGTCTGAACTCCCTGCTAGGCACTGGAGGGGTGGGGACCATAATGGGTGGGGCTGGACCTAGCATGCCCACCTACAGGTCCCCGCAATGGCAGGTACAAGCACCAGCACCAAGGGATAATCAATGGGTGGCCACCACGCATTCACAAGTATGCCTAGGTTTGAAGCTGTGGAACCTTTTAGCTCCAAGTTCTCTGCATGGGTATTGGGGCAACCTAAACTCCTAATCTAGGAGAGTGAGTACTCCAAAAACCTGGAGATCTGCTTGGGCATGTAGTAAAGAGGACCGTTCTGCACTAAGATTTCTTCACAGGAAGGTTTGGGCAGCTCAAACTCCTAATCTACGGTAGCAGGTACTCCAAAGGCCTGGAAATCTGCATTGATGTGGAATGGAGCCATCCCCTTTGTACCAAGATCTCTGCACAGGATAAGTAGGGGCACTGCTGCAATTTAAGCACCACCTGGCAAGATTTCTAATGTTCCGTGATACAGGCAATATTACGGACCATGTCAACAAGCAGGTCAACCTGCTAGCATTGTATCCTGGGAGACCTGGAAGGGCTAAAACAGCAGTGCCAGTCAAAATACAGCTTAAAGACCCCAGTTAAAAATATGCAGTTAAACTGGAAGCAAGAAAGGTCCTAGCATCTGTGCTTAAGAAATTGCTTGCCCATGGTCTTCTAAAACCTTGCAATTCTCCCTGTAATGTAATACCCCCATTTAAAGCCTTCTGGCTAATACCATTTGGTACAAGATTTCAAGGCAATTAATGAGTCTGTGATCCCAATCCACCCATTAGTGACAGATCCATATACTCTTTTAACTCAAGTGCCAGGGAGCACAGAATAGTTCTCAGTCCAAAATTTAAAAAATGTTTTCTTTTCTATCCCTCTGGCCCTGGAATCTCAATAACTTTTTGCTTTTGAATGGGAAGATCCTAATAGCAGAGAAAACCCACAATACACCTGGACAGTACTCCCTTCCTCCGGGCTGGGCTTTCAAAACAGCTCCCCACCCCCTTTTTTTTTTTTTTTTTTTTTTGGCCTGAGCCTTAGAAAGATATCTGAGGGATCTACAACTGGAAAACAGGAGTACACTCCAGTATGTAGATAACTTTTTTGTGTGTAGCCCAACCTGGGAGACATCTGATCAAGTTACGAAAAAGACCCTGAATTTCCTGGCACACAGGGGATACAAAGTGTTCAAAAAGTAGGCTCAAATCACCCTTCAACTGGTTTAATATTTGGGGTATATTTTGATCCCCCAGGCCTGGCAAATATCCCCAGAATGGTGCAAGATATATATGGTTTAGGAGCCCCCAGTACAAAGAAACAGCTTCAATCCTTTTGGGGAATGGCAGGGTTTTGCAGAATATGTGTTCCAAATTTGGGGTCATAGCAAAACCCCTTTATAAAGCAACAAGGGGGCCAGAAAATGAGTCAATGGAGTGGGCCCTAGAAATGAGGGGAAACTTTGCCAAGTTAAAACAGGCTCTTAACAAAGCTCCCACTCTTGGCATCCCAAACTTCATTAAGCATTTTTCCTTGTATATAGCAGGAAAAAAAGGGCATAACTGTGGGAATACTAACCCAGAAATTGGGATCAGAACCCATACCAACCATCTACTTTTCAAAGAAATTGAACAGAGTAGCCTCACAGTGACCAAGCTGCCTGCAGGCAATAGCAGCCACTGTTATTTTAGTGGAAGAAGCCACTAAAATCACCCTGGGTCAACCACTGAAAGTGTTAACTCCACATCAGGTAAGGTCAGTCCTGGGAATAAAAGGACATATCTGAACGATGGGAGAAAGGTTAACCAAATAACAGGCTATATTCCTAGATAATCCAGAGGTTACCCTTAAAACCTGTAACACCCTGAATCCAGCTTCATTGCTGCCCACAGGCCCAGTGACTGATCACTCCTGCAGGCAGGTCATCACATACACATATGTCAGCTGACCTCATTTAAAAGATCAGCCCCTCCCAGATTCAGAGGATAACTGGTTTACAGACAGCAATAGCTTTGTGTCCAATGGAGAATGCCTGGCTGGATATGTGGTAGTAAATTACAACATCATCATTGAGTCCCAACAACTACCCCAGGCACATCATCACAAAAAGCTAAGATCATTGCTCTCATTTGAGCCCTCATATTGGGAAAAAGGAAGAAGCTAAATATCTATACAAATTTCAAATATGCATTTCTCATGGCTCATAATCATGCTGCAATTCGGAAAGTAAGGCAACCACTGACTAGCAAATGTTCCCTCATAAAGCATGGGTCTGAAATTCTACAGCTATTGGAAGCAATACACTTGCCAGAGGCTGTAGCCATGATCCACTGTAGAGGGCATCAAAGGACTTAACCCCTACAGCACAAGGGAACAAAAAGGCTGATAAGGAAGCCAAAGCAGCAGCTTTCAGTGTGCAGTCTCAACAAATCTTACGACTGCTTCCCTTCTATGATTCCCTAATAGAACCTGAATACACATCACAGGAAAAACAGTTAATAAAGGAGCAAGGAGGTCAAAAATGAGGATTCTGATGATATATGGGATCAAAATTATATCTCCCTCAAACAGCTCAATGAAAAGTTACAAAAACCCTGCATAACTCTTACCATATGGTGAGAGAGGCCACTCTGGGTATGGTCAACAGGCCCTTCATTGGGCCTAACTTGGCCTTGGCAGTTAAGCAGGTCTTCCAAGCCTGTTCAGTATGTGTATTCAACAATCCAGGAAGCAAAGTACCCCATCTAATATAATCAGTTCAGAGAAAGGGAACCTACCCAGGAGAAGACTGGCAACTCTACTTTCCCCATGTGCCAGCTTGCAGAGGATACAAGTTTTTGAAGTACTAATTGACACCTTTACTGGCTGGGTTAAAGCTTAACCTACCAGAAGAGAGAATGCTAATGAAGTTATGAAGGTTCTCTTAAAGGAGATAATCCCCCAGTTTGGGTAACCCCAAAGCCTCCAGAATGATAATGGCCCATCTTAAGTCTCCCAAATGACTCAAGGGACTGCTAAGACTCTTGGAATCAAATACTATTTAAATTCAGCACAGAGACCTCAATCCTCTGGGAAAGCAGAAAGTACTATTCATACTCTAAAATGGGCGTTAGGTAAGTTATGTCAGGAAACATCAGAAACTTGGGTCAGCTTAGTGCCCATAGCCCTCTTAAGGATCTGTAATTCCCCAAGAGCAAAAAGTAATAGAGCCCCTATGAAATGTTATATGAGGCCATTTTTAACTAATGATCTAAATACTGATCCAGAAATTGCCAGTCTAATAGAATATCTAGTTAGCTTGGGACAGTTTCGGCAGAATTTGCAAGAGTTTGGAACTCAATGACTCTCCACACCGGGAAATAACAAGTAACCCAAGATCAGGCCAGGAGATAAGGTACTTGTTAAAACGTAGAAAGAGTGGTCACCTGCTCAACAACTACAACCCAAATGGAAGGGACCCTTTTCAGTAGTGCTGGCTGTGCCTTCCACAGCCAAAGTACTACAATGAGACAGTTGGATCCATTTTTCCAGGGTTAAGCCTGCAATACCTGAAGCTCCAGACCTGAAACCCAGAGCTCCTGCCAGCTGCTATGCCTGTGAACCTGTGGAAGACCTGAAGTACCTGTTAAAAAGACAGTCAAAAGATAAGTAAACGCCTACCAACTCTCTTTGGTGTCTTTGTTGCATAGTTACTGTAAGCTGGATAATAGTAGCTATTTTTATATTTCTACAGTTTAATTGCCCTCTTCCGAATGGATGGAATCACTTCCTTTGTGACAATTAAGCAAAATGTTTTCATTCATTTTTATAATGATGATTCCTGACAGTATAGATATCCACCCCCTGAAGTTCCTGTTCAAATAACAAAATAACAGAAAAGTATTTCTGGCTCTATAATGATTTGTCACAATCTGCATATACCGGCAATTAATGAATTATGAGTATTTATTAAGAACTTTTTAAATTTAACACATGGACTGTTAAATACCACCAGTCCAGCTTTGGCAAAGAACTGTTTATACTGCCATCCAATCCCAGCCTGATCTTGGGACCTTGAAAAAATGACCTATCACCCTAACTGCAAGGGGGGAACTCCTTTAAAATTAATGAACCTGGATGACTTGTATAACTTCAAAAGTATGGAAATGACAAAGGTTACAAAACAAAAAGTAAGCCTTCTTCATTATTATCAAAGCAACCTTTCTGGGTTTGCATCCCCTCAAAACCCATTTGGGGCCCAATATCAATGCACACAGAATTAAAATTCCAGGTGCTACTTTATAGTAAAAGAAGCCAAAATTTTGGTTAGGCCCTGAGAACCTTGAAAAGTCCTCAATACAACTGCACTCTGGAGATTAACCCCTCACATGATCATGTGAGCTGTGCACTTACCCAGATAACCTCATTAAGAAAACCTGTACAGTTTTTATAAAAATGACCCCTAGTTGGGGGCACTTTAAAGGACACACAGACTAAATACTGTCCAGGTAGACCCACTGGCTGTATTCACATTTTTCCTTGGGAAGACTGTACTAATCCTGAGACATCTAGTTGCCTTTTGGTTCCTCAGTATGAAAAAAAAACAAAACCTCTGGGCAGTTGCTGGTGGACAATAAGTTTGACTGCCTCCACTGGAAAAGCAAGACTACTGGGGCAACTCAGGATACTTCCCAAAATGTTTGCAGCCTTTAACCAGGGCTACTTTAGTAGGAACCTTAACAACTAGGGAAAGCAGAAACAAGCTAACCCATATGTTCACCATAGAGAACAACTTCTGTCTTGAAAAAAAAGGAGACTTTTTCCTGTGTAGGACAAGTTCCTACTTATGTTTACCAGCCAATTAGACAGGAACCTGTATTCTCATTTATTTAGCCCCTAAAATCAATATAGCTCCCAATAACCAGTCTCTCATTATACCTTTAACTGCAACCATCAGACACAAATGAACCATACAAGGAATACTCCCTTTTGGTAGGGCTAGGAATAACAGCAGGTGTAGGAATGGGCGTTAGCAGTCTTGCAACTTCCCTATCCTATTAACAACACTTGTCTAAGGATCTTTCAGACAGCATGGAAGACAATGCTCAAAGTATTAATATCATCACCTTACAAAATTAAGTAGATTTCTTGGCAGCAGTAGCTTTACAAAATAGAAGAGGAATGGATCTCTTAGCTTTAAAAAAAAAACTGGCTTATATACTTTCCATCAACCAATCAGGATTAGTAAGGAATGCAGCCCCAAAATTAGCTGACCAGGCCTCTAAAATGCAACAACAATTGTCTGAATCATGGGGCTTCTGGACAAGGACACTAAGTTGGGCTTCATGGCTCCTTCCCTTAGCTGGCCCATTGTTAGTAATTATACTTCCATTGGTGTTTGGACCATGTTTTTAAAATCTTTTAACCAGATTTATTTATTCTCACCTAAAGACCATTAAACTCCAAATGATCATGCAGCAGAGCTACCAGCCAGTTCCAGATAATTATGTCAGGCAAAGCCATCGAGAAGTCACCCCGTCTTCACTAGAGAGAGCAGGCAACACTTCCATAGTCTACAAGAGTTCTATGGTCCCCAACTGGGCACGGCATCCCAATGAGCATGAAGCAGATACAGAAGAAACACCATTAGGACAAATATACCGAATGTATGTGGGGCTTACAATGTAGATGATGGGTTGATAGGGGCAGCAAACCACCATGCAACATATATACCTATGTAACAACCCTGCACATTCTGCACACATATCCCAGAACTTAAAGTAAAATACAAATAAATAAATAAATTTTAAAAAAGAAAGACCATCAGTCTCTCTGCCTTCCATAAAAATTTACAGGGATCATGTCTCTCAGGGGAAAATGAGGCAAGAGAATACAATCTGGAGACAGGGAGCCTAAGACCAACTTACGTCTGACTTTTTGGAATTAAACCGATAGGAAAACATCAGCCTCTGATTGGCCATGAACCAAGCCTCCACTTCAGCCTCTGATTGGTCATGGGCCAAGTCTTCATTTGCATAGGGTGTAACCAATTAGAGGCCTCAAAAGGGTACCTACAGGTGTTGCCAAATTCTTTTAGTCAATAAAACCCCAAGGGATACTATATTCAGAGCTCTTGAGCTGCTTGCTTGAGCCCACTCTCACTCTGTGGAGTATACTTTCGCCTTAATAAATATTTATTTCTGTTTTCTGTTGCTTTATTTATGCATTTTGTTCAATTCTTTGTTAAATGCACTAAGAACCTGGACAACTCACAGTCAGGACTTCATATCTGGAAACAGTCTTAGTAAATATGATGGTTAATATTAAGGGTCAATTTGATTGTATTGAAACACGCAGAATGATATCCATTTCCTAAACAACCTTCCACAAGTTTTTCTGGTCAAGAGTTACCTTTCTGTTAGGTTATCAAAATTGTTAAAATTGTTAATATATACTCATCTAAATGATACTTGAAAGAGCAGTTATTTTAACTAAAATATAGCTAGATGAAATTAAAATTATTTTGATGGATTGATTTTTAATAAAATAGTTTATTTTCAAAATCTTTTGCTTTTGAAGTTACTGAATTTGCTTTCAGATTACTTTTCAAGATTGTTTCTTCCTGTTTCATTTTCAGATTCATTGTTCCCCTAGTACTGACTCTGCCCATTGTATACAGTAGATTATGGCTGGCAAGTTTAACATTTACAGCATTGAATTCTTACATCAACTGGACATATATTATCTCTGATCACTCTGTGATTACTAAACGTAATATTCTTTCTCCCAGATATACAGGAATAATCTCCATATAAATATATTTTAACCAAAATAATAAATTTGGACAAATTACATTGTGAACAAACTGATACAGTTTGGCTGTGCCCCCACCCAAATCTCATCTTGAATTGGAATCCCCACAATCCCCATTTGTCATGGAAGAGAACCTGTGGGAGATCATTGAATCATGGGGGTGGTTTCTCCCATGCTGTTCTCACAATAGTGAGTGAGTTCTCATGAGATCTGATGGTTTTATAAGTATGTGGCATTTGCCCTGCTGGCACTCATTCTCTCTTGTGCTGTCCTGTGAAGAGGTGCCTTCTGCCATGATTATAAGTTTCCTGAGGCCTCTCTGGCTATGCAAAACTGTGAGTTAATTAAACCTCTTTTATTTGTAAATTACCCAGTCTCAGGTATTTCTTTACAGCAGTGTGAGAAGGCACTAATACACAAGCCATTTCATACATACATCTACTAAATATCCTTTTCTCTCTTTATCAATTTGTCTCAACAAATACAGCACAATTTGGACACAATAGGTATTCAGTAAAAATTATTAGCCGGCACTGTATTAGTCAGTGTTCTCTAGAGGGACGGAACTAATGAGATATATACATAGATACAATCACAGGGTCCCACAATAGGCCATCTGCAAGCTGCGCAGCAAGGAATCCAGTTCAAGTCCCAAAGCTGAAGAACTTGGAGTCCGATGTTTGAGGGCAGGAAGCATCCAGCATGGGAGAAAGATGTAGGCTGGTAGGCTAAGCCAATCTAGCCTTTTCATGTTATTTTTTTTTTCTGCCTGCTTTATATTCTGGCTTTGCTGGCAGCTGATTATATTGTGCCCATCCAGATTAAGGGTGGGTCTGCCTTTCCAAGTCCACTGACTCAAATGTTAATCTCCTTTGGCAACACCCTCACAGACACACCCAGGAAGAATACTTTGCATCCTTCAATCCAATCAAGTTGACACACAGTATTAACCATCACATGCTAACTTTCAAAAAGAAGCTCAGGTTAAATTTAAGCATACCCTAGTGGTGTGAACCACTCTAGTCAAACTTTCTTCCAGAGATTTATCATCTATTTGACAAAACATGAAGTTTCCAGTGATAGCTGTTCTGTCAACATAAAACAGTGTATCTTGAATAACACATTTTTTTAAATTTTCTGGAGTACTGCATGTGCACGTGCGTGTGGTAGTAGGCAACTGCTCAAATGTCAGTTTTGAGATGTTGTTGGTGGGCCTGTGTTTATCTGTAACTGTATTTATGTAGGTGTCTCTTCAGAAATATGTCTGAACTGGTCAATTTGTTGTACAGAGAGTGAAAGAAACATAAATGTTCACAAATATTTTCTATGACATCATCAGTAAATTTCACTGATTTCTAAATTTAATAAAATGTCATCTTGCATATTTTTGAAAATGCATTTAAAGTAACACATGTAACTATATCTATTTGTATCTGGTTAAATTCCAGAAGAATGTTCCAGTTGAAAATATGATTCCTATTAATTGTAAGGGTCTCAAGCATTAAACATGAGAAAAATAATAATGTTTATAATGTAAATAATTGAAAACAGATATTCTAATTTTTGAAAAACACATTAAATGGAGATATAAATACTAGATAAAGTTGCATTTCCTAAACTCTGTGTAACTGTGAGCCTGAAGAAATTCCCCAGGATGGTTAAAACTATGCACATGTATTTGATGAATGAAAATATTCTAAATCTAGATATTTTAGGCAAATTATTATTATATTAAAATAGTATTCACTTATCCTCTATTTGATTTAAAATGAGACCATATTAGAAATAATTTTTCTAGATGAAATTTATAAAAATGTTAAAAATATTTCAATAAGGTATTTTGTTTGTTTGTTTGTTTGTTTGTTTTTGCAGCCCATGGAGATCTCCCATTTGCCTTCTTGGGGAAAATTATTGCCAAATAAACATTATATTTAATGATATAGAAGGAAAGTGAAAAATTATGTTAAGAGTTTTCAACTATTAAAAAGTGTTTTACATTTGTCTTCAACCTTCTTTATGTGATATTTTTCTTACTGATTTACCTAAATGGTTACTTTGAATAAAATGAATATGAATTTGTGTGTTCACAGCAAATAACTATAAAATTATGTTTTTAAATACTTGGTTAACTAAGTGATAGAAGTTTTTGATCAAAGTTCTCAAGTGTTAACCTCTAACACACTTACATATCCATTACCATGTTAAAGATAGAATTATATAACACCTCAGATATCAGGGTGTTACCAGACTGCATCAGCAGTTTTATAAATGTCAACTACTGATTATTACATGTGAAAGTGCAGCAGCACAGGAAAACATCGAACTGGCCTTTTGGCAATCACTGGAGTATTACATTTGAAAGGTCAGATGTACATGATTATTTTACCTGTGTCACTTTGTTGGGAGGAGAATAGCTGAACCACTCACAACTTGTACAATTTCCCCTTAATACTCCAAGAGCTAAGGCAAAAAAATATGGAAATGGAAAGTAAAAATTCAGGGTAAAATGGAAAATAAGTATTATCATAAGACTACTTTGGCCGGGCGCGGTGGCTCACGCTTGTAATCCCAGCACTTTGGGAGGCCGAGGCGGGCGGATCACGAGGTCAGGAGATCGAGACCATCCTGGCTAACACGGTGAAACCCCGTCTCTACTAAAAATACAAAAAAAAATTAGCCGGGCGTGATGGTGGGCGCCTGCAGTCCCAGCTACTCGGGAGGCTGAGGCAGGAGAATGGCGTGAACCCGGGAGGCGGAGCTTGCAGTGAGCCGAGATTGCGCCACTGCACTCCCGTCTGGGCCACAGAGCGAGACTCCGTCTCAAAAAAAAAAAAAAAAAAAAAAAAAAAGACTATTTTACACAAATGAATATTTGCAGTTAAAAATCAGGGATAATAATAACAATTTGTATTTCATTAGAGTAAGTATATGATACAGCTTTCAGATCTAATATACTTATCTTAAATAACTGGTAGTAAAATGGCATAAATAATTATTGTATATCTTATTCTGTATCTACTTATTGTCTGCATATATTTTGACTTGTATTTTCTATTTTGTTGGCACAGGATTTTATATGACCAATTTAAACGTTATCAGCTCTTAACTTGTTTCAGTTCTTCCTCAAACAAAAATTCTGAAGGTACATTTTGAGATTTCCTTAACAGCTATGAAAATATTAATTCACTAACCACGAGCATGTGACACCTACATTCTTTGGGCATCTACTTGCAAACACAACACCCTAACTTAATACTGCAGAAATAGTTCCACATCAGTTTTTTAAAGCTTCTTGAGAATCAATAGCATTACCTATGAATATTTCTCACTTTTCATGATGTAAGGTAGAATACAATGACTTTAATGTGACACCAATATTCAGGACCCAGAATAAGCAGACAAGCAGAGGCATATCCCCAGATACTTATATGAATCATCAAGGTTAGAACTGTTTTTTTCTGGACTTCCTTAGGGCATACACAGTGTATAATTTACATAATTTTTAGATAATACTTTCACAAAAACAAAGAAGGCAAAATTCAAACCAAAAATATCATCTTTTAAGAGATTTTAAGAGAAATGTAGTTAGTGAAGATTATTGTATCATTTAAATATATTAGAACAAAATATTTATAGATTAATTGAATAATTTATCCAATTCAGACAATGAGATATTGACGTATTCAACTTGTATCATCAGTATCTCTAAATCTTTCTGCGTAGGATTCATACATATCTTTAATATCTAAATGAAAAGACACATTAAAACTAATCTAAAAATAACCTAAAAGCTTATAGTCTAGAGAGAATGTTATCTGAAGCTACCAATGTCCTTTAAAAGTGGAGATTTTTAAAGAGACTTGACTTTCTTTAAAAACAACATTCCAGAAACAAACATTTCCAGGGTGACAGAATAAGAGCCTCCAAAATTGACCCCACATACAAGTAACAAGAGTCCTGGCAAATATTGTCAAAAATCACATTTTTCCTAACTGTGAAAATTAACCAAAGCTTGTAAAAATTCAATGATCAGAAACATTTCAACAGCAAAATTTTTTTTATTTGAAATATGGGTAAATTCATTACTTTGACTTGGCACCAAGACTTTTATGAGAGATCTGCCACCGTGACTCAAAGACTTCCCACCAGGTCCCACCTCCAGCATCGGGGATTGCTCTTCAACATGAGATTTGGAGTGGACAAACATGTAAACAATATGAGCTGGGACGGAGAGAGAAAGATAGGGAGAGATGTGTTAACAGTTACAAAATCACAGCTAGATAGGAGGAATGAGCTCAAGTAGTCTATACCACTGTAGAAGGACTACAGTTAACAATAATATATGATATAGTTTCAAATAGCTAGAGGACATTGAAAGTTTCTAGTGCAAATAACTGATACATGCTTGAGATAATAGACATGCTAAT
The DNA here is from genome assembly GCF_000001405.40 of Homo sapiens. NCBI lineage: Eukaryota > Metazoa > Chordata > Mammalia > Primates > Hominidae > Homo > Homo sapiens. The sequence goes on from NC_000014.9 coordinate 43,622,495, forward strand.
TACCCTGATCTGCTCACTATACTGTATAGGTATTAAAACATTACTATGTACTTCATGAAGATGTGGAATTATTACTTTTCAATTTAAAAAATAAAATTAAATAAGAAAATAAGATGAGTTTCAGTAAGAACAGGGATGTTTGTACTGTTTTAATGTACCTACATCCCGTATCTCTCTCTGCATCTTTGTGGTACTCTTAGTAATCAGTAACGTCAAATTATGGCAGCTGAGAAAACTGGCATCCAAGCAGACACTTGAGAGGCAAAAAATAATTTGTGTTCCCTAAAGACCCATCCCAAGAGAATTACTACTATTTGACCTGTCTGGCAATTTCCTGTGAAAAGCCTTGTTTTATTTGAACTGACTCAGATTTCCCTCAGTGATAAAATTTCTATCATCAAAAAATTGTCTAAAAAATCAGGGGAAATTGTTGACTACTGTAGTAGTATGAGGCAGTAACATCAAGTGGAGCAAACATATGATTGGCCAATAAATTTTTTAAAAACTGAAAAATGAGATATTCATTGGGGGCCTTGAAAAGCTCTCTGATATATTAATGGGGGCCACACACAGAAAAGAGAGAAAACCCTAATTTCTGGCTTCTGACAGTAATTCAGGCTCTGTGCAAGCTGGAAGTGGAAGCTAAGGTAGAGGTGTAAACTTCCAGATCATTGAAGGCATGCCTCAATTCAAATAGAGCTCCTTAAGAAATAGTGAGATAAATATTGGTCCAAGACATTTAAAAAAAATCTCTGTCCAAGCATTAGCAGGCCACTAAGCTAATAGAGAAGAGATGTTAGTGGCCACACATGAAAAGAATAAAAAAAAGATTTTAGAAAATTAGTCCAGGCAAACAGCAATAATGATAAATCCTGAGAAAGGAGGGGGCATCTGATTCCCAGAGTTTTCATAGTATATTATTAAAAATATCCAATTATTTCCAGGCACCATGGCTCATGCCTGTAATCCCAGCACTTGGGGAGGCTGAGGCAGGTCAATCACCTGAGATCAGGAGTTCAAGGCTGGCCTAGCCAACATGGTGAAACCCATCTCTACTAAAAATACAAAAAATATTAGCTGGGCATGGTGGTGCATGCCTGTAGTTCCAGTTACTGGGGAGGCCGAGGCAGGAGAATTGCTTGAATCCGGGAGGCGAAGGTTGTAGTGAGCCGAGATGGTGCCACTGCACTCCAGCCCAGGCAATAGAGCGAGACTCCATTTTTAAAAATAAATAATAATAATAATAATAATACAATTTAAAAATCCAGTTATTGACAAGAGCTGTGTTTGAAACACAAAATTAAAAATTTGGACAGGTCCTCTTAAATATGAAACTATATAAAAGACTCTTCTTTAAAAGTAAGTTTAAGGAAAATGAATATAAGACTCTAACAGATTAATTTTTAAATCAAGGCAAAGGAAATGGTGGGAATAGTTGTACAACACAACTCTGCTGGCATCTTCAAGATACTAATGACTTGAAAAATAAAATAAAATAAATGTGGTGGAACTGCTGTAAAATTGGAATAAAGAGAAAGGACAACCAAATGCCAGGCAAAAAAGTGCCAACCAAGTAATCTGAGTCTTCTTGGCCTTTTTAAATGTTTTTCTTAAAATTTTAAAAGTTAGAAAGTTGAAAATATAAAATTAGATATCACATTTTTAAAACCCTTAGAAAAATAAGTAACAAAATATTGTATAATATTATATATAATGCAATAAAATATGTTATTTTATATAAAGTTATTTAAACCTGAAGTCTTTTTCCACCTAATAATAAAAGGATTATCCTTTCCAGAGCTCCAGAGTAAAATGAAATCTGTTTCAACGAAAGCATGTACAGTAAGGAATTAACTGTCTCAATAAACAAAATATAGACATAACTGATAGAACTCAAGCCGTCAAAAATTTCAAGGTCTCAAATCACACAATCTGCAACGAAAAAGTAATCTCATTATTCTTTAGAAGATGCACCATGTTACTGAACTGTACTCCCTTCTGCCAAGTCTGTTCACTAGATTCAATTTAATTGGGAATGATCGGTTAATGGGAAAATTATCAGGATGGATTGCAAGCAAAAGCAGTGCAATTTCTTCAATAAACATTTTTGTTCATGTAGTTATGTTTGGCCTAGGCACTGTGAATTTATATGACTATTGGCTAAAAATATTAGAAAATCCAATTAACAGTGGTTTGTAACTCAATATTGTTCATATCATTAGAAAACAAAAAGACTAAAAGAGACTGGTGGTGTTTCAGGTTTTCAAAGACTTGGGTACCTTGCATCTTTCTGTCTAGTATATAATCAAATATTAATATTTCACATGCACTTATAAAATAGGAATATGTGGTCAGATTTCTATAAATGTGATTGTTCAGTTCCTATATATTTTGCTAATTTTCTGCTCTTTATTATGTGAAATAGAAATTACAGCATACCCTATTTTCAATAACTATTTTGAATGAATCTTATCCAAAGTTGCCTGATTTGGGTGTTTGCTTTCTGCCTATAAATAACAGCATTAAGCCTGTAAAGAGCATGCAGCTACATTTTGTACATTGTATATTATGTGTTTTATCTACACTGAGACTATTTTAATTAGCATATTAAAAATTTATCTCTAATGGCTTCTTTTCACTCACTAAATCATACTATTTTGTATTATTTTAATTCTTGCAAGGTTTGTCTTTTTTTTCTTCTTGCTTTCCTGTGTTCGATCTGATTGATCCCCTTTACCTTTTTCATAGTTATCTTTTATAATTTTAACGTGCATTTTTACCTTGACAGTCTCAATTCAGTCAAAATTTATATTTTCCTAGTAAGCAATGCAATTACAGTTACCTCAAATAGAGGTTAACTGCTGTTACAAAGATTCAACATAACACTTTATTTAACGTAACTATCTAGAAACATACGCTCATGTTTGAGTACTTAAAATAATGCCCTGCCATGCACAGTCACAAATTTTATGAGTTTGTCGAAAAACATGCATCAGTACCAGCAGTAACAGGAGCTTCACGAATCTACTTCCTGATCTATGAATCACTACTTCTGGAAGATTTTGGTCAGCTATAACAACAACAAATATACAACAAAAAATGCACACACATATTTGTTTGTATATGTATGCACACACACTCATATACACATATACAAACACATAGACAGCATGATGAATACATGTGGAGTTAAAGTTAAGAAACTGAGGTTTCATCTAGAGGCTCCCAGTTTGGGAAGTACTCATGTAAACTTGACTCAAAATACAACTTATCTGCTAACTTCTTCATTCCTTGTTCTCTTTCCATGCAGACCCACTAGATTTCACTCTACAGCATTTGAATACAAGCCCCATATATTCATGTAAATTTTTGTACACACACACACACACACACACACACACACGCACACACATACATACCACATCATAACTAAAGATTTAATAATTTGATAACTACTCTGAAGATTTGGAAGTCTATTTAGTTACAAAATATTTACATTGACTAATATTTTATGAGAATAAAAAACAGATCATTCAGCTACTTTCACCTTTTCATAATTGCTTTCTAATTTTGCTTCTGCTTTAATTTGATGGGTTACCTGAGCACCAGGGCTTAAAATGTCTTATTTTGTAGAACATAGAAGTTTAATTCCAGAATGATGTCTTCTAAGCATGGTTGAGTACTTTTATTACTCCATACAGTTTTGGAATTGAGATATTTTCAAGAATACTAAAATGTTTTCCATTTTCATGTAAAGTTTTCAGCAATTTTTATTATTTCAAACTCAAGTGTGTATTTTTTTATTTCTATTCAAAATCCTGTGCCCAAGTGGTATTATAAGTTTGTAGTCCTTGAAATCTTATCTGAAACTGGAAAAGAATGCTCTGATAATCCCCAGAATAATCAATTATTTCACAGAAATTCTTAGGGTTGTAAATTATTACTGTAAGTCACTCTGACTTTACAGTAATCACTCTACCTGACATAGTCAACTGTATTTCCTTAGAAAATAAAAAAGAATATGTATTATTAGGTAGCTTAGATAGTCCTTGATTTAAGTAAAATAAAATATGATTTTGAGATTTTGCTTAATCATATGTTAAATTCAAGTTCAATTAGCTTATGTTTACAGAAAAACCTGCTTTCATAATATTTAAGGTAGTAATTAATGAAGAAAATATATATCCTTTAGTCTTAAACATAAACTCACCCCCAAGGAAAGATAATAAAAGTTAATAGCTAAATTTAAATTTAAATGTCTACTGTAAATACACAAACTATCATTCATAGAATAACATGATGTGGCATGACAGAAAAATATTTCACTCAATGGTTAATACATTTCTAATTATTTAAAATTAGTGATAACATATAAGATGTATCAACATTAATGTTGAATTTTATATTTGAGGATAATGAGATAATCCATAGGAATAATGAATTCTTTATTATGCTGAAATGTTTTTAAATTTCACAACAGTCTGGCTAATTGAGTGCATAATTCTCAGTACATTAAAATACCTAGTTTTTTTCACTAAAACTTTACAATCTTTATACATTATTAAATACCTATTTGAATGAGTCCAGAAATAATGTTACAAGTTTGCAGTCAGTTTAATTTTTTAAAATATAGGATTCAGGGGATACATGTACATGTTTGTTATATTAGTATACTGTGTATTGCCGAGGTTTGGGGTATGGATGGTCCCATCTGTCACCCAGATAGTGAGCATGGTACACATTAGGTAGTTTTTCAGTCCATGTTTTCCTCCTCGCTTTTATCCATTCTTGTAGTTCCCATTGTCTATTGCTCCCATCTTTATGTCCATGTATATTTGATGTTTAGCTCCCACTTACAAGTGAGAACATGCAGTATTTGGATTTCTGTTCCTGTGTTAATTTGCTTAGGATAATTGCCTCCTGCATTATCCATGTTGCTATAAAGGACATGATTCTCTTCTTTTTGTGGCTGTGTAGTATTTCATGGTGTATGTGTACCACATCTCATCTGTCCAGTCCACCACTGTTGGGCACCTAGGCTCATTCCATGTCTTTGTTATTGTGAATAGTGATGCGACGAACATATGAGTGTGTCTATCTTTTTGGTAGAATAATTTATTTCCCTTTGGGTTTATACCTAGTTATGAGATTGCTTCAACAAAGGTCCCAAGAACACACAAAAGGAAAGGACAGTCTCTTCAACAAGTAGTGTTGGGAAAACTGGATATTTCACGTACAGAAGAAATATGTTAGACCCTTATGTCACATCATATGAAAATCAACTCAAAATGGATTAAAGACTTAAATGTAAGACCTGAAACTATAAAACTACTAGAAGAAAACAGAGGGAAGTAATGTCAGCTGGATGACATTTTGGGCAGTCATTTGTTGGATAAAAATATCACGACCTACAAAATTTTAGAAAGACAAGTGGGATACATCAAACTGAAAAGCTTCTGTACAACAATATTAAAACAAAAACAAAAACAACAGAATAAAGATACAACCTAAGAAATGTGAGAAATATTTGTAAACCGTACCTCTAATAGTGTTAATATACAGAATATATAAGAATCTCAAACAACTCAGTCACAATAAAACAAATAACCCAATTTAAAAGTGGGCAAAGTACCTGAATAGACATTTCTCAAAAGACATACAGATGGCCAATAGTTATATGAAAAATGCTTGGCAACAGTAATCATCAAAGAAATGCAAATGAGAACAATAATGAGGTATTACTTCACACCTGTCAGAATAGCTATAATAAAAAAGACTAAAGATAAGGGTTGGTGAGGATGTGGAGAAAGGGAAACTTTTGTACGCTGTTAGTGGGAATACAAATTAGTACAGCCATTATGGAAAACAATATGGAGGTTCCTCAGAAAATTAAAAATTGAACTATTGTATTATCCAGCAATCTGGGTGCTGGGCATAAACGCAGAGGAAATAAAATCAATGTCAAAGAGATACTTGCACTACCGTGTTCATTGCATCATTATGCACAATAGCCAAGATATAGAATCAACCGAAGTGCCCATCAGTGAATGAATGGATTAAAAATGTAGTACATACACACAGTGGACTATTATTCAGCCTTAAAAAAGGAAATTCTATCATTTGTGATAACACAGATGGACCTCAAAGACATTATGTTAAGTGAAATAAGCCAGGTACAGAAAGGCAAATATCACATGATCTCAATTTTATGTAGAATCTAAAAATGTTGTACTCATGAAAATGAAGAGTAGAATGATGGTTACCAGGGACTAGGGCAATGGGATGGGTTTGGGGAGATGTTGGTCAAAGGACACAAAATTTTAGTTAGGTAGGAGGAATAAATTCAAGAGATCTGCTATATAATATCATGTCTATAGTTAATAACAACATGTTGTATTCTTAAAATTGCTAAGGGAGTCGACTTTAAGTGTTCTCACCATACAAAAAAATGCTAAGCTTGTGAGGTAATTCTTATGTTAATCAGTCTTATTTAGCCATTTCACATTGTATGTATATTTCAATCAAAACATTATACCCAATAAGCATGTGCAATATTCATTTCTCAATTAAAAATAAGTTAATTTAAAAAATTACTTGACTATATATTATTTCTTGGGATAATAATACTAATACAACTTCACCAAGAATTACTTTCAAGCAATTTTTTAACTTTCACAATTCATTTACAAGAATTCCTCAGATTGTGATAATAAAAACAGAGCAACAGTTGAATGCAAAATAAGATTATGAAAACTTTGAAATAAATCATAGTTATTAAACAACTGGCTATATTATTGAATATTTGTGTTAAATGTCACCAAAACATCCAATGCCTATTGATTGACCAAACTAATAAATAGATTTTTACTTTGGAATTGTAATATAATTCTGAGAGATGATTAGCTATTATTTCCAATAACTTAGAATTATTTTGTAAGAACTCCAACTAATGAAAGCTTTTGACTAAAATGAAGCCTATTATATGCTCCCAAACAATAATGTTTAGAAATATGCTCTATCACTAGTGAGGAATACAAGCTGTATGTGATGTCCACAGACTTGATCATTTGAATTTTGCCAAGATATTCATTCTTAAATAAAAATATAGTCACTCTAACTACTTAACCTAAATTCTCTTCCCATCAACCAATAGGGGATAAAGTCCAAAGCATTAGAATTATCTATGAGGCTCTTGATATGACTCAACTTTTTGCTCAGTCTCAGCTCCTACCATTTTCATAACACAGCTTCCATGCCAATCATATTTAATAGTTCTTCAAATCCATGATGAGCCCCAAGTATTTAAGATTGGCATATTCTGTCTTCTCTAATTAGATTCCTCTTTCAATACTTATTTTTACAGCTAGAGAATACTTGAGAAAAGTTCAGATGAAATCACACTATTCTTTCTCTTCATCATTTCTATTTCATGATAAGAGTTAATTAGGTTAGCCTCCTGCAACATAAATATTTTATGATAATAATGTTGGGCAAATACATTGTTGAGATTTAAATGTGTGAATTTATTATGGTAATCCTCATATATATCAATTAATAATTATGGAAATTATACTTACAGATTATGAAACTTGAGGTTAAGGACAATACATAAATCAAACATATAATAATGATATAATTAATGTTTGAATCATCTATTTCTGAGGTCAAATTTCTATGCTAAAACCCACTACTTTGCTGTATTTCTACCTAGAACATATCATACCATGCATACTTAATGCAAATATTTGTATATGTACATGTTTTTCACATTGTATTAGTGAGGGTTCTCTAGAGGGACATAGCTAATAGGATATATGTATATATGAGAGGGAGTTTATTAAAGAGAATTGACTCACACAATCACAAGGTAAAGTCCCATGATAGGCCACCTGCAAGTTGAGGAGCAAGGAATCCAGTGGTAAAATAGTCTGAGTCCCAAAATCTCAAAAGTAGGGAAGCTGACAGTGCAGGATTCAGTCTGTGGCCAAAGGCCCAAGAGCCCCTGGCAAACCACTGATGTAAGTCCAAGAGCCTAAAAGCTGAAGAACTTGGAGTCTGATGTTTGAGGGCAGGAAGCATCCAGCACAGGAGAAAGATGAAGGTCAGAAGACTCAGCAAGTCTCCTCTTCCATCTTCCCCTGTCTGCTTTATTCTAGCTGTGCTGGCACCTGATTAGATGGTGTCTACACATATGGAGGATGAGTCTCCCTCTCTCAGTCCACTGACTCAAATGTTAATTTCCTTTGGCAACACCCTCACAGACACACCCAGGAACAATACTTTGCATCTTTCAATACAATCAAATTGACACTCAATATTAACCATCATACATGATATATTTTTGAGCAAAATTTTTCCATGTTTGTTTTCACAGATTCTGAAAACAGTATGTACTTAATAGATGAAATGTGTTAGATCTCCTCACATCATTATTTCAACCTAAGAAAAAATATATATTATGTATTATGATTATCTTATTTTTTTCACATAGATTACATCAATACGAGTACCACCTTCAAAGACAACTATATGAATCACCTTAAAAAGTGCAGCTTATGGGCCAGGTGCGGTGGCTGACACCTGTAATCCCAGCACTTTGGGAGGCCGAGGCGGGCAGATCACAAGGTCAGGAGTTCGAGACCAGCCTTGCCAATATGGTGAAACTCCATCTCTACTGAAAATACAAAAATTAGCCAGCCGTGGTGGCGGGCGCCTATAGTCCCAGCTACTCAGGAGGCTGAGGCAAGAGAATCCCTTGAACCCAGGAGGCAGAGGTTGCAGTGAGCTGAGATCGCACCACTGCACTCCAGAGTGGTGGAGTGCACTGGGCAACAGAGAGATATTCCGTCTCAAAAAAAAGTGCAGCTTATATTTCTAGGATAAGGGCTGTTTGCATCAGTATTCCACTTTGCTTACTGAAAGTTATCCAAATGCAGCAAAGTAATAAAAAGGTTAAAATTATAATACATACTTAATTTGTATGGACTCTAGGAGAAAGGTATGAGTCTAAGATGCCAATACATTTCTAAATTTATCAAGTGCAGCTCAAATTAAAGCAGTGCTGATAGAAAGAAGTAGAAAGAAAACACACATTGAGAGAGTTCTTTGATGCAAAAGCTCAGCAGCAACAGATTTAAACACTTGGCAGCAGTAATGTAAAGCTCTGTCTGGTTATTCTCTGCAAACTTACATGGGGTAAACTATCCATCAAGAACAAATACTAGAGACAGTACAGCAACAATCAGAAATTATCCCTTTTAATGGATTTAAGAAAAGTCAAACTAACATTAAACTGACCAAAGACACAAGAAAAGTAAAACATTTTATGGCAAACTCTACACTGTGCTATGCTTTCCTCCTGGGGTGCTTTCTTTTTTATTCTTTTATTTTAAAATTGACTTTAAATTTTTAATATTTATGGATACATGTTGGTTTTATACATTTAAGGGATACATGTGATATTTTGATACAAGTACACAATGTGAAATCTAGGTAATTGGGATATCTATCTCCTATAGATATTTCCTGATGCAAAGGCAGAACCTAATCAGAAAGCAATGGCTAATTGTATGAAAGCCAGATAGTGGCTTCTGTAGTTTCATGGAGCTAGAAAGATAAAAGACAGAACTGGAGAACTTGACATCTAGAAGCTGAGCAGCCAAAATTATGAAAGAAAGGAAGCATAGGGAAGGGGTCTTGACATTCAGAGTAGACTTTTCTCTTGAGACATTCACCTATTTATAGGCAGCTGACAAAATGTTGAGAGGCCAAACAGAGCTTTGGATTATGTCATTATCATGAGGTGAAGAATTTAGATTTTTAAGGCACATGTAAGAGAGTGTCAGTTACTCTGGTACAATCCAGGTGTTCAGTTGCGTTTCCTCAAGTACTATACTACAGAAGTAATGACAAGTTAGTGCTGGACTAGCTTTCACAAACACTGAAACTTAGTACTAAACTCAAATATCACAATAAATGTATCTTCCCCACCTCTAATGCCTAACATAGCGAAACTCTAATGCCTGATTTAGCAAAATCTTCCCCAACACTACAATGCCTACAGTGTATGAAGATAACATTAAGTAGAGCATTTAAAATTTTAATAAATAATATTTAGCATCCAATAATAAATTATAAGTTATACATGGAGACAGGAACAACACACACAAACAGAAAGAAATGCAGTTGATTGATAGATAATAAGGTTTGCAGATATGGACTATAAAATAATTGTGATTAATATGTTGAAGAGAAGAGATTACAAGATTTTATATGTGTGTGTGTGTGTGTGTGTGTGTGTGTGTGTGTGTGTGTGTGTGTGTGTGTGTGTTTATGGCAGAGTCTAGCTCTGTTGCCCAGGCTGGAGTGCAATGGAGTGATATCGGCTCACTGCAACATCTGCCTCCCAGAATCAAGCGATTCTCCCTCCCTCAGCTTCCCAAGTAGCTGGGATTACAGGCACCCACCACCATGCCAAGTTAATTTTTTATGTTTTTAGTAGAGACAGGGTTTCGCCATGTTGGCCAGGCTGGTCTCGAATTCCTGACCTCCGGCAATCTGCCCGCCTTGGCCTTCCAAAGTGCTGGGATTACAGGTGTGAGCCACCATGCCCGGTCAAGATTTTATATTTTATATGAGAATTGAAATGTAACATATCAAAATGGAAACTATGGAACTAAAAAAATACCTCAATATGAATTTAATAGCAAATTAGATTCAGAGAAGAATTAAGAAAACGTAATATAACTCATTGTCAGATTGTAGCAGGAAAAGAGTAAGGAGATAAAAATACAAAAAAAGGAAAAGAATCAAAGAAAGCAGAATCTTAAAATTACATATAGACACAATGGAAGCTGCAGAAAAATAGCGAAAAGAGTGCAAGCTAGTCAATTCCTGAAGAGATAATGATTAATGGTTTTGAAACACCTGAAGGGAGAAATCAAGACACAGATGTAAAAATTACTACAAACATCACCAAAGATAAAAAGAAAGAAAGCCATACCTAAGAATATCACAGTGAGACAACTGAAAGTCAAAAAATACGTCAAGTCATCCAGAGAATAAAGACACATTATCTTCAAAGAAGCAGTGATGAAACTGAAGGCTGTCTCACAAAAAAAAGGAAGAAATGATCAAATCCAGAAGGAATATTTTAATCTTAACAGAGCTGAATGAACATAACTGCCAGCTTAGAAATCTATGCTCAGTGAAAATACAATGATGATATATAAATATGTTTTTATCTTTTAAAATGAAGGTGAAATAAAGATGTTTGATTTATAAAGTAATTTGTTGCAAATAGGCCTGCACTAAAATAGAAACTAATGAAGTTGTTAAGACAAAAGAAAAATGATCCCAGAAAAATGAAAAGACAGCAGTGTAAGTAAAATTAGAAAATGTAAATATGTGGGTAAATATCAATCTCTATTGACTGTACAAATAATAGCATGATGTATGCTGGAGCTGAAATTACAGTTAGAAAATCCGTGACAGGATTAATGCAAATGGGGACAGAATAAAAGGAGATAAAAAGTTCTAAACTTCTAGCACTCTCAGGGAAGTGCTAAATGTATTAATTTGCATTAGACTGTCATATGCCAAGGCTGTTGTTAAAAGGTAACTGTCTTAGTTCATTTTGTGCTGCTATAGCAGAAAACCCACAACTGCACAACTGAGTAATTTATACAAATAGTAATTTATTTTTACATTTCTGGAGGCTGGGAGGTCCAAGCTTCCAGTACATGATGAGGAACTTTTTGCTGTGACCTCACATAGCAGAAGGTGAAAGGGCAAGAGAGAAGATGAATTCTGTGTCCTCACGTGGGAGAAAAGCAAAAGGCAAACCCGCTCTTGCGAGCTCTTTTTAAAATGGCATTAATCCCTTCATATGGGCAGTGCCCTCATGTCCTAACACCTCCCTTTAGGCCTCACCTCCTAACACTGTTGTAATGGGGATTAAGTTTCCAGCACATGAATTGCAGGGGGCACATTCATACCAGAGCATTAACCAATAGTGTACAAACATACAGTATGTATAAGAAATCTATAAATGAATAATAAATGAAATATTTTATTAATCCAAATGAAGGCAGGAAAGAAGTTTTGTTTTTTTTAAGTACGATAAATTAGACAATCCAAAATTATAAAATTAACCATCAAAATCCAAACACTATTAATTTAGTGCTGTATACCATCTCCTTAAACCATACTTCATCTCCAAATAAAGACAATAACTAGGTCATAATTCTGCCTAACATTATACAACTATTCTTCATACAACAAAAAACACTTCCCCAGAAAAGTCCTTGAGTGATGTTTACACTTCATCTTGGTATCCCATAACTTAAATACCATGAAGTAAAATTGACAGAATTGAAGAATTGACAGTACTTAAATACTTTGATATTAATTCAGTACAACTTATGATATATCATAAGGAAATAGAAGAAAAAGTAAATATATTTGCCTATATATATACATATACATGCACACATGAACACATACATATTCATAACAAAATAAGGAGAGAGTACTCATGGCAAGTAGAGTTCTTATTTCTACAGGTGGTCATGTGGTCATAGCTGGTATTTTTAATAACCTTCTTCTACTACCTATGCTTTACTCCCTTTGCCTTCAGCAAGTACCATAGCTTGCTGGGGTTCTTTATCTGGTGGAACAATACAAACTAGTATTCCTGAAAGTTATGAGCAATAAGTAGTCATGCCTGGATTGGGTTGTTGGATTGTTTCATTGACATTAATCACAGGCCATATTAATACTAAGAAATGCTCTAAGGAATCTCCTGTATTTGAAACAGACTCCTTTTTTAATATTCATTATGAAGTAGGAGTTCAATTTCTCCTTGGTATTTAAGATTAATTACCCCAGTTGGCACAGTAACTCCCTTCTTTGCCATTGGTTCAGATGTATAAGGAATCCAAAGTGGCCAGTTAGGAATCATTGTATTATCTCCTGGTGAAAGCATTCTTCCTTTTGGAACTAAGACTTATAGGCCAACAAAGTGTAAGGTCATGGGAACAGAAAGAAAAATTTTGCTAGTGGATCAAGTATGAGTAAGTGTATCATGTGACAGAAGTGCATATTTCTATACTGATAAATGCACTTTGATCCAACTTTATATTCCACCTGCATTGACTTAAAACCTTCAGAAACCAGTCCCAGGCATAAATTGGCTTCCTCCAGAACATGTTGGCTGGTCCTCCAGAGTCTTCAAAACTTATGGCTCCTCCCTTCTCTTAACAAGTAGATATCATCCATAGCTGTATTGTATTGTGACCTGGCTTTAGGTAGGGGCTTTAGAGCTTGGAGGTAGGAGTTTAGACAAAATTCTTAGAGGAGTACATGTTTTCTTGCAAGGATGACATTTCTGCGTGATCTTTAAGCATGGAGGAATCATATATAAAAATAAGAAGAGAGGTATATTGCAGGCTAAGAGGATTCAGATAAATATGTAGGTTAATAGTGATTAGATTCATTGATACATACTTCTCTATCACTTGTCTGAGGATCCCACATTTCCGAATCCAAACAAGATCTTGCCCAAGAAATTTACCAGATTAGAGAATACACGCTTCTATGGTTTTCTGATACCCTAATAATTAAATATTGAACAAAATCCTTAGCTTTTTTTGCCTTCTAGTTGCAGGAAAGAAGAGTTATTTTGTGTGTTTTTGTTTTCAATATGATTCTAAGGTGGGTCTCTAATTTTCAAACTCCTTAATCTGGTGAATAATCACTCTCAGATCTTCCCCTGGCCTTCTCCAATGCATTAACCAGCATCGACCACCCAATTCAAAAGTACTTATGTTCACTTCCAAACTACACAAAAAGTGACAAGATACAATTATACCAGTATATTTTCATCCATCAATATTTAACTTAGCCCACCCCAATGACAGTTTTAACAATTGCACTGCTACAACTTTCTTGGTGCTATTATAACTTCACTAGCACTGGTGAGTGCTAGTGATCCTTATTGACAGCTGACAATGATACTACTCAAAGATCTAAAAATATTTTTAAACTCTTAGGCATTAACTGGCAATGGGTCTGAATTCCTGGGAAACTCTGAGATAAAAATTTTATGTAGGGAGTTTTTTGAGAAGTGTTTTTGGAGCCAACTGCAAGAGACTGAAAGAATCAGGATTGGTCAGAAGTAGAAATTGAACTGGGAAACAATTGCAATACAGGTCTTATTTAATCTCATGGAGAGAAATGGAGCTAAAATATCCCCTCAGAGTTGTTCCCAATTTGAGATAATGAAGCTATGTGTTTGTGTACTGCATATTAGCCAGTCACTGGATATGGGCTTCCCCTGGAGAAACAGCACTTCATTAAAAATAATATTAAAATTAAACATAAAAAGGGCGCTCAACTTTATTAGTCATAGGGTAAATGCAATTAAACTTACAATGAGACACCAGTACACACCACAAGAATGGCTAAAATTAAAAAGGCTGACACACCAAACGTTGTCAGGAATGTAGCTCAATTACCAAACCTTATACACTGCTGATGTGAGAGTAAAATTGAACAAACACTTTTAAAATACTTGGCAATATGCATGAAAATCGGATGAATGCATACCGAATGACTCAACAACAGTTTAATTTAAGATACAGACCCAAAAGAATTGTATTCATATATTTACCAAAATACATATAATAGGATGTGTTCAACTACATTATTTATAATACCACCAAACTTCAAAGGACCTTAAAACCATTCATCAGTTGAACTGACAAATAGATGTTGGTATATTCACATGAATGCATATCTGACTTAGATAAATGAGAATCAATAATCTACAATGACACATGACAATATAGATGATTCTCACAAACATGTTGAACAAAATAAGTCAGATATAAATGCATAATGTGCAATTCCATTTATATGAAGTACAAGTAAGTTTATGCTGTTAGATATAGAAAAATAACAGTACAACTAAAAGATAAAAGGCACTATGATACTATTTTTTTTAGTTATGAGCTTGGCAAAATTCCAAAGTTTAGTTACTAGTCTTAAAGAAAGGTTTGCCCATAATGTATGAAAGTGGTTTCTCTCAATCAGCATGTATAAGTATTACCTGTAGTACTAGGTAAATATGGACTCCTGAGTCTCAACTCTGGAAATTTGGATTCAGTAGGTCTGAGGTTTAGGTAATATTTTGCATTTCTAACAACCTGCCAGATGTTGCTGATGCTGCCTCAGACTCAATTTAATTTCTAATAATTTATTTTATAGCCATGCACTTGTGAATGTTTGTATCAGAAAAAAAATTACAAAAGCTGAAGTAATCATTCTTTTAAAAATATTGTTTGAATGAGAAATGCATTCACAATTACAAAGTTTAATTTTTTAATTATGAAAGGCTGTGTAGTGAAAATTTCACTCACGTAGATTTTCCCCAACTATTCTGCCCCTAATCCTTCCAATTCTTCACACAAAGCAAGTAATCATTGTTACTATTTTTAATACCTCTGTTCATAGACTTTTAAAAAATGAGAGCAAATATAAACATGTTTTATGTTTATACCCTTTAATAGGCAAATTTATGAATACTATAAAGAATGGTAACTTGGTTTGTTTTAATCCTCATGAGTGTGATTACATTTCCCATTAGAAAAATAACCTTTTTAAAAGGATGATTATTGTAACTTTAGTAATTAGTCCCTTTACTTAGATATTTAATTAGACTTAATTAGAAACATCAAAATGTTCCAAATGTTTTCAGAGTCAGCACTCTCTTTATTCAGTGCCAGATATTTGTTGATATTCAGTATCATCTACTATAAGAATATAAATACTCATGATTTATCACCCATTAGTTCTTGCTAGTAGGATTGTAGTTAATCCTAATCAAGGAGAGATATCACAAAATATTGAGAAAATGGAAAAAGTCATTATTCTCTGAAGCACCTCAGGCAAGGACATAGGTTTCAGCTAATGGCCAATGAGAGATTGTACCCATAATTTTAAGGGTTCTACTAGGACCACTTTGGAATTATATGCAACTGGGAAAAGTGGAAGGCTCCATGCAAATCTTGCTTTTCCAATTCTTACAAAATCCCAGACCTTACCTTGTCAGATTTTCTAACAGGGAAACGTTAAGTCGTCATTTCCCTATATTAATCCACTTGCTCTAAGTAGCTAGAGAGACTTCTGTTTCTTGACTGAACCTTGAATGATACCTGTAGATATACAAATCCAATCTCTCTTTGTTCTATAAAAGTAGCGTTTTGTTTGTGTTTTTGTTTTCTTCCATATGGCAGATTAGAGGTAGTGTTAGCAGGCCTCTCACTCTTGGAAGAACAAAATAATGTGTAGAAATTCACACCAGGAACCTTTTTCCAAGCAGCAACACAGGAACTTAACAGAAAACTGAAAGACTCTACAGACCCTTTGAATGAATGGAAGACAGCAGACTACACTGTGAGACAGGTGAAACAATGTAAGTCCCTAGAGAGTGAGAGGGGGAGATAGTGCCTCCAGGATACACATCCCCAATGGGGAATCTGAAAATCCAGATTTTCAGATCTGGGGAAAGGCCTTAACCCTACCCAGAGCTGGAACTGATTTAGGGAGTGGCACGAAATACAAAAGCAGAGGCAATGGCAGGAAGTGCCATGCAGGTATTTCCAATCTCCGGCATGAACCAAGGGAAGCCATTCCTTATTTTATCTCACAGGGAACCTTGGTGGTTAGCCAACTAGCTCAGGTGGGGGTCAGAGGTTGAAAGAAGCTCCCAACTGAATTTTGCAATATATTCTCAAGTGGGAATGAACTCCCTTTGCAAGAACCCAGGGTGCGAGGGGGATATGTGATGCAGACATGAGCACAGGAGCTGCCCCGGCCTTGTAAGTGGATGGGGAAGGGTGTGGACAACAAATCACAGTTGCTATCTCCAAGAGGAAAGCTTGTGGCCTGGGAAAGCTCTGAGTTCTTAGTTCAGACTGCTAGAACTTTGCCTTGTGCTGTTAGCAAAGCACTGTGGGAATGAGACCAGCCTTGTCAACTGCATGGGAGCTGGGTGAGGCTTACTGCTGCCTGCTACTCTCCACTCCCTGTGAGAATTCTTCTGTGCAGCAGAGACAGTTATATTCCCCTCTGGAACATTACCTCAGACACTGGAGAATCCCACCCAGACCCACGTAGGGGCTGCTGCTTGCACTGCATATGGAGAGTCAGAGCACAGACCTACCTGACCCAGCCTTCACTTGTGTCTCTCCATCAGCCCTCATAGCTTAAAAGAAATACATAAATTTTGGGGAGCATTATGGCCCAGCTCATTGCCTGAGAAACCAGAATACCTCCCCTGGGCAACATAGGGCAAGCTCAAATTCCACTGCTGCTACTGCAGCTGGTGCTCTTTTGCAGGCACCACCTCCTTGCTGGAGGTCAACTGACACAGTTCATTACAGAATCTCTGCGTAGAATAACACTGTGCCCAGAAAGGAGAAAACTGATGTGTAACCTCAGCTATCACTATTGCTAGCAGCACGCTGGCCAACCAGAAGTCCTTAGTCTGTCCACGTGACAAATACACTACTATTACAACCAACATTTAAGAAAGCTAGCAGACTAAGTCTATCTACAACCAAGGAACCTACCAGAGTCTATATCACTCCTCTGCCACTCCCATCAGAACTGATACTAGTACCTGCTGCTGGGAAACTTGAAGACTGGTCACATCACCAGATCCCTTGCAGACATTCTCCAGCACCAGCTTGGAGTGTAGCAGCCTCACTGGGTGGCCAAAACCAGAAAAGCAATAGCAACCACTATAGTCTGGCTCTCAGGAACTCCTACTCCTATGGAAAAGGGGAGAGCACTATATCAAGAGAACACCCCATAAGACAAAAGCATCTGGATGGCAGACCTTGTGTCCTAGATCTTTCTGCTGGTGTCAAGTTTCTTTTAGCAGAAACACAACTGCAGTGTTGGGCTCAGCAGGAGAAGTCTGCACCTTTACCCCAACAGTCAGGCAGCCTTGATGCTTGTGAACAGTCTTGAAGGAGTCTTCTTTTGCCCCCTCACCCACCAATACAGACACAACTGGGGCTTCTCTCACAAGAGCTCGGTATGGGCGCGCCTATAGGCAGCCTTTCTGGAACATTTCAGGGAGACTGCGTTTCCACAGGAGGAGCACCCCCTGAGTTCAGACTTGCACAGGAGGCAGACTCACAATTCCTTTCCAGTTGGAACAGCAACATTCCTACAGACAAAAACAGGTGCCTGTCTGATCTGAATAGCCAAAACACTGGGACACGAGTGAGGCTGGGAGGTGGATAGCTTTCCTGCTGGCCTTGCAGAAGAGCTGAAGTAGCTTTCATCCTTCACCCTGGTAAAACCTCAGTGCATCTAACTGGGAGCTTACCAGCCACTTTCATCAAAGCTTGGACCTCTGCCCACCATTGGGTATTGCATCTACCCACCTGCTTTAGCTACAACCAGTTCCGACCCAGAGATACCACCCTTATTGGCTTAAAGCCTAAACTATCAACTCAGCAAATTAAATATTGGATAAAAATTAACTAAATAAAATGTAAATACAACAGAAGAACAGGATAAGCTTCAAGAGACCTCTGTCAACCCAACCCCATAGGACACAGTGAACTTGCCCACACACCAAGTAGGTAGCTACTAAACCCAGCATCTGAGAAAGCCATCATACAGATACTCTATAACCAAAGAACTCACAGAGTTTTCACAGTGAAAAGCACCAAGAACCAAATTAGACTATAAAAAGTATAAACATTAAAGTCACATCCTTAAAAAGGAAAAAAAGAAATTAACAAAAACAGCCAAATAAAAAACAAATTCAAGAGCAATTAGAAGAAATAGTCTATGCAAATGAGAAGGAACCAGAAAAGTAATTCTGGCAATATGACAAAACAGAGTTCTATAACACCTTCAAAAGATCACACAAGTTCCCCAGCAATGAATCCAAACCAAGATAAAACCTTTGAAGAACCAGATAAAGAATTTAGGAGGTAGCTTATTAAGCTACTCAAGGAAAATACCAGAGAAAGGTGAAAAATAACATTAAAAAATTAAAAAAAAAAAACCAGTTCAGGATATAAGTAAAAAAATTTTTTCAGAGAGATAGGAAAAGAAATAAACTACAACAAAAAATCAGAACTGCTGGAAATGAAAGACACACCTAGATAAATACAAAATTCAATGGCAAGTTTGAACAGTAGACTAGAACAAGTAGAATAAAGAATTCCAGAGCTTAAGACAAGCCTTTTGAACTAACCCAATCATACAAAGATAAAGAAAAAATAATCAAAAGAAATGAGGGAAGCCTCCAGGAAATATATGATTATGTAAAATAGCCAAACCCAAAAATAATCGGTCTTACTAAGGGAGAAAAGAAAGCTAAAAGTTTGGAAAACTTATTTGAGTAAATAATTGAGGAAAACTCCCTTGCCCTTGCTAGAGATTTAGATATCCTAATACAAGGAACTGAAAGAACTCCTGGGAAATTCATGGCAAAAATATTATCACCAAGTCATCTAGACATCAGGCTACCTAAAGTTAACAAGAAGGAAATAATTCTAAGAGCTGTAAGACCAAAGCAACAGGTAATCTATAAAAAAGCACCTATCAAACTAACAGCATACTTCTCAGAAGAAACATTACAAGCTAGAAGAGATTGGGGCCCTATCTTTAGCCTCCTTAAACAGAATAACTGGCAGTAAAAAAATTTGTATTCAGCAAAACTAACTATGTATCCTTCATGAATGAAGGAGAAATAAGTTCTATTTCAGACTAACAAATACTGAGGAAATTTGCCACTATCAAACCAGCACTACAAGAAATGCAAATAGGAGTTCTAAGTCTTGAAACAAAAGGTCGATGTGCACCAAAATAGAACTTCTTGAAAGCATAAGACTCACAGGGCCTCTAAAACAATAACATAATGAAAAAGACAAAATATCTATGTAACAACTATTACGATGAATAGAACAGTACCTCATATCTCAATATTAACATTGAATGTAAATGGCCTAAATGTTCCACTTACAAGAAACAGAATGGTGGAATTAATAAAACCACAAACCGAATATCTTCTGTCTCTAAGAAATTCACCTAACGTAAGAATTCATATACACTTAGGTAAAGTGGTGAAAAAAGGTATTTCACACAAATGGAAACTAAAAGCAAGCAGGAGTAGCTATTCTTATATCAGACAAAGCAGACTTTAAAGCAACAACAATAAAAAAAGAAAAAGAAGCTTATTATGTAATGATAAAAGGATCAATCCAACAAGAAGATATTACAATTCTAAAATTATATGCACCAAACACTTGACCTCCTAGATTTATAGAACAATTTCTACCAGACCAAAGAAATGAAATAGAGAGCAACACAATAATAGTCTACTGACAGCACTAAACAGGTCATCAAGACAGAAAGTCAACAAAGAAACAATGGACTTAAACTATATTCTAGAACAAATGGACTTAACAGATATTTACAGAACATTTACAGAACATTCCACCCAATATCTGCAGAATATGCATTTATTTCATCAGCACATGGAACAGTCTCCAACATAGACAATATGATAGGCCACAAAACAAGTTTCAATAAATTCAAATAAATTTAAGAAAATTGAAATTATATCAAGTACCGTTCAGACAACAATGGAATAAAACTGGTTATCAATTCAAGCAAACCCCTCAAAACTATACAAATAAATAAAAATTAAATTATCTGGTGTTGAATAATTTTGGGGTTAACAATGAAATCAAGGCAGAAATTTAAAAATCCTTTTAAATGAATGATTATAGTTTCACAATTTATCAAGACCTCTGGAATACAGAAAAAGTAATGCTAAGAGGAAAGTTCATAGTATTAGATGTCTACATTAAGAAATCTGAAAGAGCACAAATTGACAACCTAATGTTATACTTCAAAGAATTGGAGAAACAATAACAAACCAAACCCAAAGCCAGCAGAAGAAAATACAAATGAACATCAAAGAACGAAATATAATTGGAACAAAAATAATACAAAAGATAAATAAAACAAAAATCTGGTTCTTTGAAAACATGAACAAAATTGACAGATCATTAGTGATATTAACCAAGGAAAGAAGAGAGAAGAGCCAAATAAGCTCAATTAGAAGTAAAACTGGAGACATTACAACCAATTCCACAGAAATACAAAAGATTATATGAGACTACTGTGAGCACCTCTAGTCACACAATCTAGAAAATCCACAGGAAATGGATAAATTCCTGGAAAAATACAACCCCACAAGATTAAATCAGGAAGACATAGAAACCCCAAACAGACCAAGAACAAACAGTAATATTGAATCAGTAATTAAAAAATGCCAACAAAACACAAGTACAGGGCCAGATGGATATACAGCTGAACTCTACCAAACATTCAAAGAAGAATTGGTAGCAATTCTACTGAAACTATTCCAAAAGATAAACAGAGAGTCCTCTCTGAATTATCCTTTGAAACCAATATTAGCTTAACACCAAAACCAGGAAAAGGCATAACAGAAAAAAGAAAACTACAGACCAATATCCTTGATGAATATAGATGCAAAAATCCTCAAAAAAATACTACCTAAACAAATCCAATGGCATATCAAAAGGATAATGCATCATTATCAAGTGTGCTTCACCCCAGGGATGCTGGGATGATTTAACATACACGAGTCAGTAAATGTGATACATTACATAAACCATCATTTTTTTTAAAAACATATGATTATCTCAATTAGATGCAGGAAAACCATTTGATTAAATCCAGCATCCCTTTATGATGAAAACCCTCAACAAACTAGGCATAGAAGGGATTTACTTCAAAATAATAAAAGCCATACATGACAAACCCACAGTCATCAGGCTGATTGGAGAAAACTTGAAAGCATTCCCCCTGATAACTGGAACAAGACAAGGATGTTCACTTTCACCACATTTATTCAACATCACTCAAGAGCAAAAAATAAAGGGCATTCGAATTGGAAAAGAGGAAGTCAAACTACTGCTGTTCACTGATGATACAATTGTACACCTGGAAAACCCGAAAGACTCATCCAAAGAGCTCCTAGATCTGATAAATTAATTGAGTAAAGTCCCAGTTTACAAAATGAATGTACAGAAATCAGTAGCACTGCTATACATCAACAACAACTAAGCTGAGAATCAAATCAAGAACTCAATCCCCTTTACAACTGCAAAAAATCTTAATTACCTAGAAATATGCTTAACCAAGGAGGTAAAAGATCTCTGCAAGGAAAACTACAAATTTGTTTCTATTTGTTTGTGTCATATATTATTACTATGAAAGTAATCATAGTACTTTCATAGTAAAAAATCATCTGTGTTTTCAAATGGAAAAAAAAATAGGCATGTAGACCAATGGAACAAAATAGAGAACCCAGAAATAAAGCCAAATACTTACAGCCAACTGATCTTCAACAAAGCATACAAAAACATACATTGGGGAAAGGACACCCTATTCAATAAATGGTGCTAGGAAAACTGGCAAGCCACGTGTACAAGAATGAAACTGGATCCCTATCTCTCACTTTGTACAAAACTCAACTCAAGATGGATCAAATAATTATTAAGAACCCAAAAGCAAATGCAACAAAAAAAAGTAAATAAAGGGGACCTAATTAAACTAAAACGCTTCGGCACAGCAAAAAGAAATAAACAGCAGAGTAAACAGACAACCCATAGAATGGTAGAAAATATTTGCACGCTGTGCCTCTGATGAAGTAGTATCCAGAATCTACAAGGAATTCAATCAAATCAGCAAGAAAATATAAATAATGCAATCAAGAGTGGACAAAAGGCATGAATAGACATGTCTCAAAAGAAGATATACAAATGGCCAACAAACATGACAAATGCTCAACATCATTAGTCATCAAGAAATATAAATTAAAACCACAATGAGTTACCACCTCACTCGTGCAAGAAGGTCCATAATTCAAGTCAAAAAACAATAGATGTTGATGTGTATGTGGTGAAAGGGAACACTGCTAGTGGGAATGTAAATTAGTACAATCTCTATGGAAAACAGTATGAACATTCCTTAAAAAACTAAAAGTAGATCTACCATTTGATCCAGCAATCCCACAACAGGGTATCTACCTAAAGGAAAAGAAGTCATTATGTCAAAAAGACACAAACACACACATGTTTATAGCAGCACAATTAATAATTGCAAAGATATGGAACCAGCCTGGGTGCCCACCGACCAATGAGTGGATAAAGAAAATATGGTATATATACACCACGGAATACAACTCAGCCATAAAAAAGAACAAAATAATGTCTTTTGAAGCCACTTGGATGGAGCTAGAGGCCATTATTCTAAGTGAAGTAACTCAGGAATGGAAAACTAAACATTATATGGTCTCACTTATAAGTGGGAGCTAAGCTATGAGGACTCAAAGACATACGAAGTGATAAAGTGGACCTTGGGGACTCGGGTTGGGGGTAGTTAGGAGGTGGGATGAGGAATAAAAGACAACATATTGGGTGCAGCGCACGCTGCTCAGATGATGGGTGCACCAAAATCTCAGATTTCACCACTGCAGAATTCATCCATGTAACCACAAACCACTTGTACTCCAAAGGCTACTGAAATTTGAAAAAGAGAGAGAGTCATTGATCTATGACTAGAAGAATCTCAGACAAAGAATTGAATCAAGTCCTGTCTCTGTCTCCTGGAAGCTAAGTGAGTGTAAGATATTTAGGCCTCACCAGCATTTAGTTTTAGTTTCTTTCTCTGCAAAAGGGGGACATCTTTTATATATATATATATATATATATGTATGTGTATATAAATACATAGTTATTCTCATTGGACTGTACACATCTCAAATGTAGAAACTCTGTTACTCATCTCTTTATCTCTAGTATTAATGCATTGTCCAGTGGAGTATGCATCAATAACTGCTTCTTGGACAAATGAGGATTACATAATGATAAAGTTATTTTTAAATTGTAAAAAAAAAAAAACAGTAGTAGGAAGTTCGAATTTTCATCAATGTTCTCCATCATTTGTCTCACTGTGTTATATGATTCCTCTTTTACAGCATTATGTGTGCATGCATGTGTTTTTTGTGTGTGTGTATGAAATGGGTTTAAATGTTGAATTCAATTTCACATTGTCATGCAAGAAGAAGTCATTTCAGAATAATTCACAAAAACTAAAGGAGTTTTTTCCCTCTGATCTCACTACTCATGTAGATTAAAGGTGAGACCACTTTGCACTGTGTATTGTTAAGCTCTGGACTTGTCACATTTATTCAAATAAGAATACTAATGGATTTTACAGAAGAATAGAACTTTTAAAAAGATTATATTGTAACCAGACAGTCTATTCCTTTTAATAAATTGCACAATAGTCTTTTCACATGTGATAGCAGTAAGCTTTTCTAGAGAATAGATATAAGCATAATAGTGCCCAGAGAAATAATAAATTATCCTCAAACAAGGGATATTAATTATGTCTTTTATGCAAAACTCACATCTCTCTAGAGAAATAAGATAAACATGGATTAATTTATTTATAAAGGAATGAGTATTGATTTCTAAAAATATTAAGTTTTTATATCTATTTACCACTAATATAAATCTTATGCCTCAGAGTCTTATTGAGAGTAACAGGAGGCATCCTAGTGGCTAGGCAGATAGGGGCGGGTCCCTGGTGAAACCCCACCTCCAAGCTAAAGACAGTTTAAAGCCTGAAAGCCAAGCTATGAGTTAAATCCTCAGACCAGACTGAGAACTTGTCTTCTCATTTGCCTCTTTCCTCTGATTGATCCCCACTGTTCATCTATTTTACATATACCAACCCTTTCCTAATTGGTTTTCTACACTGTCGTGCCGAACCTTGGGTGATGTCTTCACTTTAGCCTTTTCT
The DNA here is from genome assembly GCF_000001405.40 of Homo sapiens. NCBI lineage: Eukaryota > Metazoa > Chordata > Mammalia > Primates > Hominidae > Homo > Homo sapiens. The sequence continues at coordinate 43,647,428 of NC_000014.9, forward strand.
GCATACCAATAAACCAGTCAGCACACACTCCCTATTCTGAGTCCATAAAGGGCCCCAGATCCAGCCACAAGGGGGTGCTTTCCCACCTTCAGGTAAGGGGACCACTCTTGTGTCCAGCATATCCTCATTCTTCTTGTGTGTGGTACAAGAGCTCAGGAACCACCAAACATGGGTACAAGCTATAACAAAGGTGAGTTGGGGCATGCCAGCATGGCAGAGTGCGGCCCGGGCAGGGCATCATTGGCTGGAGGTCCCTGGTTTGCAAAGTGACTGAGAAGAAATTTCTACATCATTATTGAGGTCAAAGAAACACTGCAAAACAGATATTTCAGCCAACACAAAACTGATAAGTATAAGTGGCCAGTAAAAATTAGTAACATTAAAGGAGAAATTTTCAAATTTATATTCACCAAATTGGCTTAAATCCTAAATCTTTATTAGAAGATATATTATTTGTGTCCTTCAGAATATTGTGATCACTCTTTCATTAATACTAAGGATGATGTCTGCAGTTCATTTGAAGCATCCTGCAAGTGACAGGGAGCAATTCCTCACCCTGCATACAAGGATTCTCAGGAAACGTATGTTTCTCCCAGACATATTAGGCTCTATGTTCTGTTTCGATAGCATTCTACATCTGCATTTTGGTAATACTTCTTTAAAAATGCATTATCTTGGCTGGATGCAGTGGCTTATGCCTGTAATCCCGCACTTTGGGAGGCCTAGGAAGGCAGATCACTTGAGGTCAGGAGTTTGAGACCAGCCTGGCAAACATGGTGAAACCCCATCTCTACTAAAAATACAAAAATTAGCCAGGCATGGTGGCATGCATCTGTAGTCCCAGCTGCTTGGAAGGCCGAGGAATGAGAATCGCTTGAACCTGGAAGGCAGAAGTTGCAGTGAGCCAAGGTTACACCACTGCACTCCAGCCTGGGTAACAGAGCAAGACTCCATCTCAGAAAAAAAAAAATATATTAAATGCATTATTTTTCCAAACAATTTTACCTCTTTTCTTCTTCTCCTTTATTTTTCAAATGAATTCAATTTTTGTTTGTTATTCCGGTTTGCAGTAAGTCCAGAGGATTAAAGCAGTGCATAGTACAGGCTCTAACTTAAAATTGAGTATCACTTGTCTATGTTTTAAAAGTTCTCACCATGGAATCTTCTAGCTGGCTGTGTATAGCTTACTTCTGTGTCTGTCTCTTTTTTTTTTTTTTGAGACAGAGTGTCGCTCTGTTGCCAGGCTGGAGCACAGTGGCGCAATCTTGGCTCACTGCAACCTCCGCCTCCTGGGTTCAAGCAATCCTCCTGCTTCAGCTTCCTGAGTAGCTGGGACTACTGGTAAGCATTACCGCACCCAGCTAACTTTTATATTTCTAGTAGAGACCAGGTTTTACCATGTTGGCCAGGATGGTCTCGATCTCCTGACCTCATGATCCGCCTGCCTCAACCTCCCAAAGTACTGGGATTACAGGCGTGAGCCACCGCCTGGCCTATTTCTTTGTTACTCCTTGTTTCTTCCTGTCTTTCTTTTTATCCCCACTCCAAATACCCACATAGTCCCCCTCTTTTCAACTCTCATATATTGTCTTAAACCTGCATTAAGTTCATGTCTATAAGAGTTTAGTTTTAAATCTAAGCCCCCAAATATTTCTTGGCTTTCCTAAGCATTGCACAACCATTAAAATGCTCTCTTAACCTAAGGAAATCTACTTAGGATCTTTTTCTTTAAACATTAGGACATTTCCATTTCTAGCCTTTCATTGATTCTATCCCTGAATGCATGCAACCATTCACTTACAAGAGAAAATTCATAAGCTATGGGGAAATTTTATTTTATTTTTCTTTGTTAATGTAGGACTGGTCATAGGCATGGTTATTTTGGATACTAATTCTATTTCAAAGGCCTTAAAATGCTAACATAAAAATGTCTTCACCATTTTTTATTTCGTTCCAGAGTTCATAATTCTTATCATGACTGATATTTCTCCTGAAAACACTCTGTAAAATACAAAATGTTCCCTGTGAGAGCTCATACCTCAACCACTATCACTGTTTTCAAAGTACTCCAAGACTCACCCAGGAAGCAGTTATGAAGGGGATGCTGCACCACTTTAAAATACATTTGTTGTGTTTATACACAATTCTTTAACTCATTACTATGAGAACTGTTGAGATGGTAAAACAGGTTCAGCACACATTTATGAAACACTATTTATTGATGCTGATGAAGAATGTTGCAATGAGATTGATAGGTTTGATACAGAACAAGCTAATGTAAACTATAAATGTTGCAATTTTTTTTTTCTATTGAACACAAAACCCTGCAAGTTAACATCTAATGTCATGGAGACCTGGGTCTTAATAAATGGTAAATAACAGGTAAAACAGAGGTTTATCACTAGGAGGATAAAAATCTCCTGGGTAAGCCAATTATACAATGCTACTGTACATGCAGAAGATATACACCATCCTGTTGCCATATATCTAAGTTTTTAACAGTTTTTTCTTAATATCTATCTCCTCCCCAGATTCTGAAACAATAGATGCACAAATATGAAACGATTAAACTAACTTGATTAGCTGAAGCCAATAATAACTACCCAAACAAAAGCTGAACACTTAAACCTACTCAGCCATAAACAGAAGAGCTTGAAAGCTGCAGGCTTTGTCCCTAAAGCTAGGGCTTGCTGTTGTGGTGTTAACATCGAGAAGCTTGAGATAAAGGTGTCTGTCCCATAGAAGGCTCAGTTAGGTAGGCAGTATCATTAGCTCATTTGCTCCAGCCAGTGGAGGGTAAGATTTTCCATTCTTAATTTTCTCATCCACTAGGATCATCAGGTAGAGAATGGAGAGATTGGGGAACCATTCTAAGAGCAGATGTATTCACTTATTATGGGCAAAATCACAATAAAACATATACTTTGGGGTTATCCTTTGTACTGGAAATAAATCTGCCAGATGATATCTAACTTTGTGGAGACTAGGCCCTAATAAATAGTAAATAGCAAGTAAAACAGAGGTAATTCCCTTAGAGAATTAAAATCTCTTTGACCTCTTTTACAAGCCACATATTCTTTTCCTGATGCTCACAGGCTTTCCTTCTTAAGGTTTCCTCCCTTCAAGCTGCAAACAATCTATTTTATCCCCACAGGGTAGATCCTAAGCCTCCTGCTACATTACGATCCAATCTCACTTCCCTAAGACTTGGGTCAAAAGTCAGATTCAGTCTTCTTCATTCTGTTTTTCCTCTTCTTTGTTCTGCCATAACTTCATCACTCTATGCAATTTTTGTAATGGACAAATAAAGTCAACATTTTGGGAGAATGGCATCCAGAAATATGAGAAAGCCAAACCCATTACTTCAAATCCTCATTAAATCCAAGTAGCAGCTTGAATATCTTGAAAGTTAAATAGTGTACACAACAAAATTAAAATAAAAAAAAAAAAGAAAACCTCGAGGGCAGTGGATTATGGCGAACTAGAAGTAAGACAAGATTGCAGCTCCGACTCAGATGGACAGAGCAACGTGTGGAGGCTTGCATCGTGCATTTTTGCTCCAGAATGACTGGAATAAATCCTGCAGAAAATGACTGCAGCAAACCTGAAAAGATCCATAGACCCCTGAAGGAAGCAGATTGCTCCTGCAGGACCCAGGAGACACCCCAAATACTGTGAGTGCCCAAACTGTGGAAGTGGGAAAGGGAGATTATCTGCCCCTGAACACACACCCCCACTGGGGAAGCTGAAGGCTTAGATTAAAAGAGAAGATTTTGATCTTACCTGGAGCTGAGTCGATTTAGAGAGCCAAGCAAAATATAGGGGAAGAGGAAGCAGTTGGAAAAAGCCCTGGGAGATCACTGGGTCCCCTAGCAAGCCATTTTTGCCTGGCCTTACAAAGGTCCTTCGGGAGGGTGGCCAGAGGTACTGGGAAAAGGCCACAGGGAGAAGGAAGGCTCCAGCTGAACTTTATAGCAATTTGAACTCAACCAGAAGCCTCCTGACCAGAACTCGATGGGAGGGGTGAAGCTGGCTTGCAGATTCCACAGGTGGGGAAAGAAGGAAAGCTTTATTTGCTTTGCAGCTGGGAGGTGGGTACTCTGGAGCAAGTTCTCAGCCCTGCTTGTTCACTGCCTGGAAACAGACTCAGTGCTGTTGGGGTGAGCATGGTGAAAGTAAGACTGGCCCTTCCAGTTGCATGGGAGCTGGGTGAGGCTTATGACTGCTGGCTTTTCCCCACTTCCCTGATAACCTGAATGACACAGTAAACAAAGTCATAATCCTCCTAGGAGCATAACTCTGTTGACCTGGGAACCTCACCCCCATCCCCCACAGCAGCCAAAGTAAGACCCGCCCAAAGAGAGTCTGAGCTCAGACACACCTATCTATGGCCCCACCACATGGTCCTTCCATACCCACCCTGGTAACTGAAGACACAGGGCATATACTCTTGAGAGTTCTAGGGCCTTACCTACCACCTGTTTCTCCCCATACTACCACAGCTGATACTCTCTGGAAAGTTCCACCTCCTGGCAGGAAGCCAACCAGCACAAAAATAGAGCATTAAACCATCAAAGCTAAGAGCACTCACAGAGCCCATTTCACCCCCTGCCACCTCCACTGGAACAGGTGCTGGTACCCCTGGCTGAGAGACCACAGATGGTTCACATCACAAGATTCTGCAGACAACCCCCAGTACTAGCCCAGAGCCTGGTAGACTTGCTGAATGGCTAGATCCAGAACAGAGATAACAATCACAACAGCTCAGCTCTTAGGAAGCCACATAAAAAAATCACACTAGCTCACCAGCAATAGGCCCAAGCCAAGAAGAAATTTCTGATTTACACGAAAAAGAATGCAAGAGTATAATTATTAAGCTAATCAGGGAGGCACCAGAGAAAGGCAAAGCCCAATGTAAGGAAATCCAAAAATGATATAAGAAGTGAAAGGAGAAATATTCAAGGAAATTGATAGCACAAATAAAAAAACAATAAAAACTTCAGGAAACATTTGACAAACTTATAGAAATGCAAAATGCTCTGGAAAGTCTAAGCAATAGAATTGAACAATCAGAAGAAATAAATTCAGAGCTTGAAGATGAGGTCTTTGAATTAACCCAATCCAATAAAGACAAAGAAAAAAATAAGAAGATATTAACAAAGCCTCCAAGAAGTCTGGGATTATGTTAAATGACCTAATTTAAGAATAATCGGTGTTTCAGAGGAAGAAGAGAAATCTAAAAATCTAAAAGTTTGGAAAATATACTTGGGAGAATAACTGAGAAAAACTTCCCCGGCATTTCTCTAGACCTAGACATCCAAATACAAGAAGCACAAAGAACACCTGGGAAATTCATTGCAAAAAGATCATTGCACCTAGGCACATTGTCATCAGGTTATCTAAAGTTCAGATGAAGGAAAAAATCTTAAGAGCTGTGAGACAAAAGTACCAGGAAAACTTTAAGGCAAAATCTGATTAACAGAAGATTTCTCAGCAGAAACTCCACACCCTTTGGGGTCCTATCTTCAGCCTCCTCAAACAAAACAATTAGCAGCCAAGAATTTTTTATCCAGCAAAACTAAGCTTCATATATGAATGAAAGATACAGTATTTCAGACAAACAAATGCTGAGAGAATTTGCCATTACCAAGTCACCACTACAAGAACTGCTAAAAGGAGCTCTAAATCTTGAAACAAATTCTGGAAACACATCAAAAAAGAACCTTTTTAAAGCATAAATCTCACAGGACCTATAAAACAAAAATACAATTGAAAAAACAAAAACAAAAGCAATGAAAAATCAAGATATACAGGTAACAAATAGCACGATGAATGGAATGGTACCTCACATCTAAATACTAACATTGAATGTAAATGGCCTAAATGCCCCAATTAAAAGATACAGTATTGCAGAATGGCTAAGAATTCACCAACCAACTATCTGCTGGCTTCAAGAGACTCACCTAACATATAAAGACTCACACAAACTTAGGGTAAAGGGGTGGAAAAAAGACATTTCATGCAAATGAACACCAAAAGTGAGCAGGGCTAGCTATTCTTACATCAGACAAAACAAACTTTTAAGCAACAGCAGTTAAAAAAGACAAAGAGGAGCATTATATAATGATACAAGGCTTTGTCCAACAGAAAAATATCACAATCCTAAACATACGTGCACCTAACACTGGAGCTCCCAAATTTATAAAACAATTACTAATAGACCAAAGCAAAGAGATAGACCACAACACAGTAATGGTGAGGGACTTCAATACTCCACTGACAGCACTGGACAGGTCATTAAGACAGAAAGTCAAGAAAGAAACAATGGATTTAATCTGTACCCTGGAACAAATAGACTTAACAGATATATACAGAACATTCCATCCAACAATCGCAGACTGTACATTCTATTCAACAGTGCATGGGACTTTTTCCAAGATAGGCCATACAATAGGCCACAAAACAAGCTTCAAAAAGTTTAAGAAAACTGAAATTATATCTAGCACTCTCTCAGACCACAGTGGAATAAAACTGGAAAATAAATCCAAAAGAAACCTCCAAAACCATGCAAATACATGGACATTAAATAACCTACTCCTGAATGATCATTGGGTCAAAAATAAAATCAGGGTGGAAATTAAAATTTTTTTGAACTGAACGACAATAGTGACACAACCAATCAAAACCTCTGGAACACAGTAAAGGTGGTGCTAAGAGAAAAGTTCGTAGCCCTAAACACCTTAATCAAAAAGTCTGAAACAGCACAAATGGACAATCTAAGGTCACAACTCAAAGAACTAGACGAACAAGAACTAACCAAACCCAAACCCAGCAGAAGAGAGTAAATAACCAAGATAAGAGCAGAACTAAATGAAATGGAAACAAACAAACAAAAAACACAAAAGATAAATGAAACAAAAAGCTGGTTTTTAAAAAGATAAATAAAACTGATAGACCATTAGCAAGATTAACCAAGAACAAAAGAGATAACACCCAAATAAGCTCAATAAGAAAGGAAACAGGAGATATTACAACTGACAACACAGAAATACAAAAATATTCAAGGCTACTGTGAACACCTTTATACACATTAAACTAGAAAACCTAGAAGAGATGGATAAATTCCTGGAGAGATACAACACTTCTAGCTTAAATCAGGAAAAATTAGATACCCTGAACAGACCAATAAAAAGCAGTGAGATTGAAATAGTAATTAAAAAATTACCAACAAAAAAATTCCAGGACCAGTTGCATTCACAACAGAATTCTATCAGACCTTCAAAGAAGAATTGGTACCAATCCTATTGACACTATTCCACAAGGTAGAGAAATAGGGAACCCTCCCTAAATCATTCTATGAAGCCAATATCACCCTAATACCAAAACCAGGACATAAACAAAAAAGAAATCTACAGAACAATATCCCTAATGAACACAGATGCTAAAATTCTTAACAAAGTACTAGCTAACCAAATCCAACAACATATCAAAAAGATAATTCAACATGATCAAGTCAGTTTCATACCAGGGATGCAGAGGTGGTTTAACATATGCAAGTCAATAAATGTGATACACCACATAAACATAATTAAAAACAAAAATCACATGATTATCTCAATAGATGCAGAAAAAGCATGAGACAAAATTCAGCATCGCTTTATGATTAAAACTCTCAGCAAAACTGGCATACAAGGGACATACCTCAATATAATAAAAGCCATCTATGACAAACCCACAGCCAACATAATACTAAATGGGAAAAGTTGAAAGCATTCCCTCTGAGAATTGGAGCAAGACAAGGATTCCCACTCTCACCACTCCTCTTCAACATAGTACTGGAAGTCCTAGCCAGAGCAATCAGACAAGAGAAGGAAATAAAGGGCATCCAAATTGGTAAAGAGAAAGTCAAACTGTCACTGTTTGCTGACGATATGATCATTTACCTAGAAAACCCTAAAGGCTGCTCCAGAAAGCTCCTAGAACTGATAAAAGAATTCAGCAAAGTTACTGGATACATTAATGTACACAAATTAGCAGCTCTTCTATACACCAGCAGTGACCAAGTTGAGAATCAAATTACGAACTCAACCCTTTTTATAATAGCTGCAAATAAAATCAAATATTTAGTAATATACCCAACCAAAGAGGTGAAAGACCTCTACAAGGAAAACTACAAAACACTGCTGAAAGAAACCATGGATGACACAAACAAATGGAAACACATCCCATGCTCACTGATGGGTAGAATCAATATTGTGAATACAACCATATTACCAAAAGCAATCTACAAATTCATTGCAATTCCCACCAAACACCACCATCATTCTTCACAGAATAAGAAAAGCACAATCCTAAAATTCATATGGAACCAAAAAAGAGCTGGCATAGCCAAAGCAAGCCTAAGCAAAAAACAAAAACAAAAACAACAACAACAAAACAAATCTGGAGGCATAACATTACCTGATTTTGAACTATACTATAAGGTCATAATCACCCATACAGCATGGTACTGGTATAAAAACAGGTATACAGACCAATGGAACAGAACAGAGAACACAGAAATAAACCCAGATACAGCCAACTGATCTTCAACAAAGCAATTAAAAACATAAAGTGGAGAAAGAACACACTTTTCAACAGATGGTATCAGGATAATTGGCTAGCCACAGGTAAGAGAATGAAATCATCCTCATCTCTCACCTTATACAAAAATCAACTCAACATGGATTAAGGACTGAAATCTAAGACCTGAAAATATAAAAATTCTAGAAGATATTATTGGAAAAACCCTTCTAGACATTGGCTTAGGCAAGAATTTCATGACCAAGAATCCAAAAGCAAATGGAATAAAAACAAAGATAAATTGCTGGGACTTAATTAAACTAAAGAGCTTTTGCACAGCAAAAGAACAGTCAGCAGAGTAAACCAACAAGCCATATAGTGGGAAAAAGATCTTTACAATCGCTACATCTGACAAAGAACTAATAATCCAGAATCTACAATGAACTCAAACAGATCAACAGGAAAAAAACAAACTATCCCATCCAAATGTGGGCTAAGAACATGAATAGATAATGCTCAAAAGAAGACATACAAATGGTCAAAGAACATATGAAAAAAATGCTCAACATCACTAATGATCAGGGAAGTGCAAATCAGAACCACAGTGTGAAACTACTTTACTCCTGCAAGAATGGCTATAATCAAAAAATCAGAAAACAGTAGATGTTGGCGTGGATGCAGTGAACGTGGAACATGTCTACATTGCTGGTGAGAATGTAAACTAATACAACCACTATGGAAAACTGTGGAGATTCCTTAAACAACTAAAAGTAGATCTACCATTTGATCCAGCAATCTCACTACTGGTTATCTACACAGAGGAAGAAAAATCATTATACAGAAAAGATACGTGCATATGCATATTTATAGCAGCACGATTCTCAATTGTAAAAACATGGAATCAACACTGAATGCCCATCAATCAACAAGTGGATAAAGAAACTGTGGTGGCTGGGTGTGGTGGCTCATGCCTGCAATCCCAGCACTTTGGGAGGCCAAGTCGGGCAGATCAGGAGGTTAAGAGATTGAGACCATCTTGGCTATCACGGTGAAAACCCATCCGTACTAAAAATACAAAAATTAGCCGGGCATGGTGGCACACACCTGTAGTCTCAGCTACTCGGGAGGCTGAGGCAGGAGAATTGCTTGAACCCAGGAGGTGGAGGTTGCAGTGAGCCGCGATCGCGCCACTGCACTCCAGCCTGGCGACAGAGTGAGACTTCATTTCAAAAAAAAGAACTGTGATATATTACAGTTTCTTTTTTCTTTTTCATATATATCATATATCTATCTATATATATGATACAATACAACTCAGCCATGAAAAGGAATGAATTAGTGACATTCACAGCCACCTGGATGAGATTGTAGACTATTATTCTAAGTGAAGTAACTCAGGAGTGAAAAAACAAACATTATATATTCTCACTCATAACTGGGAGCTAAGGTGTGGGGATGCAAAGGCATAAGAATGACACAATGGACTCTGGGGAGTCAGGGGAAATGGACGGAGAGGAGGTGAGGGGTGAAAGACTACTAATAGGGTGTAGTGTGTACTGCTTGGGTGATGGGTGCATCAAAATCTCACAAATCACCACTAAATAACTTACTCATGTAACCAACCACATGTTCCCCAATAACTTATGGAAATAAATTTTAAAAAACCTAATTGACAAAATGTCCTGTGATGATAAAGTTTTGAATATAAGAACATCGATTAGAGTAATTTGTATCAACTGTCAAGAACTGGAAAGGGTCTGAGATTTTAACATATCTGTAAGCTACCAAGTTAGTCTGCCACAGTTTCACAAAAGCTGAAAGAAGACACAAGACTTCTGGGTAAGAGAAGACCATTTTATTACTCACAGCAGTAATGCTAGCCAGAATGGCATCATGCTGGTTCTTCTAGCTCCAATTGCCACAAGGTGATAGAAAGGATCAGGTGACACCTTAACATGCAGTGAGTTTTATTATAGGAGGGGAACTGTTGAGTATAGACAACTAAAAAAAATAATAATTATAATGGGCATTCAGCATTCCATTCAGCATACCCATTGCTGCAGAGTTCCATGTAGAGCTTTATCTCTGTCTTTCAGGTCTATAAATATACCTGGCCTTTCAAATTTTTTTCAGAGGATGGCACTGTCTCCTTCAAGAGTATTTGCAATGCAAACACCTTTTCTTACAAAGTTGTACAAAAATGCAAGAGACTCATGAGGATTGCACTTGTACTAAAATGCTTCTTATTGCATTTTCCCAAGAGTGTACAAAGTCATCTTCATTGTGATAAATGTGACCAACAAAGGATGGGAGGAAATCTCTTCAATTTGGCCAAGGCCAATCTTGCATTATTGACATCAACAATGCTTTCAAGAGAACAGAACCACCAGCTGAAAAGAAAATTAAAAACATCAGAGTCTACCTTAGAAAGCCATGCAGGTTTCTCCATAAATTGTTATTTTGACCTTACCTCTTGGTCCAAAGCATTAATCCAGGTACAGCTAAATTTTCTAGTGATTGTGCAGACTCTGTCTTGTCCACAAGGAGAAAGTCTAGGGCAGTTTGGTGTCTGTAATAATCTTGGTCAATAAGTTGAAGTGTACCTGAATGTCTTTCAGGGCAGAGGTGATGTTATTAATGACTTTATCTGAAGTCAAGAACAATTTTTTTACCACTTTCTTATTGGATGACTCCCTTCATAGGGATAACTGTCTATAGGTTGTATATTAATAAGTTACTTTTCCTTCCTGAAAGCTCAGCTAAGTAAGGGTAGCCTTGATTTGAAGAGATCACCATAGTCACCTTATAATCTATTGGTGGTGTTTCCTTAAACACTCATGGTTCTCTTATAATCACCCCTGGAGTACAAGTCATATAGTTGAGAGAGAATCAGGCTAATGCATAATTTCCACAAAATAAGTACAGTAAAGTTTGCAAATTGTGCAAAGATAGTATTTTTTATTATTGTTGGGGCATCCCAAGTAGGACTTGCATCAATCTGTGGTACAGATTGAAAGTGTCCTTCATGCACTGGGGAATTCTTCTACAGGCTAAAATTTCCATAGACTCTTGAAAAAGAAAACAAAACAGCATTATCCCTATTGTCTCCATCTATTCCAGGTGTTTGGGTTATTGCTTTTCCTTCACTACTACAAATCAGAACTTCCTATTCTGATAGCTATGATTTCACCATTTTTCCAATAATTCTCTTATTGCATAGAAATATTTTATTCAGAACAGTCACATGTTTTAGTGAGAGGAACATTTTTATAAAATGTACATTAAAGCATTATGTCCCAAACCTTGGTCTATGTAAGCATATGTGCCACTGTAGGGTAGCTTACTAAGCAGTATAATCTACCAAGAGGCCACTATTCTTAAATTATTTCAATAGGGGGCCAAGGTAGCTAAAAAAAGAATTATGTTTAAATCCAGCATACTTTTTGACACACTGTCATGCAGAATGTATACCAATCAATTGACCCTGAGTTGCTGATAGGAGGAAAAAAAAAAAACATTACCATGTCAAGATAGAGTAGAGTCCCAAATTTTCAACATAGGTCTGTATAACACTAAATCCCTTTCATCCTGATTATTATCTAAGAATCGTTTAAGAAGAGGTGATATCTTTCTTGAGGCAATGGCATTCAGTGACCAAATTGCCTTACTAGTCTGTGCAGATCAGGAGTAGGTGAAGGAGGTAAAGCAAGAAATCTTTCTAAGTCCATTTTGAAGGAGGCCATTCTAATAATCAACGATACCAGAAGCCTGTGGATGATAAAAGCATGCAAGAGCTATCAAACACCTTGACATTCAGCCTAATGCTAGGTGGTATTTGTTATTAAACTCACGCTATTATCAAAGTGAAGATGGTATGGGAAACTGAAAACGGCAAGTTAGTTTCAAGAGGCGTAAGTATGTAGCCAGAATCAATGGATTCTATTGTAATAGCAACATAATAACCTGAACAAATATCAACAGCCATTAAGACACCATTGATAACCCCAATGCTGGTTTAAAGATCAAATGTAGTCAATGTCAGAAGAATGTAGGGTCCTTGCCTGGTATGATATGTCCTCCTTAAGCATAAAACAAAAAAGTCAAATTTCACATGAGTCATAAATACTGTACACAGTGATAGTCTCTGCATCAAAAAATGTAGAGTTTGTTAATTCTGTGTCCAGTCTATGATGGATTCATTGTCAAATATTGCATAAAGGTGACTCCAGGGAGAAATATTTGTAATCTTGGGTGTACAAGCTCAACCAGTAACTTGATTCCAAATAGTCTGATAAGAGAATAGGTCTGTACCAGGCATCTACATGGTTGACCCAAATGATCAGATCAACAACTGTGATTTGTGTTCAGTGTAAGGTTCCAAACGATAGTTCCTTTGATATTCTTATCTGTAGTTTTTCAACTGTCAGACTAGACCATAGTTAAAAACCCAAGAATCAGTAAAATGCTAACAAGTTTCATCACAAGGTATTAGCCAGAACAATGATAATCACTTGGGTTCCGCCTAATGAATGAAGCATCCACATACATTTTTAATTTGGAAAAACTGGCACTAAGTTTAGACAGTCATAGCTGTACCATGGACACCATCTGGTTTAAGCTTGGTTGAATACATTATTACTACAGTAAGACCGGAAATTTATGGGACTCTCTGTGACATGAAGATACCAGTGAAAGACCAGCTTTGCTTCAGATGACAAAGTGGGGGAAAAAAATCCCCCAAAGGGTTGGTGTTAACTTTGTTTATTTAATCTTGTATAGCCAAGATACCACTGGAACCAAGCTGACTGATCCGTATATACCATTCCTGTTCTACAACCATAACTTATTAGCTTCTACCCACCTTATTGGTCATTGGTATAAACTGTGTGAATTAATTCACCCCAAAGTGGAAATATCAGTCCAGAAAGTTAGCCTCTGTAAATCAGGCATTTAGCTTCAATAGGAGCCCAGTAGCAAGCTAAGAGCTAATTGAAAAAAAAACAAAAACAAACAAACAAACAAAAACCAGTATACCCAGTAGCTTTGTCAGAAAGGGGGGAAGTTTGCATGGTCAGAGTTATTTTTATAAAAATAACAATATATTTTTTACCTTTCTCATTCTCGTTCATTCACCAAATACGCAGTAAAAATTTTCAGAGCCTACCATGGTGTAATATTGCAATAGGCTGAATAAGAAGTAGATATAAAAATCCAGATGTTTTCTAATAAGCCAATACAAAATAGTACAACTGTTCTCATTATTTTCTTGTTTGTTTTGGAAAATATAATTATTTTTAAATCATATGTTAAGTTAAAATTGTTTTTCTAATATTTTTGAATAGATTAAACATTAAACACATAAACATTTCATATGGTATATGAAAATGTGTCAGTCTTAAATTCTAAAATAGTTAATACAAATAATAAAATGGTTTGAGTTCCTAAATTATTTTAAGAGTGTGAAGGACCCCAAGACTAAAGTGTTTGAGAACCACTGCCACAAGGTAGAAAAGCAGATTTCCAAAGCAGACAGAACGTTATTCTCTCCATTATCTCTCTTGTTAATATCTCTGAGTAGATAGCCATGCCAATTTTATAATCTCCAGAATTGCAGACTAGCTTGGGACAGAGTAAAGGAAAAGAGTGATTTGATTTCAGGGCCATAACTTCCTAAATTTCCAAAAGGAAAGTGCTGTAGTGGGAAGTGTCTTCTCAAGTTCTAGCCAGGAAAGAACTATAGATAGCTGTAGATTATCAAGTAATATATACCACTACAAATATTAAATGGCCATGTTTTAGGAATAAGAGAGCCTTTCAAATTGCACTATCAAAAAATGATTGAGAAACACTAGAAATTCACTATCGGAAATGGGCAGCTATGAGTATGCAAGGTCAGTCACTGAGAAGAAATTCTCACAGAAACTCTCCACCTGTCATAGAAAAATTAGAAAGAAGTATAGGGAGAAGAATCTAGTCTAGGGCTTGTAAAATTTTTCCACTGCATTTATTCTGTAGCACTCGAAAATAAGGAGAAAGAACATAACACTGATTCTACTGAAGACTGTTTACCCTAGAAAACAATAAAATGTAAAACAACATCATTTTTATATTCTCATAAAATACTAGAAAACACAGACTAAATGAATTATGAAAGTAACGGTGACATTACATAACAAGAAAAGATCATTTTTAAAAATCTGGCTAAAAGAACAAACTACGACAGACAGATGAGAAAAGGAGAGAGTAAGAGAAAAATAATATAAACTATAAAAATTAAAATTCAGGTTAATATTAAATATTGTAATATGCAGACTCATCAAGGAAATAAGTAAAAAGTATATGGAAGGAAATTTGAAAAAGCATTCTTACCAGGAGAAGGAAAAAGTCAGGCAAAAGAATGAAGAAAGGTGATAAAATACAATCAGCACAACTGAATAAAATGAAAATTTGTGAAAATGTTATGGCACTGTCAATATGCTCAACAAATGTCCATTAAAAAAATAAACTGACATCTACATGTCCTGGGGGAAATGTCTGAATTATAAGTTAAGAATCCTATAACTACATATCAGAAAGAAAACAAAAAGCAAGATAGTTACAGGAAAAATAAAATTCATGTTCATTATACATTTTATCTCTACCACATATATCTGAAAATAGTAGAGCAATTTCTATTATATCTTGAGTAAAGGAGGCTACAAAATATTATGAATATGCTATAATTCAGAAAGAACCAATTTATCTTTTTAAAAAATTATATTTCAGCTGACTAAATTAAATAAGGAATTGAAGTACAATTGTGGTTAAGAGAGCAGGATTTAAAATGTACTAAATATGAAAACCTTTAAATTCAATTATTTCCATTTAATAAATGTAGTTATTAAAATAAATACATGCACCCAAGAAGCATAATTACGTCAGAAAGCATAATATTTAATGCCAATAAAATATATTATTCCATTCACTATACTAACTTGTAAAAAAACAATTTTAACATAAATTGAATCCATAAATTCTATATTCCATGCTAATTTGAGGCGTCTTAAGAGTTGAACATTAACAGGAGGGAAGGCTAAATAGCATAGCAGATTTCTAAGAGTAAATATGCCTTTCTGTTTAAGAATTACTAAATCTTTTCCCATTTAAGACCAAAAGAGAATTTAACTTTTTATTTGTATATTCTTGTATGTTCACATATAAATATTGGATGGTGTGTTTACTTGTAAATTTAACTTTATAATTTTTTATGCAGATAAATATGAATATTATACTTGATGTCAAAAACTTATAAAATACAGAAGCTAGAAGTCTACTTCAGATTTTACTAGTTTTCAATTTGAAAAATAATTTGCCAAGTAGTATCAATATAAATTATAATGGTATATTTTTAATAAATAAATCTGCTCAAAATATTTATGCATCTTAGTAAAAAGGGTCATAAACTGATGATATGGAGGGGAAATGATTGATTTCAGCCTTTGACATCATTTAGGTGAACATCTTTTTTTTTTTTTTTTTTTTTTGAGACGGAGTCTCGATCTGTCGCCCAGGCTGGAGTGCAGTGGCGCTATCTCCGCTCGCTGCAAGCTCCGCCTCCTGGGTTCACGTCATTCTCCTGCCTCAGCCTACAGAGTAGCTGGGACTACAGGCGCCCGCCACCACGCCCGGCTAATTTTATGTATTTTTAGTAGAGACGGGGTTTCACCATGTTAGCCAGGACGGTCTCGATCTCCTGACCTCGTGATCCACCCGCCTCGGCCTCCCAAAGTGCTGGGATTACAGGCGTGAGCCACTGCGCCTGGTTAGATGCACATCTTGAATAAGTATATTGGACTTGTTGGCCTTGGTTTTCTGTTTTTTTTACATAGATGGTTTATTAGTTCATTTCTAAAGCCAGTTTCAGTATTAATACTCAATAATGTAACACTTTCCATCAGCTTCCAGTGCAATGGGTTTTTGTACTCTTTGTTATTATTTAACAATACCACAGCTTGTGATCAACTTGCTTTTGTTCAATAGGGTGGCATTGTTTGTGAGAAAACAAAAATTTTAAATTCCAGATATAATCTGGACAATGTACCAAGTGTACTATTTTTTTATTCTACCAATGGATAAATGAGTGAATAGAAAATTGTATAAATTGCTTCTAATAAAATATTAGAAAAGTATAGCCTTAGAACTAGAACTCAGCTATAAAATACCTTTGACAATGTTGTCTATTTTGGGGATAAATAAAAAGGATGAGAAAATAAATATTGAAATGTGCAAAAATGATCTTCATTAAAAAACACTGAAAATAAAACAGAAGGTCTTTTGATACTTGTATGACCTCCAAATTCTTAGATAAGATGTGATTTGTGTTGCATACTATTGTTATGCACAATTAATATTTTATAAACTTGGAACAAGTTATTATATTTAGTATTGCCTAATGGGAATTTTAAAGCAGCATACTTTGAAATACTTCAAATGCTATTTTGCTGTTTTATCTACAAATTTCTAGGAGACTTCAATTCCCTTTTCTCAGTAAAAAGAATTCATTGTGATCTCATTCTATTTCTTTCTTTTTATAATTCCCCTTTATGATTAACCTAAAATGTACATAGACTAAAACTAAATTTTGTTGTACAATTTTCTGAGTTTCGACAAAACCTATGTAGCATTGTAGCCATAATCAAGGCAAACATTAATGTATAACCACAAAAATTTTCTTTATGCTCCTTGATAGCCATTTTCTTTTCTCCCTGAGACTCTGGCAACCACTTATCTGTTTTCTGTTATAATAACCTTGACTTCTTAAAATGTCATATAAATGGAATGGTTCCCTTTGCAGAATTCTGAGTTGGGTTTCTTTTATTTAGCAAAATGCCACTGAGGCTCAAGCATATTGCTACATAATTTGTTCTTTTTTATTTCTAAGTATTATTCCATTGTGTGTATACACAAAAGTTGGAAAAAAAGCAGCATTTCCTTCTTGGTTTTTACTGTTTTGGTGATCATAAATAAAGATTTGCATATAGGTTTTTATGTGAAAATAAGTTTTCATTTCTCTTAGTAAGTACTTAGGACTTCTAAGAAAATTGCTGGGTCACGTGGTAAGTATACAGCTTTAAAAGAAGGTTACATATTGTTTTCCAAAGTGGCTGCCCATCAGCAATGTATAAGAATTAGAACTAAGATGTGGATAAGGTGGCCAACTAGATGCAGCCAGTTGGAACAGCTGCCACCGAGGGACTGGGACAACTAGTGGACTCCTAACAGAACTTCAGAGGGAATGCACTGAGAATGAACAGAGAGAAAACATAGGAGCTAGCTGAAGGGGAAGGAAGCTGGGAACTCTGCACCTGGCTACCAAGCACAGCACCAGAACTCCTTGCTGGCCCCTAAAAACTCCAGAGGTGAAGTTGAGTTGAACTGTTAAGGAGTAACCTGCTTTTGCCAAAAGCCTCTGGAATCCCAGCAGGGGGAGACCACTTGACCACCATGGGTGCTCGAGTTTGCAGGGAGAGCTGCTTAGAGAAGTGGTAGGGGAAGCATGCTAGCCAATGTGGAGCCCAAAGAGTTTGGTGCAGGAGCACCTGTAGCAGAGGGAGCATGGCTAGGGATGGCCATCTTCCTAGGCTCAACTTGCTCCCATAGGAGACTTCAGCCCTAGGGGAAGTGTCAGACCTAAACTCTGCAGGGCAGTCTTGCCCATCAGATAGGGACAGTCTGGCCTGAACAACTCTTGGTCTGCTGGCCTCTTTGGGACCCCAGCCTGGCCATGCCTGCTTGCAGTGCAGACTCAGTTCCCTGGGGACCCACATGACAGCTCCTGTGCTGGTAGACCATGCCTGATCCACAGAGGCCTCCAGCAGGTCAGCCCCATGGATACAGATCAGCCCACTCCCACTCACCCTCCACTACAGCTTTCCCTGGGCCCAAAGCCGCTCCCCCCATTGCTTTGCCAGCACATGAGTGCCTGGAAGGATTTTGCATTCCCTGCCCTGACAGCATGCATGTGCATGTGCACCCTGCCCTTCCACTGCTGCTGATGGGAATGCACTCTGCCTCCCCCGACGTACCACCATTGCAGTCGAAGTCCGGTGGGCACAGAGTCCCCTAGTGCCCTGTCCCTGCACTAATACTGCCGCTGGAGTGAAACTAGGCAAGGAGAATAGTGGACCCTCCGCACCATGAGTGGCCACGCTACCCTACATGAACGTGCACAGAGGGTGCACACAGACCCTTGCCTGTCAGTCCCCCACCCCAATGCTAACCCATTACCAGTGCAAACACACACACAGTCACCAGTGGGGGCCCCCAGACCGCCCACCAAAACACGCTGCCTCTGCAACTGTTGTGAGCACCAATACAGAGGTAGGCACCCCATTACTCGCTAGCACACTGCTGTATCCTGCCATGCTGCCACTGCCACTGGCACATGCAAACAAGGATGGATCTCACTGCCACCATCCTATGATATGCTTTGGCTGGCACCACCCATCAGAGTGTAGTGAGCATGTTGGCCACCCTAGTACAGTAGGTTCCTAAATTCGAGATGCCAGAGAACAAAGTCAGGGTCCAATACAAGTCCCCCAGAGTTAGAGCATCCAGTCCAGGAGTTGGGAGCTGAGCACTGACCCCCTAAAATCTTACAGAAACAAAGCCAGTTCGTTGAACCCACCTTATACCACGATGCAACCCTCAAGGTCATCAAATAGAATAAAAGGAAAAAAAAAAACACTCATCCAAAGGACAGCAACTTCAAAGACTGAAAGAACAGTAGCCCACAAACATGAGCAAGAACCAGGCAAGAACTCTGACAACTCAAAAAGCCAGAGAGTGACTTCTCTTCTCCAAATGACACTACCTTTCAAGCAATGATTGTGAATCTGGCTGAAATGGCTAAAATGACAGAAATAGAATTTAGAATATGGATAGGAACAAATATCATTGATTTGCAGGAGTATACTGAAAACCTATCCCAGGGAGCTAAGAATCACCATAAAATGATACAGGAGCTGACAGACAGAAGGGCCAATTTTGAAGAAAATGCAACCAACCCCATAGACCTGAGAAACATGCTTTGAGAATTTCATAATGCAGTCTCAAGTATTAATAGCAGAATAGACCAAGAGAAAGAAAGAATCTCAGAGTTTTAAGACTGGCTTTCTGAAATAAGACATTCAGACAAGAATAGAGAAAAAACTATTAAAAGGAATGAACAAAACCTTTGCGAAATATAAGATTATGTAAAGAGACAAAATCTACAACTCATTGGTGTTCCTAAAGACATGGAGAGAAGGGAAGCAATGCAGAAAACATATTTCAGGATATCATCTATGAAAATGTCCCCAACCTAGCTAAAGAGGCCAACATTCAAATTCAGGCAATGCAGACAACCCCTGTAAGATACTTCACAAGAAGATCTTCCCTAAGACATACTCATCAGATTCTCCAAGATTGAAGTGAAAGAAAATATATGAAAGGCAGCTAGAGAGAAAGGTCAGGTTGCCTACAAAGGAAAGCCCATCAGACTAACAGCAGACCTCATAGCAGAAACTGTACAAGCCAGAAAAGGTTAGGGGACATTATTCAACATTTTTAAAGAAAAGAAATTTTAACCAAGAATTTTATATCTTGGCCAGATGTGGTGCCTTACACCTATAATCTCAGTACTTTGGGAGGCCAACATGGGTGGATCACTTGAGGCCAGGGGTTCAAGACAAGCTTGGCCAACATGGTGAGACCTCATCTCTACTGAAATACAAAAATTAGCCGGGCGTGGTGGTACACACTTGTAATCCTGGCTACTTGAGAGGCTAAGGTGGGAGGATTGCTTAAACTCAGGAGGTGGAGGTTGCAGTGAGCCAGGATTGTGCTACAGAGCCAGCCTGGGCAACAGAGTGAGACTTCATCTCAAAAAATAATAATAATAAAGAAATAATTTTATATCTGGCCAAAATAAGCTTCATCAGCAAATGAGAAATAAGAGCCTTTTCAGACTAACAAATGCTGAGGGAATTTGTTACCACTACAATCTGTCTTACAAGAGCGCCTGAAAAAAGCAATAAATATGAAAAGGAAAGACCATTACCAAACACTACAAAAACACACTGAAGTACACAGACAAGTGACACTATAAAGCAACAACAAAATAAGTCTGCATAATAACTAGCTAACATCATGATGACAGGATCAAATTTACATATATCCATACCAACTGTAAATGTAAACTGGCTAAATGCCCCAATTAAAACACACAGCGTGTCATGCTGGACAAAGAATCAAGACCCATCAGTATGCTGTTTTCAAGACCCATCTCACATGGAAAGACACATATGGGTTCAAAATAAAGGGATGGAGAAAAATCTACCAAGCAAATGGGAACCAGAAATAATTAGGGGTTGCCACTATTCTAATTTTAGGCAGTGTAGACTTTAAGCCAGCAAACATCAACAAAGACCAAACAAAGGACATTACATAATTGTAAAGGGTTCAATTCAACTAGAAGACCTATCTTATACTATATGCACCTAACTTTGGAGCACCAAGATTCATAAATCAAGTTCTTAGAGATGTTCAAAAGGACCCACAAAGTCTACCAACAATAATAGTGGAAGACTTCAAAATTCCACTGACAATACTAGACAGATGATTGAAGTGGAAAATTAATAAAGATATTCAGGATGTGAACCCAGCACTAGATCAAATAGACTTGATAGACATCTACACAACTCTCCACCCAAAACAACAGAATATATATTCTCCTCATTACCACATGGCACATACTCTAATATCAATCACATAATTGCACACAAAACAGTTGCCAATGCAAAATGGAAATGCAAAAGAAGTGAAATCATAACAACTACTCTCTTGGGCTATGGTACAATAAAATTAGAAATTGAGGTTTAGAAAATCACTCAGAACCATACAATTACATGGAAATTACCTGCTCCTGAATGACATTTGGGTAAATAATAAAATTAAAGCAGAAATCAAGAAGTTCTATGAAGCAAATGGGAAAAAAATACAACATACAAGAATCTCTGGGACATAGCTAAGACAACATGAAGATGGAAAATTATAGCACTAAATGCTCAATTTAAAACTCAGAAATATCTCAAGTTAATGACCTAACATCCCAATTTAAAAAAATGGAGAACCAAGAACAAAAATATCCCAAAGCTAGCAGAAGACAAGAAATAACCAAAATCAGAGTTGAACTAAAGGAGATTAGAACACACACACAAAACTGAAAAGGTCAACTAATCCAGGGGCTGGCTTTTTTGAAGAAAATAAAATAAATAGATCACTAGTAAAACTAATAAAAAGAAAATAGAGAATAATCAAATAAACACAATCAGAAATTACCAGGGGGATATTACCACTGACTTCACAGATATACAAACAACCATCAGAGAATATTATGAACACCTCTATACATACAAACTAGAAAATGTAGAAGAAATGGATAAATTCCTGGACACATACACCCTCCCAAGACTGAACCAGGGTGAAATGGAATCTCTGAACAGACCACTAATGAGCTCTAAAATCGAGACAGTAATAAATAGCCTACTAAGCAAAAAAAGCCCAGGATCAGATAGATTCACAGCTGAATTCTACTAGATGTACAAAGAAGAGTTGGTACCATTCCTACTGAAACTATTCCAAAAAATTGAGGAGCAACTTCTCCTCTAACACATTATATGAGGCCAGCACCATTCTAATACCAAAACATGGCAGAGACACATCAAAAAAAAAACAAAAACAAAAACAAAAAACAAAAAACACTTCAGGCCAGTATCCTTGATGAACACTGATGCAAAAACCCTCTACAAAATACTGGCAAACAGAATCCAGCAGCGCATTTGAAAGCTTATTTATTATGATTAAGTAGGCTTCAAATGCAAGGTTGGTTCAACATACACAAATCAATAAATGTTATTCATCACATAAACAAAACTAAAGACTAAACCACATGATTATCTTAGTAAATGCAGAAAATGCTTTAAGTAAAATTTAACACTCCTTCATGATAAGTGCTCTCAATAAACTAAGTATTGAAGGAACATACTTCAAAATAGTAAGATCCATCTGTGAAAAACCAATAGCCAACATCATACTGATTGGTTAAAAGCTGAAAGCATTCCCCTTGAAAACTGCCACAAGATTAAGAATGCCCTCTTTTACCACTCCTATGTTAAATATAAGTGGTGTATTGGAAGTCCTGGCCTAAGCAGTCAGGCAAGAGAAAGAAATAAAGGGCATCCAAATAGGAAGAAAGGAAGTTAAATTATCACTATTTGCAGGTGATATGATTCCATATCTAGTAAACCCCATAGTCATGGCACAAAAGTTTCTTAGCTGATAAAACATTTCAGTGAAGTCTCAGGATACAAAAATCAACGTACACTAACAACCAGCAAGCTGAGATCGAAATCAGGAATGCAATCCCTTTCCCAATAACCACACAAAGAGTAAAATTCCTAGAAATACAGCTAACCAGGGAGGCAAAAGAAATACAAAGCACTGCTCAAAATAAATCAAAGTTTACACAGACAAATGGAAAAACATTCCATGCTCATAGATAGGAAGAATTAATATCGTTAAAATAGCTCTACTGCCCCAAGCAATTTATAGATTCAATGCTATACCTATGAAACTAGCAATGACATTCTTCACAGAAGTAGAAAAAAATTAAAATTCATATGGAACCAAAAAAGAGCCTGAATAGCCAAGGAAATCCTAGGCAAAAGGAACAAAGCTGGAGGAATCATGCTACCTGACTTCAAACAATACTACAGGGCTATAGTAACCAAAACAGCATGGTACTGGTACAAAAACAGACACATAGACAAATGGAATAGAATAGAGAGCCCATAAATAATGCCACACACTTACATTCATATGATCTTCAACAAAGCTGACAAAAACAAGCAATGGGGAAAAGAATCCTTGTTCAATAAATGATACTGAGATAACTGGCTAGCCATATGTAGAAGACTGAAACTGGATCCCTCCCTTACACCATATACAAAAATCAACTCAAGATAAATTAAGGACCTAAATGTAAAATACAAAAGAATCCTGGAAGACAATCTAGACAATACCACTCTGGACACAGGAATGGACAAAGATTTCATAGCAAAGTCACCAAAAGCAATTGCAACTAAAGCAAAAATTAACAAATGGGATCTAAGTAAACTTGTGAGCGTCTACACAGCAAAATAAACTATCAACAGAGTAAACAGACAACCTACAGAATGGGAGAAAATGCTTGAAAACTATGCATTTGACAAAGGTCTAATATCCAGCATCTATAATTTAAACAAATTTACAAGAAAAAAATAACCCCATTAAAAAGTAGACAAGGAACATGAACACTTTTCAAAAAAAAGACATGTAAGTGCCCAAGAAGCATACGAATAAAAGCTCAACATCACTGATTATTGGAGAAATACAAATCAAAACCAGAATGAAATATCCTCTCACACATATCAGAATGCCTTTTATTAAAAAGGAAAAAAAATTACATGTGCTGGTGAGGTTGTGGAGTAAAAGGAACACTTACACTCTGTTGGTGGGAGTGTAAATTAGTTCAACGATTGTGGAAAGTAGTGTGGCAATTCCATAGAGATGTAAAAACAGAACTACCTTTTGATCCAGCAATCTCATTACTGGGTATATACCCAAAGGAGTAGAAATCATTCCAGCATAAAGACACATGCACTTATATGTTCATTGCAGCACCGTTCACAATAGCAAAGACATGGAATCAACCTAAATGCTCATAAATAGTAGACTGGATAAAGAAAATGTGGTACATATACACCATGGAATACTGTAGCCATAAAAAAGAATCAGATTGTATCCTTGCAGAAACATGGATGAAGCTGGAGGCTGTTACCCTGAGCCAAACTAATACAGGAAAAATAAACCAAATACCACATGTTCTCACTTACAAGCAGGAGCTAAATGATAAGAACACATGGACACATAGATGGGAACAACAGACACTGGGGCCTACCAGAGAATGCAGGTTCAGAGAAAGGGGAAGATCAGGAAAAATTACTGATGTTTATAAGGCTTAATACCTCAGTGATGGAATAATCTGTACCACAAATCCCCGTGACACAAGTTTACCTATAGAAACAAATTTGCACATGAACCTCAAACTAAAAATAAAATTAAAAAAAAGAATTGAACTGTTCTGTTTCTTCATTTTACTTCACATTTTTTTTACTTCCTAACATTTGTGATTATATCTTGTGGTGGTTTAATTTATGACTAGACATGTTGAACAACATTTTAAGAACTAAGTTGCCATCTGCATCCCTTTTTTGATAGAGTATTTGTTCAGGTCTTGTTCCTTCTTTGTAATTGGATGGCTTATTTTCTTATTCTTGAGTTTGCAGTTCTTTTTGTATTCTAGATCCAAGTACTTTATTAAATATATAATTTGCAAATAATTACTCCCCGCCTGTGTCTTTTCTTTTCTTTCTCTTAATTGTGTCTTTGGAGAGTATTAATTGTGATAAAGTCTAATTTGTCATTCTTTTTATGGATCATACTTTTCGGGTTATATCTTAATATTTTTCTATTTCAAGATCACAAAAATTTTCTTCTACATTTTCTTGTAATAATTTATAATTTTAGTTACTTTATTTATATCTCTGATTCATTTTAATTAATTTTGCACAAAAACTTGATATGGGTCAAGGTTTTTTTTACATTTTTTATAATTGTCCAATTGTACTTTCTCAATTTGCTTTTGACCTATGTCAAAAATCAATTGATTATATTTGTGTGGATCTAATTCTGGCTTCTCCATTCTGTTCCATTTATTTATTGGTTTATTCATTTACCAATATCAATGCCAGCTCTTTCTCATCATTAGGGTAGCCACAAAATTTATTGTCAAAGAAACTGGAGTACCTTGGGTTACTATTAATGATTACACATGACAACAGCATGTAACAAGATAGTCTCAGCAAATCTAGGCAATTCTAATGGTAAACAAAGGTTACTATGTAGAAGGCTCTAGGTTTTGGTATTTGGCTCTATGGGGGTGGCTCAGAAAACCATTGTCTATACCCAGAAGTGCCACATTTTATTCAAATTTGGAAGAAGGGTAATGTGACATAGATTGAACTTGGCATGTGAGGTGTCATAGCCATTCAGAGATAGGACTTCAACTTTAGGCAGCATGAAGAGCTTTGTGTGAGCATCAGCAAAGGCTATGACAACACTGTCCAGAAGGTGGGCAGTGCCTCTGAAAAGGAGGTCTGGGAATCTGAAAAATTGCTCAAGGTTTGTGTCTAATATACTTCTGTTATACAGGATGTTGTTTAAGGCATAAATAATCCATGTAATTAAAATAACTCCAATAGATGACATTTATTGACTTATGGATTACTATGAAGCAGGTGCTATTGCAAACATTGCACATGTATTTACTTACATAATTCTCAAAAGCAATTATAAAGTGAAAATATTTAATTGATGTTTTATAGACCAAAGAAAAACAAAGGCATATCCGGGATTTAAACCCAGATACTTAGGTTTCAGAATCTGTAGTTTTAATCATGAAGTTTTGAGCTGTCACTATGCCCTGCCACATGTAAATGTTATTAATTATAAAATATTAGATAAATATTAATACTTATGGTTAACATAATACTTATTGTCAATCCTGAGATGTTTAGATCATTTAAAATCTTTCTTTCTAATAATTACTTATATTGTTCAAAATCTACCTTATTAATATATTCAGCTATGTCCCCACCAAAATCTCATTTTGAATTCCTGTGTGTTGTGGGAAGGACCTGGTGGGAGGTGATTGAATTATGGGGGCGAGTCTTTCCTGCACTGCTCTTGTGATAGTGAATAAGTGTCACAAGATCTGATGGCCTTATAAGGCAGAGTTTCCCTGCACAGGCTTTTTTTTTTTTTTTTGCCTGCCACCATCCACGTAAGATTTGACTTGCTCTTCCTTGCCTTCTGCCATGATCGTGAGCCTTCCCCAGCCATGTGTAAGTCTAATTAAACCTCTTTCTTTTGTAAATTGCCCAGTCTCCAGTTTGTCTTTATCAGCAGCATGAAAATGGACTAATATATACGCCATGGTCAAAATTTTGGAAAATTATATAACTTCTTGGGGATCTCAGTTTTTAATGAATAAATTAGTTTTAAATGAGATATTTTAATGATAATACCTATTTGTGTCACAGGCACATTTTCATCCTCAATTAGTTGCTATTGCTGTTATAACTCATTTTGGGTCTATTAACAAAAATACATTGACTTTATTGACTCAGAGTAAGATGAAAAAATAGTGCTCAAATAATTGGCCAAATAATGTTTGTCACTGAGGAAATAGGCCATAATAAAACAATATAAATGCATTTTAAAACTAAAACTAATTGTCTTAAAGTGCATTTATTGTGTCATCTGATCTTTTCATTTTTAATTTTACCAGCTATTGCGCAAGTACAATCTTGAAGTTAAGGTTTTCATTAAATTAAAACACAAAGTAGGGGCTATAAAATATGTTTTAGTGTAGATTTTAGCTGAAACATATATGACAGAAAAATGTTTCTGTTAGTTCGAAAGAGAAAACTTCACTAAATGAACATACTAATCTTAGTATTAATTGTAAACTATACCTAGAGAATAAAATACTTTGCTTAATTTCTTCATTAAGACTTGGAAATAATAGAAGTATCTGGTACAAAATGTGCTACAATGTCTTAAAAGGAACTTGACTCATTACAGGCAAATTCATTTTCTTTTAACTCTCTTGCAATTTTAAAATGCTTTATAGACTTGTTACAACTGAGATTTCTTTTTCACTTTCCTAAGATTCTTGCCCTTAATATAACCCAAAAGAAGTACAAGGCTATAATTCACTATAAAAGTAAAACTATTTGTATTACTATTATTTGTATTTTTATTTGTTTTTGTATTTTTTTTAAATTATACTTTAAATTTTGGGGTAATGTGCAGAACATGCAGGTTTGTTTCATAGGTATACACGTGCCATGGTGGTTTGCTGCACCCATCAACCCATCAACCCATCATCTACATTAGGTATTTCTCCTAATGCTTTCCCTCCCATAGCCCCCCATCCCCCAACAGGCCCCAGTGTGTGATGTTCCGCTCCCTGTGTCCATGTGTTCTCATTGTTCAACTCCCACTTATGAGTGAGAACATGCAGTGTTTGATTTTCTCTCCTTGTGTTATTTTGCTGAGAATGATGGTTTCCAGCTTCACCCATGTCCCTACAAAGGACATGAACTCATCCCTTTTTTAATGGCTGCATAGTATTCCATGGTGTATATGTGCCACATTTTATTTATCCAGTCTATCATTGATGGGCATTTGGGTTGGTTCCAAGTCTTTGCTATTGTGAACAGTACCGCAATAATCATATGTGTGCGTATGTCTTTATAGTAGCATGATTTACAATCCTTTGGGTATATACCCAGTAATGGGATTGCCGGGTCAAATGGTACTTCTAGTTCTAGATCCTTAAGGAATCGCCACACTGTCTTCCACAATGGTTGAACTAATTTACGGTCCCACCAACAGTGTAAAAGCATTCCTATTTTTCCACATTTTCTCCAGCATCTGTTGTTTCCTGACTTTTTAACGATCGCCGTTCTAACTGGCGTGAGATGGTATCTCATTGTGGTTTTGATTTGCATTTCTCTAACGACCAGTGATGATGAGCTTTTTTCTTGTTTGTTGGCTGCATAAATGTCTTCTTTTGAGAAGTGTCTGTTCATATCCTTTTCTCACTTTTTGATGGGGTTATTTTTTCTTGTAAATCTGTTTCTTATAAATCTGTTTTCTTGTAAATCTTGTAAATCAGTTCTTTGTAGATTGTGGATATTAGCCCTTTGTCAGATGGATAGATTGCAAAAATTTTCTCCCTTTCTGTAGGTTGCCTGTTCACTCTGATGATAGTTTCTTTTGCTGTGCAGAAGCTCTTTAGTTTAATCAGATCCCATTTATCTATTTTGGCTTTTGTTGCCATTGCTTTTGGTGTTTTAGTCATGAAGTCTTTGCCCATGCCTATGTCCTGAATGGCATTGCCTAGGTTTTCACTATTTTGAGCTTATTTTTTAAGAGTTTATGATTACCTGTAATTTTAAATATAACTCTAGTTTTTTACTTATTTTTTAAAAATTTTAATTATTATGTATACATAATAGTTGTATATATTTATTGAATATATGTAATGCTTCGATTCAGGCATACAGCATGTCATAATATAAATTGGGGTAATTTGGGTATCCTTCTATCACTTCAACCATTTATCATTTCTTTGTATTAGAAACATTCCAATTTTATTCTTTTAGTTATTTAAAAATATACAAATTATTAAATATAGTCATTATAACATGCTACTAAATACTAGACCTTATTTATTCTATCCAACTGTTTTTTGTACACATTAACCATCCCAACTTTATCCCTACCTCCCCACTACCCTTCCCAGACTCTGGTAACCATCATTCCACTCTCTATCCCCAAGAATTATTATTATTTTTTTAAGTTTTAGTTCTCACATGAGTGAAAACTAATTTCACAGTATTGAAATTTGCCTTTCTATGCCTGGCTTATTTCACTATATAATGTCCTCCCATCCCATCCATGTTGTTGCAAAAGACAGAATTTCATTATTTTTTATGGCTCAATAATATTCCATTGTGTATACATTTTCTTTATCCATTCATCCATTGATGGACACAAGTCAATTCCATATCTTGGCTGATGTGAATAGTGCTGCATTAAACATGGGGGGGGGGCAGATATCTCTTCCATATAGTGATTTCCTTTCTTTTGAACATATACACGCAGTGGGATTGATGAATAATATGGTAGTTCTATTTTCAGTTTCTTGAGGAAACTCCATACTCTTTACCATAGTGGCTGTACTAATTTACATTTCCACTAACAGTGTACAAGAGTTTCCCTTTCTACCCTTCTTCTCCCGCATTCGTTATTGCCTGTTTTTTGGATAAAAGCTGGAGTGAGAAGATATATCTTCGTGGTTTTGATCTGCATTTCTCTGATGATTAGTCATGTCGAGTATTTTTTCATATACCTGTTGGCTATTTTATGTCTTCTTTTGAGAAATTTCTATTCAAACTTTTTGTCCATCTTTAAATCATATTACTATATTTTTCCTGTTCATTTGTTTGAGCTTCTTATATATTCTGGTTATTAATCCCTTGTGAGATGAACAGTTTGTAAATATTTTCTTTCATTCTGTGGAGTTTTGGTAATGTGTCTTTCTCTTCTAATTTTTCACTCCAGTTTAAACATTTTCTGGGGGTGGTTAGTTTTTTATTATTAATATATTAGTTTCTACAATTCAGAGAAAAGTATTATTAGGTTAAGAATGAACTCTTGATATTTCTCACTGACATGATATTTCAATGTCTTTAATATAATATAATTACAAAGAAGCAGAAGAAAGGAAACAAGCAACAAGAGACAGAGAGAGGGAGAGAGATATGAATGGGGATATAAACTAATGAGTAAAGTGTTTTGTATAAGATTATAAAAAATACACCAATATCTCTGGGGTTAGAAGGTAAGTGGACAAACAAAAAAAATATTTATCACAGAACTCTGGCTCTGATTCATTTTGAGATGGCTAGGTTGAAACTTTTATCACTTCAATTGTATGAATCTGTGGCATGAGGCATTTAGAGACAGATGTTTTAAATATTGTTTGTAGCCTGACAGTTCTCTGTCAAGTATGAGGCCCTGTCTGTCCTTTGTCATCTGTCCCATTGAGTCATGTCACTTTTTTATCTTTCATTGATTTTGAGACATCTAACTTGACAGTTGTTTCTTATTTAACATGTCTGGAGGGGAAAAAATCTAAAATTTATTGAAGCCTTGTTAAGTTGTCCCTTGGTATTCATGGGGAATTGGTTCCAGGATCCCCGTTGAATACCAAAATCCACAAATGCTAAAGTCCCAGATGTAAAATGTTAATTGCATATCATCTACACACAGCCTTCTGTGTGCTTTAAATTATCTCTGTATTACTCATCATACCTAATACAATGTAAATGCTGTGTAAAGAGTAGTTATACTGTATTGTTTAGGGAATAATGAGAAGAAAAAAAGTCTGTATGTGGTCAGTACACATATAATGATATATATACACACTTCTAATTCAAGGTTAGTTGAAGCCACAGACGTGGAAATCAGCCTTACAAATCTGTGGGTTGCACATTCATGAATTCAACCTACCACAGATCAAAAATATGTTTTAAAAAATAGATGGTTGCATCTGTACTGAACATGTACAGCCTTTTTTCCTGTCATTATTCCCTAAACAATACAGTATAACAGCTATTTGCATGGCATTTACATTGTATTAATATTAGGTATTATAGGTAATCTAGAGATTATTTAAAATATACAGGAGGATGTGCATAGGTTATGTGCAAATACTAAACCATTTCTTATCAGAGACTTGAGTATTTGTGGATTTTGGTATTCATGGGGATTCCTGGAACCAATCCCCCACTGATACCAAAAGACTAGTACATATCCTTATAGGAATGTAGGATGCCAAAAACCACAAAAAAATTTATCTCCAGCTTAACATGGGAAAAGCCAAAACATAGCCTTATAAACTAACAAGTCTAATGTCACACAGCAAATGATAAGAATTAAAGATAGAATTAAAACCCAGACTGCCCTCAATGTATTATTTAATTTCAGAATACTAGCAGATTAATTCCTTTCAACTTTTATTAGGCCGATTGAAACGTACGTTTTTATTGCTAGCATTCTTTTTTTGAATACAAATAAATTCATATTCTGTTACTCATAAAAATTTATAAACACAACATGATTATATCAACTCTAAACTATTGTTTTGGTTATTTTATTGTGAAAGAAATCTTCAAACTCATTCTTGTTATTGAAAATAAAACTATTTAGAAAATTTTCATACTACTTAAAATTTATTATGAAATAAGTTTATATTTTTCTATTTGTAAGATATGTGAATATATGGATAAAAGCTATTACTGAAGTCAATTTTTTCCAGTATTTTTAAATCTTTGAATAATATTCAATATTAACTGTCAACAAAACTCATGAAATTGAGGACATCAGAAAATATTTTGGCTGCCAATAGGGCCAGAGAGTCCTAACATACTGAAAAAAATGTGGAAAACCCTAACAACCAACTAGAATTTTAAAACTAGAACACCATGTAACAATATATTTGCCTTTTTTTAAAATTTTGACAGTTCAATAGGAGAATTTATTAAAAGCACTGTTGTTACTGTGAATAGTGTTCTCACTTACAATTGGGAGCTAAATGATAGAACACATGGTCACGCAGAGGGTAACAGCAACACTGGGGCCTATTGGAGGGTGTAGGGTGGGAGGAGAAAGAGAATCAGGAAATAAAGCTAATGGGCCCTAGGCTTAATACCTGGGTGATGAAATAATCTGTACAACATGTCCATGATACAAGTTCACCTATGTGCACTTGTAGCCCTGAACTAAAAATAATAGTACAAATAAATAAAATCTCTGTTTTATAAACATTTAAATTTTAAAAAGCAGCGCTATTTTATTATTTCAATATTTCCAACTGCCTCTTGTATTACTTGCTATGTTATTTAAGTTTTGATTAAGTCAAATGATAAGTACCCCATGCCATAGTCATTTATGTAATAATACCTTTCATAAGTTTTAGCTTGAGCTGTGTGAATGTCAGAAATCATAAAGTAAAATATTTCCACAACATAAATTTTCATAAAGTGTGATAGGCAGCACTCTCATAATAGAGCCTTTGAGTAATGTGTCAAGGCCAGTGGCTGTAGCTCTGTGCCAGGGCCAGGTGCACAGATTGGTTCAAGTGTGAAGGGGATATTATCTATTCACTTTATTCATCTGTTGTGGGGGAAAAAGGGAGGCAGATTGTGTGTTGAGTCATAGTTCTAATAGTACATAGTAAACTGTCTTTGCTATAGAGGAGTAAAGAGGAAAAAGGGTGAGACTCCTTATCAGCATAGGAATTAAGGAGTTTGGTATCCTGGGAAAAGATGGAGATAGTACAACATGAGATAACAAGGAAACCAAGCTAGAGGGTGTAGTGACTTTTTATACTGGAGGGTTCAGAGAGGGAGAAATCCTATACCTATAGTTTTGGAGCTGAAGCGATATGACTATAAATAGAAAACCATTCTCCAAGAAGGGCTAATTATATTTTTGAAAATTTCTAAGGGCGCAGACATTGGCTGGAAGAACTAATCATGAGATGGATTCTAATTTTGTTTTGTTTTGCTTAGATTTGTTTTGTTTTCACATTCCAAATCAGACTTATAATTAACTGGTAAGTACTGGTTTTGACTACAGAGGAAATTATAAGAATTGAAGTCTCTATGAATTCATAGAAAACTTGGAGTGCCTTGGAATATACCAGGACACAAAACTAAGAATTTGAGAATACCTATTCTAGGCCTCGTGCAATATGGCAGCCATAAAAACCATTAGCAATATATGCAAGTAGACTCCATTATATACTAAATTATATAAAATGCATATTATATTCCTTCTCCCAAATTGCCTTTTAAATTGCCTTTAAGTTTAAATGTCACAATTAATCCTCCTTGATCATCATTATTTAATTTTCCTCTAAATTTGCCAGTCAAGTAAACTTATTAAAAAAAAAACCCAGTTACCAGCTGGGAGCATAATGTATTTTGGCTGACCTCTTATGTCACTATATGATTTTTTATAACACTATGAAGTCAAAGGCTTATTCAACACAATTTTGTTTTTCTCTTCAGCTTTCTGGCTGTTTAAATAATAGATTATGAGTCAACCAAGGAGAAAGTATACCAATGAAAATACTCAGACTTTATTTCATAGCTCACAGGGAAGCTTTTTCTGGTGGGGGGAAACAATCTTTTAATTCCTTTTGGTTAGTTCACAGTTTAGCTATAGGATGTACATATCATTAGGTAAGTAAGAGGGCAAGGTTGCCATGTATTTAGTAAATTAAAGCCTGACACTTTCAAGACATGACATCCTTTATCACACATTATTTCCAGAAGTGACATTTATTCTATATGAAAGAATCTGATGCCTGACCTAGAATTTTCAAGGAAACCCCAAAGGGCTGGCAAACTGTCTTTCCAAAACCCGAAAGAAGAAAGAATGCTTTGAGCTCTATTACTTAGAAAATTAATGAGTAATTCATCCCACTCAATAACGGATTAGTGTTTACTGCAACCCACTTTTCAGACCCCAGTGGGTGTGTTATATATAAATAGGAGATGAGAAGAGCTTTATGTTAATTATAACATTTAGCTTCTTGCTTGAATTAAAATACATGTATAAATGATGTGTCATTTTAGGTCACAAAGTTAGTTCATGTTTTATATAAAAAATGAATGTAGTCTTGATATATACACATTTACTTCAAAGAATTTATTTTCTGTTATGTGTACAAATGCCTCATAAAGAGACAATCTCTGATTTTGATGGAAAACAAAGTCATTCTATTATCTTATACACAGAATTTTTTTTCGTATTTCTACCTTTATTTAGTGAGCCAAAGCTGAGATGGAAGTCATTAGTTACCTACTGAGATAATTAAAGTTGTTTTATTAGAGTTTTAATCAAGCAGTCTGGATATTTTAATCAGGCTTATCAACTTACATTTTATATGGTGAGATGCCCAGAACACATATTTTCAGAAGGTAAAACACAATTCAGTTTTAAAGAATCATTAGAAATCATTGCGAGCAGTTGAATAATACAATCAATTTCTAAAAGTTGCAATAGGCATTATAATATGATGATAATGGCACCATTAAGTGGTTTTCATCCTCGGTTATTTACAACAATACATTTCCATTCCTAACGGCTTCTGTTTGATGTACATTATTGCATTGTTTGGGAAGATACCGCATCACTCCCATAAATATCAGCCAGCAGATGACTGAAGATACAGACTAATAATTATTAACTTCAGATTTATTATTGACAAGTTACAAATATGAAAATGAGTTCAGTTATTTTAGGAATTTCATTTTTCTCTGAGTACCTGCAGAATATATAAGAATTCCTAAACTATCCTTGTTACTAGATTCAGATTTGAGTGTTGAATATCTGGAGTGGCAGGTGTTCTAAATGATGCAACTTGTCTCTGGCTCCCTTTTCTTGCACAGAAAAGTTCTCATTCCTTGAAAGAGGATTGCAGACAAAAGAATTCTTAGATGCATAATAGAGAAAAAAATCTGTAGGATTCAGACGCTACCAGTTTCTTTTTCCAGAACAGTGATTTTTAATTTATTTAAAAAATACATATATTACCAATAACCCCAAAATTCTGGTATATATTACTGGAGCAGCAGAAAATCCATCTCCCCTCATTTCTAGGTGATGCATTACTGAGCTAGAGTAATGGCCTCCAAAGGTAGCTAAAAGGGGAAAAATGAAAGTATTCTAAAAGATATGGAAAGAAAATATTAGAACTTCTCTATACAACTATTTTTAAAGCATGCTTTTAAGATGTTCATTTGATATATGTTATACTGTCTATTTGTATTAGTAAATATGTATGTATACCTATAAATTTGGGCATATAAAATTGGTGCATTTATATTAAAAATGACTTCAATAAAAGTACACATTAAAATTACTAGAAATCATGCGTGTATAGTTTATATAAAATTAATTTGTGTAGAAAAGTATTTAAGTACATTTAATTAAAGATGGCATGCATGCTTTACAAGGTTTCTTACAAGTGATCTGCTGATATCGAATTTATCACCAGAGATAAGTAAGAAAGTTGTTCAAATTCATGCGTATTCTATTGCTCACTTCCACTATGTGCCAATATTGACAAGCAACTTATCAAATTAAGATGAGCTTGCATTCAAATTACATAGCTGGTTTGGGAGAATATACATTTATAGATATGGCCATAAGCAGAAAACTCCTGTAACCAAAAGCAATTCTTACTAACACCAGAAAACCACATAGACTATTTAACATATACACAATTTTTAATAAATGTGAATTAGGACAGGCATATTAACATGAGAAAAGTTGATATAAAAATGGAAAAATCACTTAAAATATGTTTGAAATATTATCTTGATATTATTTAAGCTGAGATATGAACCATTTAGTTTATTGTGTTGTTTAAAATTATATTTTACTAATCTAAAATTTAATGATTTTTAACTCTGATGAACATTAGATCATATATTTATTCAATCTGAATATTGATAAACATTTAAACTGAAAATTATAAGTATTAATTAAATATTATTTATATTTAATTATTTTTCTACACTAAAATATACAGGTTAACTTACATAATATAGCTTCATCAATACTCCAGGAATTTTAATATAAGTTATTCCCAATATTATAATTCCAAGTACAAGAAAATGCTTACTTTGTATTATGACAATATTTTATGATCTCTTCTTTCTTCTAACTCTTGAACTGTCCTATAATGTTAATTTATTGACATTTTTACTCTCCCAATTCAGAAATAGCAGCGCTCTGTTACTTTTGCTTTCTCTCTTTCACCCGTTTCCTCTTTCTCCCCATCTTTCTTCCTTTGCTGTTAAAAAGCAACAAAAGGGCCAGGCGCGGTGGCTCACACCTGTAATCCCAGCATTTTGGGAGGCCTAGGCAGGCGGATCACAAGGTCAGAAGATCGAGACCATCCTAGCTAACACGGTGAAACCTTGTCTCTACTAAAAATACAAAAAATTAGCCAGGCGTGGTGGTGAGCGCCTGTAGTCCCAGCTACTCAGGAGGCTGAGGCAGGAGAATGGTGTGAACCTGGGAGGCGGAGCTTGCAGTGAGCTGAGATCGCGCCACTGCACTCCAGCCTGGGCGACAGCGAGACTCCGTCTCAGGAAAAAAAAAGAAAAATGTTTCTATCTAGTACAGTGTTTCAGACATCTTAGGATCTTAGGCATATAATGAATGTGGGTCTTGCAGTGATTTAAACAATGTGAAAATGCAATTAAAAAGAACAACTATAATTAGAGAAGTTTCTGTCATTCTTAAGCTGTTCTAAATTCTTGTTTATATTAATGTGTATTCAACAAGTCCTTACTAATGACATTTTTTAAGTTTACCTTTCCTTGGTATATGTGACAAACCCATAAAATAATTTAAAAAGATAAAAATGAGGATTTTTCCATTTATATTATATTTCTATGAACAGTAAGTTCACTGAATTTTTGGTGCATAGTAAGCCACTTTTATTAAAACTGAATATTTGTCTCATTGAATAGATGAGGAGAGAGAATAAAGATAATTTGGAGAAAAATACTTTTGAATAACAAACTTCTCATACAAACTTTCATTTTAAATTAAATGTTTAGATAAGTCACTGTCTCTCTGTCCCTAAACACATGGCAATAGAACTCTTACCATTCAGATTGTAACTTTGTAACTTTCAGATAGGCTAATTATCTCTCTCTATGAAACAATGTGATTAAAAAGGGAGATTGTTAAATACTTTCTTGTCAACTATCACCTTACAATTTTTTTATGCTAGTGTAACCAGCCTTGTTAACAGTGATGCAATTGAATATGTTTTTTAATATATATCATTTCTACAATTAAGAATGAATTCATTGTTAACTTCAAAATTCATGTATTCTCTGGAATATGTGAGATTCTAAATAGTTTTATATGGCTGAATGAGCCATGAGTGCCATTTTCATGCCTCAAATATGTCTAAAATATTTGTTTGTTTATATTCTTATAGCAATCTCTAATTAATCTAGCATCTCCCCTTTGAAATAATTTTGCTTACAAAGCTTTCATAGAAGTAGAATTTATTTTGGACAGTTCATTTAGGCTTGGATGCCTTTTTTCTCTCTATTGTGGATTCAACATTCAAAATCATGTAATAAAATTGTAATTGTCAATATCTCATATAACTTCATTTTAATTGTACTTTTCCTCCAATAATGCCTAGTTTTCTAAATACCTGTAGGGCTCACATACTTGTTAATTTGAAATCTCATGAAGAGAATCACATTAAGTAACTCTAAATGCAAATCTCTTCAACCACTGAATGGTATAAAATGTAGATAATGTAGACAAAAGCTTGAGGTTCAAAGTAAAATTCTCACTTGACATAAATTGCTCTACAAGTGTGAAAAATGTAGAGAAATCATTGTTTTTAAAATTTTTTCATTTGTTTCAGATTTGCTGATAAAAAATAATCTTATATTTAAGAATGATTTTAGAAATTGTTAAGCCCATGCATATCTAAGCTGTGAGAGACCCGAAGAATCCAAGGGACTCACCTGTCAAAGGTTACATAAGGTTAAAGCTCGAAAAACTAGTTTTCAATGCTCATCATTTTCCCTTGTCTTTATAGTTGAGGGGTGACACATTTAAATAATTTTTAAATGAGAGCTTACGATTGTAGGTAGAACAAAGGTGGTTGAAAATATTCAACTTATTTATACAGAATCATGCATTAAGAGAACATGCACATAAGGCAAAATGATGACTGCATGGCCTTTAAATGTCACAGAGTACTGTCTAACATGAGGGTTTCCAAACTATAATATGCTGGCCAAATCTGGCCTACCACCTGTTTTTATATAAGCTGCAGGCTAACATTGTTTTTCACATATTGAAATAATTTTAAAAATAAGAATAATATTTTGCAATACATAAAGTTATATATAATTCAAAGTTCAGTGTCTGTAAGTAAAATTTTATTGAAATGTAGCTGAATTGGAAGGGTTCTCCAGAAAAAACAGAATGAAAAGCATAAATAGATAGATGATAGATTAGAGAGGTAGGTAGGTGGGTAGGTAGGTAGGTAGGTAGTTAGGTATATGGATAGACAGAAGAAAGGGGATTTCTTAGGGGAATGGCTCACATAAATGCGGAGGCTAAGAAGTCCCACAATGTGCTGTGTACAAGCTGGAGAACCAGAGAAGATGGCAGCATGATTCAACTCAAGTCTGAAGGCTTGAGACACTAGGGGCCCATGGGTGCAGGTCCCAGAGTGCAAGAGCCAAATAACCTGAAGTTCTAATATCCAAGGGCAGGAGAAAATGGTTATTTTTGCTTCAGAAGAGAAAAAGCCTGTTTGCAAATTCATCTCTCCTCCACCTTTTTTGTTCTATCTGGGTCCTTAGGAGTTGTAAGGTGCCCACCCACGTGAAGTGAGGGTGAAACTTCCTTACTCAGTCCACTGACTCAAATGTCAATCTCTTACAGAAACACCCTCACAGACATACCTAGAAATAGTGCTCTGCCAGGTATCTGGGCATCCCTCAATTCAGTAGAGTTGACACCTATCATTAACCATCACAATAGCTACTCATTTGTTTCTGTATTGTCTATATCTGCGTTTGCACCACAGTGACAGAACTAAGTAGTGGCATTATATACCATATGTACTACAAAGCCTAAAATATTTATTATCTGGCCCGTTATACACACAGACACACACACACACACATCCACACACACACACACACACACACACACACACACACACACGATGACCCCTGCATAACAAGCCTATACAAGCATTATTTCATTTTTTTATGGAATGTACCTTTGTTTGATTTACCATTGAATATTGATTGGAAGCAGATTCCTTGAAGTTACAGGCAAAGATATAGATTTTTTTGTCATTAGAGATGCAAAGGATTTCTGTCAGTTGGAGAATATTACCCCGAAGGATGTTTTAATTGCTCTATGAGACCTTGAGTAATTTGTGCTCCAGCTTAACAAATTTATGTAGCATTCTTTTCTCCACTCACTATGAAGATTTCATCACATATTTTGAAGAACTTTACACCTTGCTAATTCTCTCTTTAATAAGTTATAAAAAACTTTGTCTAATGTCCAGTCTACATATATACAATAGCTATATTTTTAACTTTTTGAAAATTATACTTTTATACCTGAAAGTATATTGTTTTTTGTGACTGTAAAATACATAGTCTGTAATAACAACTTGACCCTAAATAATGCACCCCATAAATAACAAATTGTTTTTTCAGTCAACTGTTTTATTGTTAAGACTTAAACCTATTTATTTCAGTCTTTCCATTGTGTTTGATTCAAAGCGCCACCTTCTTCCACTAAGAAATAGCATTGGCTCAGAGTCTTGGAGAGGTAAGTTTGTAATATGCTTTCCCACACTGCCACTATTATCTCTTGGTCTCTTGTGCTTCTGGCTTTAGGGAATAATAAAGCGAAAGGAGGGAGTTAAATTTAGTTACATGTGCCCCCTATGAGTGGGTGTTGCTAGATTTTTATAGTTTAGAATATGAACAGACCCAGTAGGTAGTGCCAAGGCTGCTAATTCCCTTTTTAATTAGTCTTCATTCTATTGGTCATCAACAACAGAGGATGTGCGGTTGATGCAAACTTAATCTTAAACATACTCTCAACACTTATCAGCTGACCTAGCCCCCATCGTCATCTAATTTGCTTGTCTCTTTCTCCCTTACAACTCACTCTAGTCCCTTGCAAGTCTGTAGATCTCAAATATTCAACTCACATATATCTTTAGAACCAAGAACATGAGGAAGTAAGGATGATGTGACTAATATCTCTGCATTAGTTCTGCACTAGCCAGATAGCAAGTCTGAAGGGTAAACAGTCAATATGCTGTAGGGCACAGAAGACTCTTCTCTCCTTCAAATACTCACACATTATTCCAGAATTCCCTCTTATCTCTCCTTTTCATGGTCAAGGAAAAGAGCCAATCTAATGTCCGCAATTCTCTTCCAAGAAGAGAACTCGGGAGAGAAAAAACATTGTATGGCAAAAACTGAGGTACTACTGTCAAAATAAAACTCCTTTTTATGTTTCCCTCCTCACTTTTGACATTTCTTTTCAATGTTTTCAAACCAGTACAGAATCTTTGGTACCTGGGTTTGTGGGAGTGGAACATACCAATAACCACGCCCTTTTTGAGTTTAGCCTTAGAGCTGCTAATGGCATTTTTCTCAGTAGTATGCACCGATCATTCTTTAAAATCTCAAACAGAACTTTGACTCATGCTCTTAACTAAGATATAAACTGTTTTGTATGAGGACATTCCTATTATATTAGGTCAGAGAAGCAACTGAGCAGAGTTTTGGAAGCCTTACTGAAGTGGAAGAAGTTAACATTTCTCAAAGACAGCAAAATATGCTAAGGTTGTACAAGAAGCATGATGAGAAATACATGTCTCCAACGTTTTCTGAGCTTTGTTTTACATATTAGACATGAGGAACTAGTAGAAACAGCTTTTCTGCTCTTGTAGTTAAGGAGAATGGGAAATTTAAACCATATGAGAAGAATGTACAATTCACAGATAGTTCTAAGTTTTAAATATATTACTTGGTCAAAACAAATGCCGTACACTTAGAGGAAGCCCTGGAAGTTCATTGGGTAAGCCCTTTCTTCCCTCTAAGATGGACAGAAATGCAACTGGCCCAAAAGCTCTCCTAAGCCTCAGGGAGCCTAAATGACTTGATTTAACGTACTGCCAAACCAACCGGAAGATAACATGGTAGATGGCTCCGATAGCTCCAGAGAAATGGTTACAGAATCACAAATCATCTCACCAGGCTTTTCACTAGGTTGTTTTTGTTTTTCTATTGTATTGCTCTAAATCAAGGAGTTGAAATAGTACCTCACTGTCTATAAGTTTATTTAGTTATATTATGTATGTAAAGATATATTTTCATTGCTAGTAAATAAATACGATCCAAATATATATGCTTAGAAAGTTTGCAGTCTATTTATTAGCAAATATCACTGCCCCATCAAACCCACTCTAAAATTATTAATAATAAAAGCTCATACTCAAAAGCATATGTTTTGAAATTTCAGTCCTTCATGAGTGATCACAAATGTCACTTGAAGATACCAATTAAATTTAAAAAATAGATTTACATGGGTGCAATCTCTTTTTCAGAAAATGATTAAATTGAAAAATACATGAATAGAATTTAAATAATTCACATCTATTCAACAAATACAGACCACTTAATGTATGCTAATAATGGTTACATATTTTAATATTTTGTTTTAAGCACATAGTACAAACAAATATAATCTTAAGAAATATTTTTAACATGTCACAGTAATTTTGAAATTCCAGACACTATAACTAATATTTATAATACTTATTTACTTATTTATTATTATAAACAATAAGATTGTTACTAAGACATTACTTTTAAAAACAATGTATATATGTGTTTGGTGGGATAATATGCCCATATTTATTTGTTGCACTCCATTATTAAATGCAATTTTTAATTAAAAAAGAGTAATTTCAATATTTTTGCTTCATTTAAACTTCTAAAACATCCCTTGAATATAGTAATTAGATTAGGCTATGAAGCAATTGAGTGAAAATAATTTTATTAAAATTAAAACATATAATTGAATTAAATCATACCAATTGAAGCTCATTCTACTTTCCAGCACTGAAACGATATCTACTTATTTATAGTTTTCTTTCTAAAATCTATTGTATACAATTAAATTATAGGCAAATATAACACACACAGAAGCTTCCAATGCAGCGTGCCCTTGTGCTTTTCCAGTAACTTGACAATTTGTGTTGACTACAGTAAAGCATCTATTACCTGTAATTGATCTTTTACATATGAATTGCCACTCAGAAAGCTTTTACCCTCAGTACATGAAGAATTTTAAAATTAGCCTGATGATAGCATCTGAACAATATAGTTCAAGTGGTTAAAACCCTTATGCATCCCCAGTGGAAGTGATAAAATAAGATTTTTTTTGAACCAGTTATTGATTCCTAGAAATTAACTGTAAAAAGAGTTAACAATGTTTCTGTCCTAAAAATAGCAGTAAAAAAGTTACGCACAGTCTAATTGTGTATGTTTTAAAGTTTACCTGTTAAAGGGATTTAAGTGTGTTTTTATATAATTTGCTTTTTATTTTTTATTTAAGAGACAGTATCTTGCTCTGTCACCCAGGCTGGAGTGCAGCGGCGATATCATAGCTCACTGTAACCTCAAACTACTAGGCTCAAGTTATTCTCCACTTCAGCCTCCCATGTAGCTAGGACTACAGTCCTGTGCCAC
Source organism: Homo sapiens (assembly GCF_000001405.40). Taxonomy (NCBI): domain Eukaryota; kingdom Metazoa; phylum Chordata; class Mammalia; order Primates; family Hominidae; genus Homo; species Homo sapiens. The sequence continues at coordinate 43,690,108 of NC_000014.9, forward strand.
AATGCCTGGCTAATTTTTCAAATTTTTTGTAGAGACAGATTCTCACTAAGTCACCCAGTCTGGCCTGGAACCCCTAGCCTGAAGCCATTCCCCACCTCACCCAACTACCACCTCAGCCTGCCTTAGCCTCCCAAAGCACTGACATTACAGGTATGAGCCACTGTATCCAGTCTATATACTTATTATTGAAAACACCAACTTCTTATAAAGATATTTTCAAAACATATTTTAATGAGCATTAGTCTTGAGTGTTTTAATATTTTCACCTGAAATATAAGCTAGAATATCTCTCAGAGGCCGCAATTAAAATAATTCTTGCTTTTCTGGCATAGTAAATACTTTTGAATCTTGCTGTTAACTCTCTGATGTCAGAGCCACACTGATATTTAAAGTTTTTTTAATTAAAGTTTTTTTCTTTGTCCTTTCTTTTTTAACCCCTTCTCCTATTAAAATCTTTCACTTAGCCTTAGAGCACAGAATAATTAAGTGTTGGTATGATACCAACATAAAAATTTAAATTGACTTTTTCTTTAGATTAGTTTGCTATCATGTAAATTGCAGTCCCTTGTCAATTTGTGTAAAGTAGACATTATTTTTTCAATGTCTTGAGGACACATTGGCCTTGTTTTACAAAAAAATGGGCATGGCAGCTGACATGTTGCAGGTTTGTTTGTTTGTTTGTTTGTTTGTTTTGTCTTGGCTGAAGATCAAATCTCTGCAATCTACCCAAAAGTGGATATTAACAATGTTATAAACATCTAAGAAATGACACTGGTTAGGCATCAGAATGAGAAAGCACATAAAGATGCCAGTGGATACTCTTGAAACAGATACATTTTTAAATTACAAATGAAATGTAACTGCCCTATATTGTATGTTCTCAAAGCAGGAGAATTGATATTAAATAGTATGTGATTCGCCCGAGATGCCAGCTTCTCAGAACTCCCAAAATCCTCTCTGGGATGCCCCTTGGCTGATGACATAGCACACGTGGAATAAAATTATGCCATAAACACGAAAAAGCCTCTATTCTCATTTTTTGGATTCTCTTGTTTATCCCCTCCAGACCCTTCTTGCCTTCTTTAAACTGGCCTGCTTTCTATACATAATTCTGAATAAAATTCTGAGTGTTTAATGAGAGGCAGAGAGAATTTTTGAACAATTTCCAAGGCATCATACATTTTTACTATTTCTTAGTAGAGTCTAACCTGGGTCCTGCTGGAGGCCATATCAAACTTTAAAAAACCCTGACATATTTTGATCTACAGGATAGGGCTCTTTGATGCGGATCATAAAAATATTGGTTGGATGAAGATAACTTTTTAAACTGAATTTGGTAAAATCAACAATAATATAGATATAGGTTTAATTGAAATTTAACTCTTATGAAATCTATCTCCTACAAAATTTGTGTATTTGGTATTTTCCTGCATCACCAACAAGCACTTAGCATAGCATAATTTGTGCATAAATGCTCTTAATCTTGATGAAGAAGTGAGAGAAAAGATTATTATTACCAGTCTGTCACCATGTCCTTAAATCAGACTTCTAAATTATTTTGCCCTTTGTTTCTCTGCCTAATTGAGATAATGAACACACCAGGCATCCAGGCATGACTAAGAGTATGTGGTAGGAATAGAGGGTTTGTGTGTATGTTCAAAACCAGCTGAGACAGGTGAGTTAAGAAACAACATTTTGAACAGTGACTCTTCAAAATCTCATCCATACTCCTAGAAGCTTGCACTTTTTTTTAAAACTAAGAATATGCAAATTAGAGCTTTATCTTTTTGGAATGATATTAAAGAGAGATAAGCCCACAAGTGTTGGGTCCCAAAGAGGTGTCAGACAAAGCTGTATTTTGTTTCAAATTGTTGCTTTTTTGTTTAGTTTCAAACATTCATGTTAAACTGCAATAATAGAAGCTCAGCAAAGGTAGGAAGGCAAGATATAAGAGACCAAACCTTGAGTCCTAATATTAAAATTTATTTGGATGGAGAACGAGGCACAAAAATATTCAGTTTTTTCCAGCAAAGCAAAATTTATGATTATCTATCTCATGAAAATGTGATGGAAGTAGATGCTGATAATTTTCTGTAGAATAAGGCAAGGTGCCCAGAAATTATCTGCAGAGGGAGTATTATTACATATTTAACACAACACATTTTTATTGAATTGTGTGTGGCATTTGTATTATTTTCTTGACTGACAGAAGCCTTCTAATATCTGTCAGCTTCATGTCCACTGTGATTTTGCAAACCCTATATGTGGCTAGTAAGAACTCCAGTATTTCCAATGTGGTATCGCCCAACAAATTAGGTATTCCTAGGCCTCAGCAATACCCCTGAGAATGGATCTTCCATAGTGAAAGAACAGAGAGCTTGGATCATTCTAGAGAAGTCAGAGAAGAAGGGTGTCAGAGTTTATTAGTTGGTTCTCTCTTCATGAGAGGAAAAAAAATAGACAACCAGGTTCAAGGGGTAGTGCAGGGAAAAAAATAAAATACACCTAAAAAAAGAGTTTAGGTAGAGAGAAAAAGAAGATGATAGGACTGAAAAGGTACAAAAGAAATATCTGGACTTTCAATTCAAAAAAATTACTAAGGTCAGCTCTGACCTTGGGTAATGATTATTGTCTGTCCCCCACCTCACCCCAACAAAGAAAATCTTATCATTATTTTATCTTAACAAAAGTTTCAGTTTCATACCTCCTTCTAGAATCTTCTTTATAAAACAGCCTGTAGGAAATGCTATTAGTGCATAGGCAAGCAGGTTTCTATTTAGAAACCTTCTGCAGCAGTGCCATTATGTGTCAGCAGAAATGAACAGCCTAAGCAAGGTTAATTTTTAGAAACCGGCTAATGCAGAAATATGAGTAAAAGAACTTGGAATGTGATAAGACTTCATGTGGAAATGAAGCCCTGCAATAAAGAAACTTAAACCTCTGACAATAAAAATACATCATGGCAAACATAAAATAGATTAATAGAAAAAGGAAATAAAGGAGAAGAAGAATACTCAAAATATCCTTGGAAAAAGTTTTGCTTTCCAGTATAAAAGGCAAAATTACATAAAAGTTAAATTTGACGTAATGCAAAAATGGAAATACCTACTAGTCTTTACATATATGTATTTTTTAAAGTCTTCATATTATAAAAACAATTGTTACAATAAGCAAAAATGTGTGGTGGTTAGCAACATTTAATCTGGCAATAATAAAATTATTTTTCCTGATAGCATATAGCAATACATTTTTTATTGCTATAAACACTTAGCTATAATATGTGAACTCTACTATAAAATTCAGGTTGTATTTACATGTACTTTGGGACAAGAAAAGGAAGTTTTCTCATCCCTATGCTCACAAATTAGCCCAGTATTTCTTTTAAAAATCTTCCTATCTTTATTTCACAGTACTGTGATATACAAGGCCCAAGACCTTTTAAAGTAACGCTCTGAAAAACAAATTATTTCATTTAGAAACGTGCAAAAGATCTCAATAGAAATTTTTCCAAAGAAGTGGTCAACAGGTATTAGAAAAAGTGTTCAACATCATTAATTGTCAGGAAATTGCAAATCAAAACCATTATGATCTATCACTTTACACCCATTTGGACAGCTATCATCATAAGACAAGAGCTAACAAGTGTTGGGGAGGGTGTGGAGAAAGGGATCCCTTGTACACTGTTGGTGGGAATGGAGATTGGGGCAGTCATTATGGACAACTGTATGGAGATTCCTAAAGAAATTAAAAATAGAATTACCATGTAGCCCAGCAGTCCCTCTTCTGGGTATACAGCTAAAGGAAACAAAATCACCAACTCATAAAGATATCTGTGCTTTTATGTTCACTGCAGCATTATTCACAATAGCCAAGATATTAAAACAATCTAGGTGTTCATGAACAGATGAATGGATAAAGAAACCAGAGGTATACACACACACACACACACACACACACACACACACACACACACACACACACACACACAAAAGAAATATTATTCAGCCTTTCTTAAAAATGAGAATATTCTGCCATTTGCCACAACAGGGATGGACCCAGAAAACATGGTAAGTGAAATCAGCCAGACACAAAAGAAAAAGATTTCACTTATATGTGGAATCTAACAACAACAAAAAAAAAGGTAAAAAACTTTATCTTCTCTCTTGCTCCGTCATTCACTTATCTCATTTATTTCTGTCCTTGCCACTGGAGATTTGAGGCTTTTGTTTTTACCTTATACATCTTGAAAAATATTATGATTAACTGCTCTCGAGTTAGCATGTTACATGTCTATTTATGTGGAGAGAGGATGCTTTCTCTGTAAGTTCCTATTCCAGTTTTCAGGGTAGGGAGTCATAGGGGACATGTCTAAACCAATCAAATTCCCCAGACAATAGGGAACACTTTGCTTTCCTTTGGAGAGCATTAATATTAATAAAATATGTGGACCATTCTACATTTTTCTTTCTCTCTTCTGAATTCTGTACAGGATATGTCAGTACTATGAAATCAATGCTTTTACTGGTAAATACAAATGGGACGCAACATTACTGAAGTCTACCTTAGCTATTTTCACATGAAATGCATTGCCATTAATTTGTCCCTAACCAAATATCTCTAATAAACAATAAATAATATTCAATGGATTGTGCTTTGGCTAGAGACCTATCCAAAATAAAAATATTAACTTCCTGTTGTAATCACCACAAACTAAAACTTATTTGCACTTATTATGAGTTTCTCCTTGAAGCTTGTAAAGCCTTAAAAAACAAGGGAGATATTATTTAAAATAAATACAATGCAAAGGAAGTAAATCCATGTGCAGAAAAGAGGGTATCTAAAAAAGGATGACTAAGATTGATAAACTACAAGTAAAACTCATGGTTGAGAATAAAGAAGTCATCAGTAGTTTTTCTTGAGGCAATTAGTGACCTCTCCTAAACACTTATAATCCTTAAACATTTATCTCCAGATCAGATATTTGTCTTGGATTCTAGACTAATTTATCCTGTAATATAACATACATCTCTACTGGAGTGGTTATTTCACAGCAAAGCTTTAAAAAACATGTCTAATTTTCACACCCCTCCAAACTTGAGCTTTGCCTCCTTATTCTTTGCCTCTGAAAACCACTCCCCATGAATCCAGGTGAAAACCAAAAGCCATCTTAAATTCCTCCTGTCCTCGTGTATTGCAAATTCAAACACTCATCAAATGCTATTATTCGACCTTTAAATAATTTTCCAGATCATCATCATTGAGCTGATCTCAGGTTCTTATTTAATCTCAGTAAGTGAAATGTAGAAAACCTTTTATCGGTACCCTGTCTTTGACTTTTACTCTCTTAAGTCATTTTGCCACACTGCTATCAGTATTATCCTTTCGAAAAATATGAATGTAGCATGACTCATTTATATTATTTTCACCTCAAAAATAAAAATCTCATCTGCCTATCATACCAGACTTTTAATAATATTTCCTCCTTTGCTTGTCCAGATACGTTACTGAATGAATCTTCAAAGGGTATACTATATCTGTATTAAACTACTTGCAGTTTCCTGAATATTGCCTCCCCTTACACCCTCACAGCAGTCATCTTAAACTAATCTTTCAGTGATTATATTCAAATATCTGCTCTTCTTTCTCCTAAATAGTTAATGACTTATCCTCTGCTCCAACATACATTATGCACATATTTTCATTAAATTATTTTAATATATGTGTGCATACATACATATGTGCACATGTACACACAAATACATACACATATGTACAGGTATATAAAAATCCACCTAAAACACAAGTTACAAAGGATATTATGACACTTAGACTAGTGCCTGGCACATCAGTCATTCAGAAAATTGCCTAAATGAGTAGAGCGCAAGCAATATTTGAGCTTTTCACAAACATTTTCTGATAAATACCTGAGCTGCTGCGAGGCATTATATAATGTGGTGAAGATATAGAAACAGCATTCCTAGACCAATCATTCTAATAATTTACCTAAAAATGTCAGTAGAAAACACATATAAATTTCATTTGAAATAGAATTGGTAATATAAAAGGAAAGACTAATTTTGGGGGCAATGTGACAGAAGGATTAGTGCCAGCAATGTTTACAGTAAAGAAGAGGAAGCGTAAAATGAAAGATGTTAAAAAATCATTATTTATATAGACCCACATAAATATAATCAACTGATGTCTGGCCAAAAGAAAGACAACAAAGTGGGGAAAGACACTCTCCAACAAGTGGTGCTGGAACAACTGAACATTCACATAAATTCATAAAAGTGGATTTAAGGCCGGTTGCAGTGGCTCACGCCTGTAATCTCAGCACTTTGGGAGACCGAGGCGGGCAGATCACGAGGACAAGAGATCAAGACCATCCTGGCTAACATGGTGAAACCCCGTCTCTACTAAAAAATACAAAAAATTAGCTGTGTGTGGTGGCGGGCCCCTGTAGTCCCAGCTACTCCGGAGGCTGAGGCAGGAGAATGGCATGAACCTGGGAGGCGGAGCTTGCAGTGAGAGACATCACGCCACTGCACTCCAGCCTGGGCGACAGAGCAAGACTCCGTCTCAGAAAAAAAAAAAAAAAGTGAATTTAAGCATGGAACTTACACTCTTTACAAATATTAACTCAACTTACACTCTTTACAAATATTAACTCAAAAAGGGTCATGGACCTAAATGTAAAATGAAAACTATACAATTCCTAGAATTTAACGTAAGAGAAAGTTTAGATGACCTTTAATATGTGCTATGGTCCGAATGTTCATGTCTCTCTAATATTCATATGTTGAAATTCTAACCCGCAAGATGATGGTGTTAGACGGTGAGGCCTTTGGAAAGTGATTAGATCGTGAGGTGAAGCCCTCATTGTTGAGGGTACTGCTTTTATAAGAGACCTCAGAGAGCTATCTAGCCCTTTCCACCATATGAGGACACAGAGAAAAGATGTTTATCTGTAAAGGAAGTGGGGATTCAGTTAGACACTACATCTGTAGACACCTTGATCTTGAATTTCCAAGACTCCAGAACTATGAAAAATAAATATTTGTAGTTTATAAGCTACACAATCTATGGTATTTGTTAGAGCAGACCTAGTGGACTAAGACAGAATAGCAACGGCTTTTTTGTCAGCAGCACAAACATCATAAACAAATGAAAGACATAATCAATAAGCTAGACTTCATTAAAATTAAAAACTTCTGCTCTAAAAGGGTACTGTCAAGAGAATGAGAAAATAAGTTATAGATTGGAATAAAATATTTACAAAAGACATACCCAATAAAGGACTATTACGCAAAGTATAAAAGAATTCTTAAAATTTAACATAAAGAAAACAAACAACTCAATTTTATAAAGAAAAAATTTGAACAAACACCTCACCAAAGAAGATATAAACATGGCAAAGAAGCTTATGAGAAGATGCTCCAAATCATGTGTTGTTAGAAAAATCAAAATAAAACAATGAGATTACCACTACAAGCCTATTAGAATGGCCAAGTCCAGAACACTGTCGATATCAAATGTTACTGCGGAGGTGAAACAACAGGAACTCTTGTTCTTCGCTGCTGAAAATGCAAAATGGTATATCCATGTTGTAAGAGAGCTTAGCAGTTTCTTTTAAAACTAAACATACACTTATCATGTGATCCATGGATCATACTCCTTGCCATTTACCCAAAAGAAAACATCACTTTTAATCCATAAATGTACACAATGATAATTTGCGAATTAAAAAAATTTAAATAAGACCAATCATAAGCTCCATACAAATATTTGCAGTAGCTTCATTCATAATTGCCAAAACTTAGAAGCAACTGAGATGTCCTTGAGTAGGTGAATAAACTGTGGTATATCCTGATGAAGGAATATTATTGAGCACTAAATAGAAATGAGCTATCCAGACATGAAAACACATAGAACCTTAAATGTATATTACTAAGTGAAAGAAGTCAATCTGCAAAGGCTATATAACTCAAGCTACATGACATTTGGAGAAAGACAAAACTGTGGAAATGGTAAAAAGATCCACAGTTACTGTTAGTTAGAGGCATACATAGATGAAATGCAGGATTTCAGGACAGTGAAACTATCCTGTATAATGCTATAAGAGTGAAAATATGTAATTATTCATTTGTCAAAACCTGTAGAATCTAAAACACCAAAAATAAATCCTAACGTAAACTATGAACGTTTGGTGATAATGATGTGCTAATGTAGGTTGATCAATTATAATAAAATATACCACTTTGGTGCAGTAAGCAGACAGTGAAGAAGGCTGTGAATGTGAGGAAGAAGGGAATATATGAGAACTCTGTACTGTCTGCTCAATTTTTCTGTGAACCTAGGACTTCTCTACAAACGAGTCTTATTTAAAAACTAAATTTATGATTTATGAAAGTTAATACTAAATCTTATTGATTAGATTTAAAACAAGAAACGTTTGAGTATTAACAAATAATTACCAATATAAATATTTTTCAATTAACATTTTCTGTTATAAGGCATTAAGCTATAGAAAATGTGGTAGATTACCACAAGATGGCCGAATAGGAACAGCTCCCGTCTACAGCTCCCAGCCCGAGCGACGCAGAAGAGGGGTGATTTCTGCATTTCCATCTGAGGTACCAGGTTCATCTCACTAGGAAGTGCCAGACAGTGGGCGCAGGTCAGTGGGTGTGCGCACCATGTGCAAGCCGAAGCAGGGCGAGGCATTGCCTCACTCGGGAAGCGCAAGGGGTCAGGGAGTTCCCTTTCCTAATCAAAGAAAGGGGTGACAGATGGCACCTGGAAAATCGGGTCACTCCCACCTGAATACTGTGCTTTTCCCACCGGCTTAAAAAACGGCACACCACGAGATTATATCCGGCACCTGGCTCAGAGGGTCCTACCCCACGGAGTCTCACTGATTGCTAGCACAGCAGTCTGACATCAAACTGCAAGGCAGCAGCGAGGCTGGGGGAGGGGCGCCCACCATTGCCCAGGCTTGCTTAGGTAAACAAAGCAGCAGGGAAGCTCCAACTGGGCGGAGCCCACCACAGCTCAAGGAGGCCTGCCTGCCTCTGTAGGCTCCACCTCTGGGGGCAGGGCACAGACAAACAAAAAGACAGCAGTAACCTCTGCAGACTTAAATGTCCCTGTCTGACAGCTTTGAAGAGAGCAGTGGTTCTCCCAGTACGCAGCTGGAGATCTGAGAACAGGCAGACTGCCTCCTCAAGTGGGTCCCTGACCCCTGACCCCTGAGCAGCCTAACTGGGAGGCACCCTCCAGCAGGGGCACACTGACACCTCACACTGCAGGGTACTCCAACAGACCTGCAGCTGAGGGTCCTGTCTGTTAGAAGGAAAACTAACAACCAGAAAGGACATCCACACCAAAAACCCATCTGTACATCAACATCATCAAAGACCAAAAGTAGATAAAACCACAAAGATGGGGAAAAAACAGAACAGAAAAACTGGAAACTCTAAAAATCAGAGCACCTCTCCTCCTCCAAAGGAACGCAGCTCCTCACCAGTAACGGAACAAAGCTGGACTGAGAATGACTTTGACGAGCTGAGAGAAGAAGGCTTCAGACGATCAAATTACTCTGAGCTATGGGAGGACATTCAGACCAAAGGCAAAGAAGTTGAAAACTTTGAAAAAAATTTAGAAGAATGTATAACTAGAATAACCAATACAGAGAAGTGCTTAAAGGAGCTGATGGAGCTGAAAACCAAGGCTCGAGAACTACGTGAAGAATGCAGAAGCCTCAAGAGCCGATGCGATCAACTGGAAGAAAGGGTATCAGCAATGGAAGATGAAATGAATGAAATGAAACGAGAAGGAAAGTTTAGAGAAAAAAGAATAAAAAGAAACGAGCAAAGCCTCCAAGAAATATGGGACTATGTGAAAAGACCAAATCTACGTCTGATTGGTGTAACTGAAAGTGATGGGGAGAATGGAACCAAGTTGGAAAACACTCTGCAGGATATTATCCAGAAGAATTTCCCCAATCTAGCAAGGCAGGCCAACGTTCAGATTCAGGAAATACAGAGAACGCCACAAAGATACTCCTCGAGAAGAGCAACACCAAGACACATAATTGTCAGATTCACCAAAGTTGAAATGAAGGAAAAAATGTTAAGGGCAGCCAGAGAGAAAGGTCGGGTTACCCTCAAAGGGAAGCCCATCAGACTAACAGCGGATCACTCGGCAGAAACCCTACAAGCCAGAAGAGAGTGGGGGCCAATATTCAACATTCTTAAAGAAAAGAATTTTCAACCCAGAATTTCATATCCAGCCAAACTAAGCTTCATAAATGAAGGAGCAATAAAATCCTTTACAGACAAGCAAATGCTGAGAGATTTTGTCACCACCAGGCCTGCCCTAAAAGAGCTCCTGAAGGAAGCAGTAAACATGGAAAGGAACAACTGGTACCAGCCACTGCAAAATCATGCCAAAATGTAAAGACCATTGAGACTAGGAAGAAACTGCATCAACTAATGAGCAAAATAACCAGCTAACATCATCATGACAGGATCAAATTCACACATAACAATATTAACTTTAAATGTAAATGGACTAAATGCTCCAATTAAAACACACAGACTGGCAAATTGGATAGAGTCAAGACCCATCAGTGTGCTGTATTCAGGAAACCCATCTCACGTGCAGAGACACACATAGGCTCAAAATAAAAGGATGAAGGAAGATCTACCAAGCAAATGGAAAACAAAAAAAGGCAGGGGTTGCAATCCTAGTCTCTGATGAAACAGACTTTAAACCAACAAAGATCAAAAGAGACAAAGAAGGCCATTACATAATGGTAAAGGGATCAATTCAACAAGAAGAGCTAACTATCCCAAATATATATGCACCCAATACAGGAGGACCCAGATTCATAAAGCAAGTCCTGAGTGACCTACAAAGAGACTTTGACTCCCACACATTAATAATGGGAGACTTTAACACCCCACTGTCAACATTAGACAGATCAATGAGACAGAAAGTCAACAAGAATACCCAGGAATTGAACTCAGCTCTGCACCAAGAGGACCTAATAGACATCTACAGAACTCTCCACCCCAAATCAACAGCATATACATTTTTTTCAGCACCACACCACACCTATCCAAAATTGACCACATACGTGGAAGTAAAGCTCTCCTCAGCAAATGCAAAAGAACAGAAATTATAACAAACTATCTCTCAGACCACAGTGCAATCAAACTAGAACTCAGGATTAAGAATCTCACTCAAAACCGCTCAATTACATGGAAACTGAACAACCTGCTCCTGAATGACTACTGGGTACATAACGAAATCAAGGCAGAAATAAAGATGTTCTTTGAAACCAACGAGAACAAAGACACAACATACCAGAATCTCTGGGACACATTTAAAGCAGTGTGTAGAGGGAAATTTATAGCACTAAATGTCCACAAGAGAAAGCAGGAAACATCTAAAATAGACACCCTAACATCACAATTAAAAGAACTAGAGAAGCAAGAGCAAACAAATTCAAAAGCTAGGAGAAGACAAGCAATAACTAAGGTCAGAGCAGAACTGTAGGAGATAGAGACACAAAAAACCCTTCAAAAAATCAATGAATCCAGGAGCTGGTTTTTTGAAAGGATCAACAAAATTGATAGATTGCTAGCAAGACTAATAAAGAAAAAAAGAGAGAAGAATCAAATAGACTCAATAAAAAATGATAAAGGGGATATTACCACCGATCCCACAGAAATACAAACTACTATCAGAGAATACTACAAACACCTCTACGCAAATAAACTAGAAAATCTAGAAGAAATGGATAAATTCCTTGACACATACACCCTCCCAAGACTAAACCAGGAAGAAGTTGAATCTCTGAATAGACCAATAACAGGAGCTGAAATTGTGGCAATAATCAATAGCTTACCAACCAAAAAGAGTCCAGGACCAGATGGATTCACAGCCGAATTCTACCAGAGGTACAAGGAGGAACTGGTACCATTCCTTCTGAAACTATTCCAATCAATAGAAAAACAGGGAATCCTCCCTAACTCATTTTCTGAGGCCAGCATCATTCTGATACCAAAGCCGGGCAGAGACACAACCAAAAAGGAGAATTTTAGACCAATATCCTTGATGAACATTGATGCAAAAATCCTCAATAAAATACTGGCAAACCAAATCCAGCAGCATATCAAAAAGCTTATCCACCATGACCAAGGGCTTCATCCCTGGGATCCAAGGCTGGTTCAATATACGCAAATCAATAAATGTAATCCAGCATATAAACAGAGCCAAAGACAAAAACCACATGAATATCTCAATAGGTGCAGAAAAGGCCTTTGACAAAATTCAACAACCCTTCATGCTAAAAATTCTCAATAAATTAGGTATTGATGGGACATATTTCAAAATAATAACAGCTATCTATGACAAACCCACAGCCAATATCATACTGAATGGGCAAAAACTGGAAGCATTCCCTTTGAAAACTGGCACAAGACAGGGATGCTCTCTCTCACCACTCCTAGTCAACACAGTGTTGGAAGTTCTGGCCAGGACAATTAGGCAGGAGAAGGAAATAAAGGGTATTCAATTAGGAAAAGAGGAAGTCAAATTGTCCCTGTTTGCAGATGACATGATTGTATATCTAGATAACCCCATTGTCTCAGCCCAAAATCTCCTTAAACAGATAAGCAACTTCAGCAAAGTCTCAGGATACAAATCAATGTGCAAAAATCACAAGCATTCCTATACACCAACAACAGACAAACAGAGAGCCAAGTCATGAGTGAACTCCCATTCACAATTGATCCAAAGAGAATAAAATACCTAGGAATCCAACTTACAAGGGATGTGAAGGACCTCTTCAAGGAGAACTACAAACCACTGCTCAAGGAAATAAAAGAGGATACAAACAAATGGAAGAACATTCCATGCTCATGGGTAGGAAGAATCAATATCGTGAAAATGGCCATACTGCCCAAGGTAATTTACAGATTCAATGCCATCCCCATCAAGCTACCAATGACTTTCTTCACAGAATTGGAAAAAAACTACTTTAAAGTTCATATGGCACCAAAAAACAGCCCGCATTGCCAAGTCAATCCTAAGCCAAAAGAACAAAGCTGGAGGCATCACACTACCTGACTTCAAACTATACTACAAGGCTACAGTAACCAAAACAGCATGGTACTGGTACCAAAACAGAGATCTAGATCAATGGAACAGAACAGAGCCCTCAGAAATAACGCCGCATATCTACAACTATCTGATCTTTGAGAAACCTGAGAAAAACAAGCAATGGGGAAAGGATTCCCTATTTAATAAATGGTGCTGGGAAAACTGGCTAGCCATATGTAGAAAGCTGAAACTGGATCCCTTCCTTACACCTTACACAAAAATCAATTCAAGATGGATTAAAGACTTAAACGTTAGACCTAAAGCCATAAAAACCCTAGAAGAAAACCTAGGCATTACCATTCAGGACATAGGCATGGGCAAGGACTTCATGTCTAAAATACCAAAAGCAATGGCAACAAAAGCCAAAATTGACAATTGGGGTCTAATTAAACTAAAGAGCTTCTGCACAGCAAAAGAAACTACCATCAGAGTGAACAGGCAACCTACAACATGGGAGAAAATTTTTGCAACCTACTCATCTGACAAAGGGCTAATATCCAGAATCTACAATGAACTCAAACAAATTTACAAGAAAAAAACAAACAACCCCATCAAAAAGTGGGCCAAGGACATGAACAGACACTTCTCAAAAGAAGACATTTATGCAGCCAAAAAACACATGAAAAAATGCTCACCATCACTGGCCATCAGAGAAATGCAAATCAAAACCACAATGAGATACCATCTCACACTAGTTAGAATGGCAATCATTAAAACGTCAGGAAACAACAGGTGCTGGAGAGGATGTGGAGAAATAGGAACACTTTTACACTGTTGGTGGGACTGTAAACTAGTTCAACCATTGTGGAAGTCAGTGTGGCGATTCCTCAGGGATCTAGAACTAGAAATACCATTTGACCCAGCCATCCCATTACTGGGTATATACCCAAAGGACTATAAATCATGCTGCTATAAAGAAGACACATGCACATGTATGTTTATTGTGGCATTATTCACAATAGCAAAGACTTGGAACCAACCCAAATGTCCAACAATGATAGACTGGATTAAGAAAATGTGGCACATATACACCATGGAATACTATGCAGCCATAAAAAATGATGAGTTCATGTCCTTTGTAGGGACATGGATGAAACTGGAAATCATTCTCAGTAAACTATTGCAAGAACAAAAAACCAAACACCGCATATTCTCACTCATAGGTGGGAATTGAACAATGAGATCACATGGACACAGGAAGGGGAACATCACACTCTGGGGACTGTTGTGGGGTTGGGGGAGTGGGGAGGGATAGCAGTGGGAGATATACCTAATGCTAGATGACGAGTTAGTGGGTGCAGCGCACCAGCATGGTACATGTATACATATGTAACTAACCTGCACAATGTGCACATGTACCCTAAAACTTAAAGTATAATAATAAAAAAAAAGAAAATGTGGTAGATTAATTAACATATATTTTAAGATTTTTTAAAGATTATATTCTCTCAGATTTCACTATTATCAGCTGTAAATCAAAGCAACACATTAAAAAAATAAGAAAGAAAAAACAGGGTCTCATTCTGTCACCCAGGCTGGAATGCAATGGCACAATCACAGTTCACTCCAGCCTCAACCTCCTGGGTTCAGGTGATCCTCCCACCTCAGCCTCCTAAGTAGCTGGGATTACAGGTGCGAGCCACCATGCCCAGCTATTTTTTTTGTCTTTTTTTTTTTTTTGCTGTGACAAAGTTTCACCATTTTGCCCAGGATGATCTCTAACTCGTGGACTCAAGCTATCTGCCCACCTCTACCTCCCAAAGTGCTGGGATTACAGGCATGAGCCACCCCACCTGGCTGCAACATAATTTATATTCTGCATTTATTTTTGCTTAAATATAAATTATATAAGATTTCAATCACATTTATTAGGTCAGTATTTGAGGATTAAATTTTATGTTTGCAATTAAATCAAACATCAAATTTCAAATCAAATTTCAAAAAAATTTCCATCAATTGTTGAATTATATCAAAAATAAAGTTTTCCATTTTTAAGACCCAAGTCTATTCCCAAATATATAAAAGTGAATATCACAAGCTAAAACAATATTTAGATAATGTGAACTTATAAGCAAGTATGCCGACATTAAAAATTATATAATTTAATTATTAAAAATAGAATTCTATCTGCAGTTACCATTAACATTTATTATATAAAATTAATTTCTGGAAGAAAATCTATGTAATATTAATTTTCACATTAAAATTATAATTATATAAAAATCTATAAACAACATAACCACCTATCACCAACTGGAATTAAAACCACAAACAAATATGAACACTTAGTTGTTTTGGGCTCAAATAATAACTTTTGTTTCTATATGTTTCTAAATTAAATTTTAAAATATTCCCTTTGTGAATTATAAATATGAGACTCCAGACATCAGACAGTTAGATATTGAGATAGTATCACTAGCACATCAGCTAAATAGGGTACCTTTGTCTTTGTTATTCATCTATTTTATACATTATCATATACTCCATCATGAGAATCAGGCTTGGTACACAATAGACATCTGATACATATTTATGGAATGAATGTGTACATGAGTAAATGTTTTACTTATAGTCAAAATAATTGACTTAAATATCTAGTCCAATTTTTGGAATATAAACTCTAAGAAATTAAAATCACATTTAAGTTTGAAATTTCTTGAAAGAAATTTAATTCAGATGTTAACCGTATGACACAGTATGCATCAAGAAAAATCTCTTTTGTTAAAAAGAGATTTTTATACTTACAAACTCCGCACATAATACTATCTCCTTTAAAACACATAGGTGAGTTCATATTAAAATAATGATTATCTTAGAGAGTAAGATATAAAGCAGAAGGAAGCCAGAGAAGATAGCTGAAGAATAAGTTACAGCTATGTGTTAATTTGTTCTTGAATTTCTATTACCAGTATATCCCATGTATTAACTCACTTATCCTCTAAAGAATACCGCAAAATAATTTATATTAGTAATACAAATATACTACTTATATATTAATTTTTTTCAGATAAGGAAATTAAGGTCTTGAGAGATACTATAGAATGTAGAAACTACATAGTGAACAAAAGGAGAAAATAACCAAGGGGCTACCATAATACCTTTATCACTCATTCTTTCGGTAAGACTATACCTTTGAAATTCATCTTACATGCTGCCATTCACTATGGATGCAACAAAGGGCATAACACATAGTGCCCTTTCCTCAGATGTAGAGTTGGCTAACAGAGTTGAAAATTCTATAAACAAATTTATAAAACAGGTCTCAATGTCAAAATTATCTCTGGGTCTAATATGCTGTGTCTTTTCTGACTTGTCAGTGTCAATTAATACCAATAATTAAAAACCTCTTGAAGTTGTCATACAGATTACAGAGCTTCAACTTTAGAAGAGAGGGCTGTCCTTGTTACCCTTCTTTTTCGGTTATATGCATTAGAAATAAATATGTCTTCATTATGTCTACATCTAGACTTTGTGTTATGAGTTTTGTGATCATCTGAGACCATCTCTAACAATTATAAAAGATTTGCAGGAGGCTGGAAATGACAAAATTACAGACAGTGTAATAATGTTAGCAAGTACAAAGTGAAATACATTCTCAGGATTTGGAGGAAAAAACAAGAGTGACATGAAAGCTCAGGGCAAAATTCATACAGGTCTGACATTCTATTGGGGTTCATCTTCAGGTAAGTGAAATTCTGCTCAGTTGACCTGGAAAAAATATATTACATTCAATGAAGTAACAAAAGGGGAGCTGGGAGGATTAACCTACTCTAGTGAGAGTGACCATTATGGGGATGGCTACTTCACATCAACTTATAAATAAAACTTGCTGAATCATGGTGACTGATCAGATGATATTATACAGCATTTAGCTAAAAATAGACTCAAGTCAGAACACTTTTTCAACTTCAGAAAAAATGTAATTTTTCATGCTGAAACAAATGGTGGAGCTTACCAAAGCCCTGCAATTGGAAGATACATACTATAGGGGGAAAAAAAATCTAAGGTTCTGAGTACCTTGTTGTGAATGATTATTCAGATCACACTGGGTAAAATATAAGTGGTAGCCACAGTGCAACTGAGGACTCTTAATGTTTACAACAGCCAAATTAATAAGAATTCCCCTAAATAAAAATAATCAAATGATAATAGTGAGAAAACATGAGTATGTGGTGAGAAAAAATATTTTAGAATAAGAATATTTAGAATTGAAATTATAAGAAGTAGAGGATTTCTGATACAGACACTTTAATATTAGTTTTTGCTTGCCTAAAATACAGTGAAAATTATTGTAATTAACAAATTCAAAAAACACTGAGACCGGAATTTTAGAAGAATCTTCACTGTGCATTTTTAAGATCTTGAAAATGATAGTAGTGGATGAGTTGTATTAAGAAAATTGTGATCCATGAGCTGAAAAGCTGAAGGAAACGAATGAGTTTCCTAGAGTTTGGTAGATGACTCCAATGAGGAAGATAGTAAAAAAGTGGTATCAGAATGCAAATCACAAGGAGAGGAGTTGTTGAGAGGCAGCAAATCGGGTGGAAAATTAGGCCAAAACATATTCAGTTTCTTTTTCATAGATATGCTTATGAAAAAGAAATTGGGAGAAAGAGCAATTTACTTTGGGGAGTATCTCAAAGAAATAGCAAGAGTAGAAAATATTACAATTAATAAAAGTTTGCATATTAAATAGAAAATACAAAATAATAAGGGAATTTGTTCATGATAAAGGTGTTATCACAGAGCAATTCCAAAACTTAAGTATAAGAGAATTACACTCGAATGCATTTTAGATGTATTTGTTGATTTAGCATCAAAACAAAGGAGAAGCATTAAAATTAGCAACTTGTGAATTACAAAACATGTTTTTTTTTTACTCATAGATAATAAGGATGTAACATTCTACCATGGTTTCTATAATGCCTATCAATTATTTGAACTTTGCCACTGGCACAGTAAAAAATCAAACATGCTCAAATAAATCCAAGGGTCCATCCACAAAAAAAGAATATATGATTGCTAGTCAGGTTTGTGGATTAGATGTGCCAGGAATCACAATGATCTGAATCTTGTTGTTAGGAGATATTTACATTCAATACCATGTAAGTCATTAACAGAGGTAATCATACTCAGTATACAGTTACACAAAATTCAAATGCCATTCACCTGGAATTTCTGGCTCACTGACTGTCAAAATGACAAAAATAAAGTATTACTGAGATTGTTAATGAACGAATCCTAAAACAATACTTAATATACTAGAAAACAGTTATAATTACAAATGGCAATTATTTTGTTCTTGAAATATTAGGTTATATGCTACAAAGTTAAAAAGATAAAAATATTAGAATCTTAAGTATTTTTATTATTTATGTATGAAAACTAAAAAGCTGTTATAAATAGTGCAATCATGCTTTATTGAAAACAGATACATTCAGAATCTTTCAGCATTAAAATATTACGTTTCCAGAAATCAAAGGAAAATTCATCAGCTCAAATCAATTTATTTGTATTTCACTATTTCACTTAATTATTCAATAAAATTTAAGTGCTAACCCTGTTCCCAATCTAAGACTTGATGCCAGAGATACAAAGATAAATAAGAAATAGTAAAAATAGCTTATTGTAAGTTATAAATATCTCTAATCCTTTCATATAGAACACATTTGCCATTATCAATCCACTTAGAAAAGTTTAAATGCATGACTGTTAAATTGCCTTGGTGGGAATTTTTGATTCTTAATTAAGGCATTGTAATATTAATAATATGGTTTGGCCGTGTCCCTACCCAAATCTCATCTTAAATTGTAGCTCCCATAATCCCCATGTGTGGTGGGAGGGACCCGGTGGGAGGTAATTGAATGATGGGAGCAGTTTCTTACATGCTGTTCTTGTGATAGTGAGTGAGTTCTCACAAGATCTGATGGTTTTATAAAAGGCTTCCCCCCTCGCTCTGCTCTAATTCTTCTCTCTCCTTCCACCTTGTGAAGACCATTTTTGCTTCCCCTTCCACCATGATTGTAAGTTTCCAGAGGCCTCCCCAGCCCTGTGGAACTGTGAGTTAATTAAACCTCTTTATAAATTACCCAGTCTCAAATATGTCCTTATAGTAGCATGAAAATGGACTAATAAAATTAGACTATGAATACATTATTCCAGGTTTTTATATTGGTTACTTCTGGTCATTATGGTGTTACATAATGAATAATCACAAAATCTCAGCCATGTATAACAATAAGCTTTTATGTACACTCATGCCTCTGTGCATTGACTAGGATGGCTCTGCTTTGTGCCATTCTGAGCCCCAGAGTGAAGAAGCAGCAGCTACAAGGGTTTTGTTCTTCTCATAGAGGAGGCAGACATGCACGTATGATAGGAAAAATACACAATGTTACTAACAATCGAAGCTGAGTATTGACATGCCATCATTTCTGACCGCATTCTGTCAGCCCATGTAAATCACATGGCTAAGCCCAACATTAGTGGGTCAAGGACACATTTTTGACCTTTTGTGGGAGGAAATGCAAAGTCACATGGCAAATACTGTAGATATAGGAAGAGGAGAAGAAACGGACATAACACTCTCTACCACCTTCTACTAAAAAAGTATGTGGACAAAAATGGTATACATTGCCTCTACCTAAGACATTTAATGAAACAGTTTAGTTTAATGAGAAAGAGCATAAAATCTAAAACCTAAATGACCATAAAAAGGATATCTTATATGAGCTTCAGGTATTTGTAAAATATAACTGGTAAGCTAACTGAAGATAATTGTAAAATATAACTGGTAAGCTAATTGTAAAATATGACTGGTAAGCTAATTATAACTTGAAGCTAATAATACAAGATATAATTATCTTGTATAAAGTCATAAACTTCATACAAGATAAATACTTTTTCTATACTGGTAATTTCCAAAGTAGCTTTAATGTCAGAAGCACATGAAATCTATGTTATATAAAATATTGATGCCAGACTTTTCCTTTGGATATTCGACTGAACAGGCATTATATAGGGTACAGATTTGTGCATTTTTAACAAGTCCTCAGATGATTCTGATATTCAGCAATATTTAAAAACTATTAGTCTATGATATAATTTAGTGATGTTGTCATAAATATATTAAATTCAACCATTTTTCAAATATTTCCAAAGAGAATTTTCATGAATTCTGTTTTAATAAAAATGACAATCTAATAATGGTTGTATATAATCACTTTTACAGGGCAGAATTCTCCAATATAGCTTGAAAAATAAGATTAAAAATTACATGCAGAATTGAAATGGGTTCATTTGAGAAGTTTTAATGTGTTCAAAATATATTAAAATGAGATATTTTCATTTTAAATCAATTATATTTAATAAGGAGATATAGAGTATGTAAATATTTTATAAATATTCATGCCATATTAACATTCTATAAGTAAACTATCAATTTCAGTAGTTCATATTGAGAAGCAATGGGAATATATTATCTACATAATTTATGATCAAGAAGAAATGATTTTGACATAATTACTAATCTTTTGGTTGATTTTTAAAATCATGATCATTTTTTCACATATTATTTATATCCACCATTTAATTATAGTTCTTTGGCCAGTTTTATAGATCCATTCATGAACAGGAGCTTAAGGAGGTATGTACAATAGTAGCAAATAATAAGAAGGGAAAGGAGTAAATTTGGAAGATTTCCAGGAAGATTGGAGTTGAGGGCAATGAAACTAAAATAAAGATGATACAAATATTTAGGAATATGACACCAGGTGCCTGACATTTTTCTACATTCTGTTGATACATTGTAAAAGAAAGACATTGTCCTACACTTTTCATCCTTTGTGGGAAAAAGTGTGGTATTGGGAATACATTTTTAAGAGACAAGGTCTCAAATACAAAATATCCTGCGTCGCAACTTTACAAGTATTGAAGACTGTATAATTCTGGGTACCTAGAATCTGGAAGTTGTTTTACGAGCTTGATTATCTGTATTTAACATGGATTTTTATTTTGGCTCCTGTGACAATGAAAAATCTTTCTTAGCATGTCAGAACAATTTAGTGATTTGAATAGTAGAGACATCTATGATCAAATGATACAGAAACAATCAATACAAACAGTCAAATAGCTCTTATTCGAAGGAGAATAAAGAAAGTCAAATAGCTAATTCAGTATTGTGCAAACTAAGCCTTTTTCAATTTTCAGAGATCTACCCGTTAGCTTTGTTAAAGATGATCTGGGTAACTGAGGCAGTTATTATTTTGTCAATGCTTAAATGCACTTTTGGGAAACCTTACCATTTTCATGAATTATAAAATAAAATGGCTTTTCATTACATTGAAAATTATATTTTCTTAATCTACATCTAATTTCTGTTTTTCCTGCAATGATTCATCGTTTACCCTAATGTCCCAAGTCACTCAACTATATGTTATAATAATTAATATTGTTTTGTAATTGATAATACAAGAACTCTATTTACAAAATACTCTCAGCCCATAGCTGGTTTTTCTGGTCCTCATGATAATTCTACAATTTACAGATTAGGAAACTGAAATGTGGGAAGTTAAATATATTGTCTGAGACTAGGAAACAAACTAATGTCTGTCAGTAACTAAAGCTATGCTCTTTTCATTCTGTCATGGTATTATGGTGAAAATAAGGCAGGACCTTGCCCATATTTGGTTCAGTCAGTATTACTGTTTAAGCATACAGGTTTGGAAGTGAAATAGCTATCTCACTTGAAGAAACTTAGCCTAACTTTTTTATTCCCATTTCCTCATCTGAAAAAATGGAAATAAACATAGTGCCAAACTGACAGCTTTTTGGTGAGTATAAGTGAGACTATGTATTCAAAAGCAACCAGGAAGCAATCAGTCACACTAAAACAAAAACTGTGATTCTCCTTATATAAGTTACTTAAACACGTAATCCTTATGGAAGCAGAGAATGGAATGGTGATTGTCAGGTACCATGAGTTAAGTGGGTAACAGCACATTGTTGCTAATTCAACATTTTGGGAGGCTGAGGTGGGAGGATCACTTGAGGCCAGGAATGTGAGACTAGCCTGGGCAACATAGTAAAACTCCAATTCTAGTTGGGCACGGTGGCATAAACCTGTAGCTATAGCTACTTAGGAGGCTGAGGTGGAAGGAACACTTGCACTTGGCAGGTGGAGGCTGCAGTGAGCCATGATCATGTCATGGCACTCCAGCCTGGGTGACACAATTAGACCCTGTCTCATTAAAAAAAAAAAGAAAAATTAGTGAGAGGATAGATCTAATGTTAAATGCTCTTAACATTACCACGAACACAAACACACATATACACACATGGACACAAGAGGCAATGGATATGTTTGGAGGCAACAGATATGTTTGGAGGCAATAGATGTGTTTAGTACCTTGAGTTTTTTGATGGTATCACAGGTATACACACATACACACACACACACATACACACACACACACATACATACATACATATACATACATATGTCCAAACTCAGGGATGTACACATCAAATACGTGCAATTTTTGTACATAAAAAGCTATTAGCAAAATAGAGATTGATGCATAATAACTGATAACATTTATTCAGTGTTTACTGTACCTCATAGACTTTTGGGGAGGATTAAATTGAGTATACACAGATAAATAGGGTTAAACTGCCTGGAACATAATAAAGGTCACCAAATTTAGTTTTACACTTAATCTCAATAAAGCTTAACTGGATTTCCAAGAACATCAGAAATTAAGCAATCATTATTAAAGAATCAAGTTATGAATATAGGTATGACTTCATATAACTAAGGTAATTTTTATGACTATTCAGATCACATTAGACTTTCCAGGAAAGTACACTGTGCAATACACTTTAAAAACCATCAACAAATATTTAAATGGAGCCCACTGGTTCATTTATGTACATTTTCCAAAAAGATAGGTTGTGTATATATCAAAACAGGAAATTCCAGATCACTACAAGAGAATTTTAAAAACATATGAAATGAGTAACTAGGTATGTAATTAACTTTTCATGTACGGAAACAAATTATGAGCAAGGAAAATTTAAAAAATAAATTAAAAATTGACATATTCTAGTATAGTGTGTCATAGGACAATTTGTATACTTGAAATAAATAGTTTTAAATAATTTGATGAGAGCCACCATGGCTTTATCTTTAGTGTAGTGTTTAGAATTTATTCATTTGTCAAGAATGTGTCAAAAACAGGCACTCACAATATTGCAGAATAGGAGTGTCCAGTGCTCATTCCTTAAAAGAACACCAATCTGAACAACCATCTACATTTGAAAATACCTTCACAAGAGTTAAAGAATCCATGTGAGAGATTACAGTACCTGGGTGAAGCAAAGAAATGAGAAAAGATGCACTGAACAGGGTAGAAGGCAGTTTTACATTACCCACATCACTCCTCCCTCAAGTTACACATCACAGCATATAGAGAGATACCCTCTACTTGGCGGGGTGGGGAGAGTAAAGTGAGCACCCAACACACTAAAGACCTCAGCATCAGGCCCACCCCAGTAAAACCCAATACCACAGCAGCCCATACAGACCCAAGCTCCAGGCCTGCCCCAACACCAGGCCATACCCTGTAACCCCAATCTTCAGGCTAGTCCCTAAAGACATAAGCTCTGCCAGACCCAGGATCTTGGTCTGTCCCAGTAGACCCAGAACCAGGCTGGACCCATAAACCGAGACTCCAGGCACATCCCTGAGGATCCAAGCTTCAAGATGTTCCTTTCAGGTCCCAGACCATGGCCCAACTCTACAGACTTAGGCTCCAGGCCCAGCCAGTGCTAGGCCAGTCACTATCAACTCAGTCTCAACACCTGCTCTAACAACAGGTTAGTCCCCATAGATCCAGGCTTCTGGCTGGTCCCCATGGACCCAGGCTTCAATCCCAGCCCAAAATATTCACACTCTCGCCCAGCCTACCCAAGGACTTCAAAAACAAACTCAGTGGTGGACCCTATTAGTCAGCATGCCCAGAATATCTGGACAGGTTGATTGGTAAATAGCTTTGCTGCCAAAGTCAGATTATAGAGATTAAATGAGGTACCTACTTATTCATAAGCACAGACACCAATACAAGGCCATTATAAAATATGGCACTGGTATCTAACCTGAAAAAATGGAAATCTGAAAACTGCCTGACAAAGAGTTCAAAATATTCATTTTAAAGACCTCAGTGAGCTACAAACTAACATAAACAGACAACTAAGTGAAGTGAGGAAAACTGCTTGAACAAAATAAGAAGTTCCAGAAAGAAAAAGAAGTTATAAAAAAAAAGCACCAAATAAAAATTCTGGAGCTGAATTAAGAATACAGTGATTAAAATAAAATATTCTATACAGGTCACCAACAACAGACTCCATCAAACAAAAGAAAGGATGCAATAGCTTGAAGACAGGTCATTTTAAATTACACAGTCAGATGTTTATTTAGGCTCACAATTTTTCAGGCTGTACCTGTGCGGGTACCTCCTGAACCTAAAATAATATTTAAGAATATAAACAATTAGCACAACAGAAATAGTAAGTCCTTCCTTACCAATAATTACTTTTAATATATATGACTTAAATTTTCCCATTAATAGCCACACAGTGTAGCTGAATGGGTTAAAGGGAAAAAAAAGAGAAACAAGATCCAAGTATACACTGCCTACAAAGGCTCACTTTAGTTATGAGGATATACATAGGCTGAAATTGAAGGGATAGAAGAAGATACCTCATGCAAATGAAAACCAAAAAAGAGCAGCACTACTATAATTATCACACAAAATAGACTTTCAGATAAAAATTGTAAGAAAAGACAAAGAAGGTCATTATATAATAAAGAAGTTAATTCATCAAGAGGATACAAAAATTATAAATATATATGTACCCAACATAAGAGCCCCTAAATATATAAGACAAATATTAATGGATATTTAATGTTTAACATAAGGGAGAAATAGATAGAAATACAATAATAGTTGGGGTCTTCAATAACCCACTTTCAGGAATGATGTATCATTCAGGCAGAAAATCAATACAGAAACAACAGAGTTAAACAATATTATAGACCATATAGACCATAATTAACAGACATATACAGAACATTCTATCCAACCACAGCAGAATGTGCTTTCTTTCCCAGTGTTCAAGTGCACATGGAACATTCCCCAGGATAGATTATATGTTAGGCCACAAAACAAGTCCTAACATAATTAAGATTGAAATCATATCAAGTGTCTAATGTGACATTGGTGTGAAACCAGAAATCAATTACAGGATAAAAACTAGAAAATTCTAATATAATTGGAAATTAACACACTTCTGAATGACAAATGGATTAAAGAAAAAATTAAAAGGAAAATAAAAATTTTGAGAGAAATGATAATGGAAATACAATGTACCAAAACTTTCGGATGCAGGAAAAGCAGTTTTCTTCTAAGAGAAAAGTTTATAACAATAAATACCTACAGGAAAGAAAAACAGAACTATGTCAAATAACTTACCTCACTTTACACCTCAGGGGACTAGAAAAAGGGAAAAAAGTAAGACTAAAGTCAGTAGAATCAGGGAAATAATAAAGGTCAGAACAGAGGTAACTAAAATCAAGACTAGGGAAGCAACAGGAAAGATCATTGAAATGAAGAGTTTACTTTTTAAAAATAAAAACAAAATCTACCAACCTTTAGCTAAAATAAGAAAAACAAGAGAGAAGACTAAAATAAACAAAATTTTATATGAAAGAAAAGACATTACAACTGATACTACAGAAATGCAAAGGATCATAAGACTATTATCCATTATATACCAACAAATCAGATAACCTACAAGAAATGCATAAACAACTAGAATAATACAACCAACTAAGAGGGAATCATGATGTTTATTTTGGCTCACAATTTTTCAGGCTGTACAAGAAATATGGTGCCAGCATCTGCTCTGGTGAGTGCCTCAGGGAGCTTACTATCATGGTTGAAGGTGAAGGGGGAACCAGCATATCACATGGAGTGAGAGGAAGCCAGAAGTAGAGGCAGGGGTAACACGCTCTTTTAAACAACCAGATCTCATGTGAATTCATTACTATGGGGAGGGCACTAAGCCATTTGAGAGGGATCCATTCCCATGACCCAAACATCTCCTATCAGTCTCCACATCTTACATTAGGGATCACATTTCAACATGAGATTTGGAGGGTACATACATCAAAATAACCTCACAGAGTAACTAACAAAGGAAAAAGAAAGAAAAGGCATCCAAATTGAAAGGGGAGAAGTAAGATTGTTTCTATTTGCAGATAACATGATTTCATAAATATAAAACCCTAAAGATTCCACCAAAAACTGTTAGAACCAATAAACATTGAGTAAAGTTGTAGAACTGAAAATCAACATATAAAAATCAGTTGTGTTTCTATATGCTAACATTGAACTATACAAAAATAAAATAAATTTACAAAAGGAAATTAGGAAAATAATCTATATTCAATGGCATAAAAATATTTATGAATAAATATAACCTGTAAGGTGAAAAGATCTGTAAACTGAACACTATAAAACACTGACGAAAGAAATTGAGGAAGACACAAACAAATGGAAAAATACACCATGTTCATTGGCTGGAAGAATTATAAGTGCTGATATATCTATACAATCTAAAATGATCTAGAGATTCAATGCAATACCTTATGAAAATTCCAATGGCATTTTTCACAGAAGTAGAAAAAACTATTCTAAATTTTATATGGAATCAAATAAGACTTTTAATAGTCAAATCAGTCTTGAACAAGAAAAAGAAAGCTGAAGGCATCTGTATTAGTCATTTTCACACTGCAACAAAGGACTGCCCAAGACTGGGAAATTTATAAAGAAAAGAGGTTAAATTGACTCACAGTTACACTGGTTGAGGAAGCCTCAGGAAACTTACAATCATTGTGGAAAGGGAAAAGGCAGATCTTACATTGCAGCAGGCAAGAGAACAAGCATGTGGAGGAAGAACTATCAGATACTTATAAAACCATCAGGTCTCATGAGAACTCACTCACTATCATGAGAACAGCATGGGGGACCTTGCCCCCATGATCAAAAAGCCTCCCACCAGGTCTCTCCCTGGACACCTGGGTACTTACGGGGATTACAATTCAAGATGAAATTCAGGTGGGGAGACAAAGCCTAACCATATCAGCAACACACTACCTGATTTTATACTATACTGCAAAGCTATAGTAATCAAAACAGTATGTTACTGGCATGAAAACCGATGCACAGATCAATGGAATGGAGCAGAGAGCCCAGAAATAAATTCACACCATTATGGTCAATTGATCTTTAACAAAGGTGCCATAAACAAACAATGGAGAAAGGACAGTCTCTTCAATAAACGTTGGGAAAACTGAATATCCACAGGCAAAATGATAAAATTGGACCCTACTTTACACCATGAAAAAAAGTGAACTCAAAATGGGTTATTAAAGACTTAACTATAAGGACTTCAGGTGTAAAACTACTAGTAAAAAATCACAGGGAAAAAGCTTCTTGACACTGACCTAGGTGTTGATTTTTTTAGATATGACCCTAAAGGCACAGGCAACAAAAACAAAAAGAGACAAATGGAATTGCACCAAA
The DNA here is from genome assembly GCF_000001405.40 of Homo sapiens. Lineage (NCBI taxonomy): Eukaryota > Metazoa > Chordata > Mammalia > Primates > Hominidae > Homo > Homo sapiens. The sequence continues at coordinate 43,717,923 of NC_000014.9, forward strand.
CCAAAAAGCTACTGCACAGCAAAGGAAACAATCACCAGAGTGAAGTGTGATGAAAGTATTTGCGAACGATGTATCTGATAATGGGTCAATATTCAAAATATATAGGAAACTCAAACAGCTCATTTAAAAAATGAATTCTAATAACCCAATTAAAAAATGAGCAAAGAACCTAAGCACACTTTTTTAACAGAAGACAAATGTCCAATATGTATATGAAAAAATGCTCAATCTCACTTATCATCAGGGAAGTGCAAATAGAAACTTAAATCATGTATTACATCACACCCATTAGAATAGTTGACATCAAAAAGATGAAAGATACTATGTGTTAGTGAAGATGTGAAGAAAAAGGCACCTTTGCACACTGTTGGTGGGATGGTAAATTGGTATAGCCATTATGCAAAACAGCGTGGAGGTTCCTAAAAGAAATATTAAAAATAGAACTATTGTATGGCTTAGCAATTTCACTTCTGGCTATGTATTCAAAGGCAATGAAATTACTATGCTGAAAAGATGTCCACTCTCCTATGTTTATTGTAGCATTATTGACAATGGCCAAGTAATGAAATAAAAATAAATGGTCATTGACAAATAAATGGCTAACGTAATGTATTTGTGTATTTATCACAAGAGAATGGAAAATTATTCAGCTTTCATAAAGAAGGAAATTCTGTCATTTGTAACAACATGGATGAATTTGGAGGACATTAAGTTAAGTGAAATATATGAGACACAGAAATACAAATACTACATGATCTCATTTATAAGCAGAATCTAAAAAATGTTAAACTCATAGAAGCGGAGAGTATAATGGTTTTTACCAGAGGCTAGAAGGAAATAGGAAGATATTGGTTAAAGAATAGAAAGTTTCATTTATACAGGATGAGTACACTTTGGAAATCTAACGTATAGCATTGATATGGTTTGACTCTGTGTCTTAACTTTGAAGTGTGAAACACATTTGATGCATTGTTTTGCTGGCCCAGGAAATCCATTTTCACAGAGTCTTGGTGCCCTTCCTCAATATTCCTCAAAATTTTTTCTTTACAACTGTTCTAGATCAATACACATGCTCAATGTGGCCCTAAAGTGAGTTTTTCTCTCTGTTCCCCATTATGTATTCCACTCCATGAGATCAAGGACTACGCCTTAATCATCATTACATTCTTGGAACATAAGAATTAATAAATGAAAAAAATGGAAAATCCTTTTTTAGTTGCTGAAACTAGAGGGCTTTTTTGTCTTAGACTATGAGATAGGTTTTCCCAAAGAGTGCTGGCCACACATTAGATTTCCTAGATACAAAATCATCATTCCTGGATGCCTATACAAAAAATCTTCCCTGCTAAAGGGTGGCTCCGAGGGTTGATTTTTCCTGTAGACCAGTCATCTGTTCAGAAGCACATACAAATGTGGAATGCTTTTTTCCTTCATGATTTCAGAGGTTGCATTGTAACATTCTACAATCAGTAATTTTCAAGGATTTATAAATGAACTTGCTTACAATAAAACTAAGCAAGGTTGACAGTGAATCTAGTCATATAAGTGAGACATTAACTCTTCATTTTTTTCTTCGAGTTTTACATTTAAATAAAGAGAAATATATGCCAGTGACATATTAAGTTGGAGCCACCATGAAATATTATATATTCATACATTTAGCAAATATTCTGTGACAGTGTATTATGTACCACATAATCTTCCAGGAGGTTTGGGTACACAGCAATAAAAAGGATAAACTGCTGTTTTGTCAAGAAAGCAAAACAATGGAAACTTTAGCTATTATATTTTTTGTTTAAATTGAGAGATATTATTTGTTATGGCCTACAATCACAAACTACAAAATGTATTACAGGTTGGCTATTTCTTACTTGAAATGCTTGGGAGCAGAAATGTTTTGGATTTTGGAATGCTTTGGATTTAGGAATATTTGTGCATACATAATGAGATAAATTAGGGATAAGTCCAAGTCTAAACACAAAATTCATTCATATACGCCTTATACACATAGCCTGAAGTTAATTTCATAAAATATTTTCAAATAATTTTTACATGAAACAAAATTAATAATTGTGTACATGAGGACAAGTGTGGAATTTTTCACTTGTGTTATCAGGCTGGTGCTCAAAAATTTCAGATTTTGGAGCATTTCAGATTACCTATTTTCAAATTAGGGATGCTTAGCCTGTATTTTAAATAAATACACAATAAAATAAAAACATTAAATGTCTTCAACTATTTTTTCTTATTGTAAGCATCATAATACATAAACTAACAGAATTTTCAGTGAACAAGGTACTGATTTTTTAAATGACATTGTAAAAAAGATGAGATTCAAGAAGTTTGGAAGTATCCAAGAAATAGAAATGTAGGTCACTATGTTCTTTGGTATCAGAGAAGTAATAAAAGCATCAAAATATTTTTTATCCTGTAGCGTACAATATTTCCACATGAACCACTGCAAAAACAATTACAGTTCAGTAAGAAAAGAAAAAAGGCAAGATAAGAAAAATAAATTGGTCATAGCTATACATTTTGCAAGGTAATTATCATATTTAAAAAATAGTATCCTAGGGCAACACTACTAAAGCAAATCGCTACTAAAACATCTTTGGTATCTCAAAATCGAATCTCTGCTCCACTTTAAATTTATATGTAGTGCAGTGACTCCACAGTGAATTTTCTTGTGCTGTGCAGCATAGTAATTCCTGGGCTATGCATTAAATAGCGCACTAATGAATTTCACACGGATGCCATCACTTTTCCTTAGAGCATCAGTTTCCTGTTTGATATCGTTAAGTTTCTTCTAGAGTGTTGTCATGTCAGTAATATTTGATGGCACAAGTTTATTTCGTTATAAAAAAAAAAAACTGTGTCCCTCTCAAAGACAACTGTATTCGTATAAAAATAGCATTTCACTTTAGGTCTTTCTACTTTCCTTTTCCCTTTTCTCCTTTCATATTTCCTCTTTCTCTCCTTTTTTTCCTTCCTTCCTCCCTACCTTCTCTCCCTCCCTCCTTCCTTCTCTCCCTCCCTCCTTCCTTCTCTTTTTCTCTTTTTTTTCTTTCTCTCATTCTTTCCCTTCCTTCCTTCCTTGTCTCTCTTTGTCTCTCCTTGACTTCTGTCCTGCTTTTCCTGCACTTCTTTTTTCTTTTTCTTTTTAAAATAGGGACATTTCAATTATCACCCTTATTCATCACTATCTTGTTTTTATTCATTTATTTCACTTATGGCTTCAGTTTATTACAATTTGCCTCCAAAGAATGTCTACTTTTGCTTGTCTATTGTTATATTACTATACACCTCTATGTCTACACCTGATAATTTTTTACTCTAATTTTTAGTCTGTTTTTGCAGGAAACAAAGCATCTTTTATGCCTCCAACCTTCTCTGCAATATATAAAATATTAGAGAAAAGAAGTAGCATGTGGAGGTAGAGACTAGTTTCATCAACATAAGAATAACTACAATAGGAATAAATTATCTACCATAGGATATCTTCTCTATATAGTAGAAAGTACTTGAGGACAAGAAAGGAACAAGAAAAGAGGGAAAATAAGGAAGAACAGGAAAAGTGGAGGATATTCAAGGAAATAACATGTATTAATCTGTTTTATGTTGCTATAAAGGAATACCTGAGGCTGGGTAATATATAATAAATAAATATAATAAATAAATAAAATATAAAGAAAAGAGCTTTATTTGGCTCATGGTTCTGTATGCTGTACAAGCATGGCACCTACATCTGCTAGGCTTCTGGTGAGACCTCAAAAAGCTTTTACTCATGGCAGAAAGTGAAGAGAGATTGAACATGTCACACAGTGAGAGAGGGAGCAAGAAAGGGAAGGAGGTGCCAGGCTCCTTTTAACAACCAGCTTTCAAGTGAACCAACAGAGTGAGAACTACTCATTCCCATGGGGAAGACACCAAGCCATTCATGAGGGATCCACCCTCAGGTCCCACCTTCAACATCTGGGGTCATATTTCAACATGAGATTTGCGGGGACAAATATCCAAACCATATTAGAAAGACTGGAAATTTTTGTTTCACGTGTTTTCCTTCTTGAAACAGTAACTAAGCCTTACTGTTCTAAGGCCAGGTTCTTCTTTTTTTTTTTTTTTTTTTTTTGAGACGGAGTCTCGCTCTGTCGCCCAGGCCGGACTGCGGGCTGCAGTGGCGCAATCTCGGCTCACTGCAAGCTCCACTTCCCGGGTTCACGCCATTCTCCTGCCTCAGCCTCCCGAGTAGCTGGGACTACAGGCGCCCGCCACCGCGCCCGGCTAATTTTTTGTATTTTTAGTAGAGACGGGGTTTCACCTTGTTAGCCAGGATGGTCTCGATCTCCTGACCTCATGATCCACCCGCCTCGGCCTCCCAAAGTGCTGGGATTACAGGCGTGAGCCACCGCGCCCAAAGGCCAGGTTCTTCTAACCACTCTGGGATAATAAGCCATGAAGGACATCCCCCAACCACAGCTTTGGCCTTTGAGTTTTAAGATTAACTGTGTTCAATATTTAAATTTGCATATCAGATAGAAGGCAAAAAGAGAAGCTGGTGCATCCAGTGCAAGAGGAGTGGTCAGCCCCTACTGGAGGATTCCTTAAAGTGGACACCAGCTGATTCCAAGAGTGGGATGGGCATCCCATAATTCTGCCATGGGCAGGAACTAAGACACCATGACAAATGGCTCCAAAGATGGGCCTCTCACATGGGGAGAGGATGTGTGGATGCACACGGAAGCAGGTCATAAAGCCCAGTGACCTTGGGGCCTCTGTAAGGAGCAGGCAGGGAGAACAGTGACTGACAGATGGAGAATACTCTTCAATGGCAGAAACAGTACTACTGACAACAGCAACCACTTAAGCCTAATGCTAAACCCTTCCAGACTGAATAAGATTCTGACATTTCATATACCTTGTGGTAAGCAGAGAAATGTCCCTCTCCCCAGAGATGCCCATGTGCTCATCCCTGATAGCTGGAAATATGCTACATTATGTTACATAGCATAGGGGAATTAAAGTTGCTGACAGAATTAAAGATTGCTAACAAACTGAATTAAAATAGAGAAATTATCCTGTATTATTCACATGGGCTCAATGTAATTATAAGATTCCCTAAAAATAGAAGAGGGAGGCAGAAGAGTAAGTGAGGTGATAGGATGTGAAAAGAACTCAAGTCACCATTGCTGATTTTGAAAATGGAGAAAAGAGGCTATTCTATGATCCAAGGAATGCCGGCAGTCTCTAAAAGCTGGAAAAGGCAAGGAAATGGATTCCCCTGTTCCTTCCATAAGGAAATGCAGCCCTGCCAACACCTTGATTTTAGTCCTGTGAAACCTGTGTTGGGCATCTGACCTACAGAACTATAATATATAAATATATATATATACACACACACACATATATATATACACACATACATATACATATATATATATATATTTGCTGTTTTGTGCTATGAAGTTTGTGGTAATTTTTTACAGCAGAAATAGAAAACTAATACACACCTCAGAAAGAAAAATGATGCAGAAAATTTACTGTTAGCTTTCACTGTCAAATTAGCAATAGTACACGTGTACAAGTATGAATGAGTAAATACACATCTATTCCATAAATAGTTATGGAAAACCGTTTCCCCATATGTAAAAGCCCCACTTAATATTGAATCACACTAATATACCTCCTTAGGACTCTTACCTTGAATGTTTAAATATGTGGGTACATCTAACCAAGAAAAAAATTTCCATGGCAAATAAAAGTCTTGGTGCATATGTATTCTGAAAGGAATCTCAATAGAAGTTAAATCTCCCAAAGCTGAGGCTCCTTATAATGAAACAAGGAGAGAGATCAGCCTGACTTTCCTCGCCATGGCTGACATCAGGACTAACCCCAGTCAAGCCTGCAAGTAGCCTTTGGGGAGTCATTTTATTGCTCAGCTGTCAACTGCAGAGAGCTGAGCGACATCCTGTAAATCCTATATAATGAAGAGATTTTGTTCCAGAGGGTAGCTATTACATGGACAAGAACTATGGACATCCTATGTTTATACTGGAGGTCAAATTCTCAACAAGTAAAGCTTTTAGTTACTACCCTTCCAAGCATAAAAGAAAAGTGAAATAGTCTGCACTTCCGCACAATATGTCTTTCCTTCCTGTCAGGCCTCTGCCTAAAATACAGCCTAGTGACTGACGTTAAAGTACATCCAGGTGCTATTGCTGGCAGAGGGCTAAAGGTAATAAAGAAAGTTCCACAGTTCCACCTGGAGCAGAGCTGCTGGGCAGCACATGGAGAGTGATTCCAGCGGATCCTGGCTTGTGCTCCTTTATCTTACGTACAACATAGTACTTCATGAGCCAAAAATGTGAGAAATATTTGCTTAGGTCTGAGTATATGCACCTATAAATGGATGCTTAAGAAAAACATATCTCTGTGATAGGAGAAAAATTGGTTGTGATATATATGGATGGAATATTTATAACGTACTATATACTATTTCACTTACATTTTACTTTTCTATAAAAACTATTTTAACATATATCTCACCAAATTATATTTTATGTTTCACTTTTATCAAACTTGATGGCTGATGGAATCACACCCTCAAGAGCTATGAGGGGCCATTCAGTGTCATTAAGAGGCATCACTTTGCTGACTCACTCCAGCAAGAACATTCGAACTATTTTCTCAAAAATTGAGAGTTCACAGAATGTTTTGCTTTGCAAGGAAGAAGTAGAAGCTTTCCACTCCCAGAGAAAATTAATATTTTTAACCATCCTTACATAGAACAAAAATACTTTACTATTTTAACTGAATACTACATAATGACCAAAGTTTGGGTACTCCATTATGTATCGTTTATGAGTCCACATGGGGCCCTGAAGGCCAATTCCAATTACATGCAAGGGAGGTCTAACCTTGCAGACTCTGTTAACTCAGCAGCCTTCCTTAGTGGCCTCAAGGGTTCACCAATCTATGTACTCTTCTTATCAAAGCTTGCATCAACATAACAGTTATTACGCTGTACCATTGGGGGCAATTTCTTTTTATTTGAAAATTTTCTTTCAGGTGACTAGGGAATGAAAAATTTGTTGACATATTCACAAGGAACATATATAATAGAAATTGCTCAATATGGGATTGCATTTAGAAATACATTATTTAATGAGGAAGGTTTAACCTTCAAGGTACAGTAAAATTAAATGTCTATAGTCGTCATTTTTTATTAGTACAATTTAGACAAACATGAAATCTGTAAACCTCTGAAAATATAATATATAACTAATTATACTACAAACAACAACCCCAGTGAATTATTATAGAAAGTAACTCATGACATAAAAGAAAATATATTGTTTCAGAGGAAATAGATTTCTAGTGATACAATCAAAGGCCAATAAATCTTTTTATGCACATACATAAAGAGTAATACTTTTCAGTATTTTTGTTGTTATTCAATGTTATAGAAAAGGCAATTATATTTCAGTTTTTAAAATATATCTAAATAATATTTAGGTACATTTGGAAAAGTAAAAACTTTTAATTCACTTACCATTATAGAAAAAAGCAGAGACATGCAGATTGCCAAAGGAAACAAACCAGCGGAATTCTTTCTTTTGTCCAGAGAGGCATTGTATGAAGTAAAGAGTGGGGGGGAAAAGCCTAACAAATATATTGATAATAATAATGGGTATATAAAAAATAGACAAGTAAATAAACAAGCACAATAATGTCTTGCCAACTATGGCTTCCCACATCTCGGAAAATTAAATATACTTGGAATCATTACATATAATCTTTTCGTCCCCAAGATAGGTTTTTTACAGAGGGTAGCTAGTCAAGTATAAGCAGGGCAGGAGAGATCTCCCTCGACACACACACACCAGGAGTGTTGGGCGACCATCAGGTGATGCTCAGGAGGTTGTTAACGGTTTCTCTAAGGTAATAATTGGTCTCAGCTGGCGCCAGGGCGAGGCAGTCTCCTAAATAGAAAACACCTGAAACTGATCAGCAGCGTCTCAGTAAAATCTTAGGAGTGGGGAGAAGTAATGCAAGATCCTGGAAGTAGGTCAATGTATAAAACCCCAAGTCGAGCTGTCAGGCTGCACACTTGGTTTCTCAAGTCATCCGCTTGGCCCTCTTCCAAGTTGTACTTTCCTTCTTTCCTTTCCTTTCCTTGCTGTTCTAAAGCTTTTTAATAAACTTTCACTCCTGCTCTGAAACTTGCCTCTGTCTGTCCTTCTGCCTTATGCCCCTCAGTCAAATTCTTTCTTCTCAGGAGGCGAGAAATGAAATTGCTGCAGACCCAAACAGATACACCACCGGTAACTCGGGGTAACTCGGATTCCTGCCAGCAGTATGAGTTTTAGTCTCAATTTTTGGAAAAAAAAAAAAAAAAGGCTGAGATACTTCATTAACTTACTGAGGACTTAATATAATCTATTAGAAAGTTACACTGTGTACATGTTTATAGTAGATTTGTTTTTCCTATATGAGTATCAGGAAAAAAAAAAACATGGTTGGGAATCACCCTCGTGCTTAAATTTAGTGTAGACGGACTGGAGTGGGCACAGAGACACTTCCCATGGAAAGGCCTTGCTTCCCTTGATAGAGGACTGAACCAGGAGGCTTCATGACCACATTGGCAAGGGGCAGGGTAGCACTAATCACAAATTCTTACTCAACTGCTGGAATTCCAGGGGACTTCTTTTTCTTTTTTTTCTTTTTTTTGAGACGGAGTCTCGCTCTGTCACCAGGCTGGAGTGCAGTGGTGCGATGTCGGCTCACTGCAACCTCCACCTCCCAGGTTCAAGCAATTCTCCTGCCTCAGCCTCCCAAGTATCTGGGACTACAGCTGAGCACCACCACGCCCAGCTAATTTTTGTACTTTTAGTAGAGACGGGGTTTCACCATTTTGGCCAGAATGATCTCAATCTCTTGACCTCAAGATCCGCCGGCCTCGGCCTCCCAAAGTGCTGGGATTACAGGCGTGAGCCACTGCGCCTGGCCTCCAGGAGACTTCTTTCTAGGATTGCTAGTAACTCACCCTGTCCACCTTCTACTCTGAGATCCAAAAAATGATGGAGAGTAGACTTTCAACCAATCTGGGTACATTAGTGCTTATACCAAATAAATGTAAGAAAATTAAGAAGTGTGTCATTATTTACACTTCAAGGCAAAAGAAAAATCAATTCTTACCTCTTGTACTGCTTGTGCTTCTTAATTTCCCTCTGGAGGGCTCCAGCCAGACAGTTGTCTAGTACAGACACTGCTCAATGTCTCAAATCATCTTTTTCATTCTATATAACAATATTCCTCTTCCTTTCTCTTGTTCATAACAGGCAGAATTTTTTAGCAAAATTTTATAAAAACCTCTTAGTTAAAAGTTTATTTACTTTTTTGTCATTTTACTAGTTTGAAGATAGGGAAAAAAGGTGTCTTTGTTAATAATAGAAGTGACATATTTGGAGCAGGTTTTAAAATATAAAAAGATGATGTACCTAGCTCATAGTTTGCAAGGTAGGGGAAATTACTTCCAAGCAGTTTGAAGGGAAATTGACATTTTGGAGAAACATGATCTAGAAAAGAAACAGAAAAGACATCACGTCCTCCTATCATGTCTTCCCTCAGTGTGATTTTATTTTGTTATTCTCCATCCCCGCTTATATGTACCCAAACACAGAAAAATCTGATCAAGGAGCAGGGGGATTTGGAATTACCTGGGAGCCCTAGATTGGGCCTGGGGCTGAAAGAAGGGTAGCTCTGTAGAATTCACAGCTGTCATAAGAAAAGTAAAACTACTCCAGGTACAGATGGACCATCTTGACAAACTCTGAAAATAACGTATTAAAGTTTTTCTAAAACATTGCTGAAATAATATTAGAGTAATATTAAATTATAATATTGAAAGATATATGAATTTTATATGGAGACAATATGCAATGGAATCAGAATAAATGGTAATAAGGGATAATTACATTTAAGATATTCACTCTATTTCTGTTTATTTTTTAACAACAAATTTGTACTTAAATCAGTCAGAATTTTTCTCAAGATAGAATAATTTACCCTACCAGCTAAAATAAATGAAGTATGTTTTCTTTTATATATGAGGTTTGATGACTTTTTGACAAGGAGCTGCTTTTTCCTATCTGATTTTATATATGTATATATACATATATATGTATTATATATAGTAGATATATTTGTGTATGTATATATATAACAATTATAAATTTGTATGTATTTATACTTTAGTGCTATGCTTTATAGAATATTAAAAACAAGAAGACACTTGCAAAGGCAAACATTTTAAATATATATATATAGGCACTTATATATATGCAAAAATATATATAGGCAATTTGATATCCCAATATTGGATTTAGAATATTATGCTAAGAAGCATTGTGAATTGATGACATCATCTAAATTATTTAATTGACAATGGTATACTTTATGGAATATTAAAAATAAAAAGATACAGACATTATTTTACAAATGACAGATTGTTCATAAAGGAGTGTAGGTTGTTTGTGGAAGAATAAGAGGAGATTGGAAAAGGCCTTTTCGTTTACAAGAACAACTGTAAAGTGTACATTACAGGGAGAATCTTGTTGGAATTAGGATGCATGTGTGCGGCTCAGAGCTTTTTATATATTCAGAATTTTTTTTTTTTTTTTTTTTTTTTTGGGCAGAGTCTCACTCTGTCACCCAGGCTGGAGTGCAGTGGTGTGATCTCAGCTCACTGTAACCTCTGCCTCCTGGGTTCAAGCGATTCTCCTGCCTCAGCCTCCCAGGTAGCTGGGATTACAGGCACCCATCACCATGCCTGGCTGATTTTTGTATTTTTAGTAGGGGTGAGATTTCACCATGTTGGCCAAGCTGGTCTTGAACTCCTAACCTCAAGTGATCCGCCTGCCTCAGCCTTCCGAAGTGCTGGGATTACAGGTGTGTGCCACCACACCTGGCAATATGCAGGATATTTTTTTATCAATTTTTAGATGCCTATTTTGAGACATAAATCTGATTTTTACAATTGTATAAATATAAAGTTGTTACAATTTGGTTTTCATGCATGGGCCGGGGCAAGAGATATGAAGCATTAAGTTTCTTAATATTTTATCTTTGCAGGTCACAGCAGCCTACTGTTTTATCCCTAGGTGAGTGGCTATTTCTGTGTTTTATCAACAGTTTTCTAGTGTGTTGGCTGAATGTGCCAGACCTCAAAAAAATGACTATGGGCCCCAACAATCACAGGGGACTCGTAAGTTTTAACAAAGGCATAAGCACGAGGGTTGTATAAATGGGGCTGAGGGTGGCTCAATCAACTTTGAAACACAAGTGTGGCCTCACAAAAGCCAACCACAAGAGGCTTGGCGAGTGAATGCCATCTAGACAGGCGTCAGCTAAAGGGGAGGACTTAGCAGGCTGAAGCAGCTTCAGAATGCAAATGACTGGTGTTTGACCATAAATCTATTACACAATAACAACCTTTTCCTGTTTCAACTACAGGGAATAGACTATACCATATATAACTTTTCACATATTAGAAGCAAAACATGTTTTTCTTCTTTTAAACTTTAAGACACCTGAATTTTGAGGATACTTCAGAATATGTAAGACAACTTAGCTTTAAACGATTAATTTTATGCCTTGCTAGGCATTTCTAGATTGGTTGTCTCCAAAATCCACCTTCAATTTAAGCCACAAAGAAAATTTTGAGCATGTGTCTTACCCACATGCTTACAAGTCAAAAGAAACTCAAATCAAAGAAATGAATAGGAAGTTTAAGGTCATACAGGTATTGTAAATGAATTCAGCAATTGCCTGTTCCCTAAGGGAAAATGCTAAAGTGACTTCTGAAATTAATCCTCTACAGGGGAACAAAAAAGGGACATGTGAGAGGGGAGGCAGGAAATATAATATATTCAGTCCAGACCTGGATTTAATGCTAGATAAGAGTTCAGTAAGGTCTGTCTACATTCTTTTGGATGTGGATATAGTTTTTTTCAATACCATTTTTTAAAAAGACTGTCCTTTTTCCTTTGAATGGTCTTGGCATTCTTGTCAAAAATCAGTTAATGAGAGTCAGGGCCATCTGTGTGAAATTTGCGTGTTCTCGTCATGTCTGTGTGGGTTTTCTCCAGGTATTCTGGTTTCCTTTCACTTCTCAAAGATGTGCATGTTAGGTTCAGTCTGAGTAAGAGTGAGTGTGTGTGTGGTGTGTGTGTGTGTGTGTGTGTGTGTGAGAGAGAGAGAGAGAGAAAGAGAGAGAGAGACAGACACTGGGCCCTGTGATAGAAAAGTGTCCTGTCTGGGGTGAGTTCCTGCCTTGTGCCTTGAGCTCTGGGGATATGCTTTGGCCATCCATGACCCAGAACTGGAATAACTTAGTTAGAAAATGAATGACTGACTGAATGAAACAAATTATTGTAAAATAAAAATTTGTAAAATATATAATAATCATGTACAATAATAATGCACAACAATAAAGGATGTGTATGAAAGCGTTCAGTAAGCACACCATATTTGTTTTTGCTTCATTTTGAACTGCATAGTAGTAGGAGATGCTCCTCACAACTTTTGCTTTGCAAACATTTATTCCTTAATTTAAGTCAACAGCACTACAACCATCAGCACTCACTGATTCACCAAAGACTGGGTAAATAATTATCTTACTTGTTTTTATCCATCTTTCTTAAATGTACGTATAACTCACACTTATTTCAATGTTTAACATTAGAAATGTTTTTGAGTCTTTTTGAGTTTGGTGATGTTTTTGTGACTAGAAATATGCTGTAAAAACTTACCTCATTTATATCAATTAACCTATGGTAAAACTGGTTTTGTCATATCATTTCCTTTAAAGTTGCAGTTTCCAAGAACCTGTTGATGACTTAAGTGCAGACTTAGTGTACACACACTGGAATACTATTCAGCTTCTTTGCTTCAACACAGATAAACCTGGAGGACATAATGCTAAATGAAATAGGCCAGAAACAGAAAGACACATAATGCATGTGCTCACTTACATGTGGAATCCAAAACAATGAACCTCATAGAAGCAGAAAGTAGAACGGTGGTTACCATAGGCTAAGGGATGGTGGGAATGGAAAGATGTTGTTCAAAGCTACAAAGTTAGAGTTAGAAAGGAGGAATAAATGATAACTATTTAAGGTGATAGGAATGATAAGTAGCTTGATTTCATTCAGCACTATCTACCTATATGGTAAAATCACTGTGTATCCCATAATTATATACAATTATAAGGTGTCAAAAAGCTTTCTCCGGATTCAGAAAACCTCTTCACAAAGGTAGAAGAGAAAGAAAACAATTTTATCACAGAATATGCATTAAACCAGAATGTGGTATGCATTCCATGCAATCCACTAAGAGACTGCAAAGACAATCTTTATGATAGGAGGTAATTCTGCACCTTGGAACAGAGTACTCTGACAAATTAGGCTCCTAACTTTCCATATAAACTGGAAGATAAGGGCACTATCTTCCTTGATGCTTACATTTCAAAGAGATGATTACCAGTTACTTAAGAAAGATGTTGTGATCATAAAGCTGGCAAGTGGATTATTTAGCTTTTAAAAGTTTTTACGTACGTTTACAAAAGACAAAAAATTACCTTACAATTACGTATTTTCTAATGTAAATGCTCTAAGAAAATGTAGGAGGGAAAGTCTTGCCTTTTTTTTCCCCCAAAGGTTGAAAAATTTACTTTAAATTTGTATTTGCCCTTACAACAGGCATCTGAATCTCAGGTGGAATTCTTACTGAAGCTCAAAAATTAGTAGGCCAGGCTCACACTGCCAAGGAAGTGGAGTACCAGAGACTTCAGCTTTCAGTCTGGAGAGAGAGAGTGGCTCATCTCCACCTGAAAAAATCGGAAGGTAGGAGGGTGAAGAGAGCAATTTTCAATAAAAATGCAAATTCATAGAAGGCAATAGTGGTACCAAGTCTCCTTCCTGAGTTTGGTGGGACAAGGGTATATTTTCAAATGGATGTCATGTTGCAATCCTAAATGCTGAGAAGAGTAGACATTAGGCATTCAACAGCAGATGCAAGCCTGAAGAAAGACCTCCCAAAAAGTCAAACAGAAGAGGTAACACTCAGAGAATGGTGAAGTTTGGAAATTTTGTGGTGCTGGGGTCCTCCAAAGAACCTATTAAGGTACCATCATTAAAGATCTTACACTTTTATATCTCTCGTAAAAGAAAGAATTCAAATACAAGATAAAAGGACTAACAGCACTGACTAAATAAAAAGCCTTTCCCTGTGGAAGCTTTGTCCCTTCCGTTTTTATCCCTGGAGTTGATTTGCAGAAGCAAGGGAGGAAGAATGTGGAGCAAACAGGATGGAAACAAATTATTTCCTTTCTGTTGTTTTGTCTCTTGTCTAGGGAGAGTAGAAAAACATTGAATGCAATGTGAAATTAAAGATTGATTTAAATTGCCTAAGTCAATACCTTAAAATGGTTAGAAAGCTATAGAAACTTGTCAAAATGTGAGCAAAAGGAAGTTATCAATGTTGGGAGAAAAAAAATCTCACAAAGTATTTGAGAACAGTGTTTCCTAAGATACCATAGAAAGTCTAATATATTTATTAAACCATTGCTTGTGCTATGTATTTAAATTCAAAATACAGTCACACATTTTTATGTAAAGAAAATGCCGGTGAAGAAATCTAGTTCCTTTGGCTATACAATCTGGGTTTTCTTTGTTTTGTTTTTGGTACATATATGTATGTGTTTTGCCATCTGTAAATATACAGGTTTTTTTAGTTCTTTTAAAAATTTTCATCACATTATTATATAATTTAATTACTTTGAACACTGATACTTCCTCCCACCTTCTCTCCCTCACTTATTTCCATGTTTTGCTTTTTTTGCAAATATATAACATTATCTTGTATTTTCATGATTTATAACTTTTCTTTTGTATATCATAATTATTATTATTATAGTATCTTTTCACATGTAAATGGATTTATTGCTCACCAGCGGCTATTTCCTTACATGTTCCTCTATTCCTGAATGCCTTATTTTATCAACTATTAGTTGATAGTATCTCATCTTCAAGCCACACCTTTCCATAGACTCTAAGGGCACTGTATTCCCTGAGCTCTTGCATTGTTTGTAAATGTCTTTCTTCTGCATTTACATATGAATGGAAGTTTGCTGTGTATAACATTTGATTTACTCTTTGTGTCACTTAGCATTCAGATGCCGTTACATTACTATGAATTGGAATTGACACTGCTCTTGAGACATCTAAGCCAAACTTGATTTTTCTCTTCGTTAGTTATTTTCATAGCTTACATATTTTTCTACATGAATGCTTGGTGAATACTTTCTTCACATTTAAAAGTTTCATATTTTCACTGCTTCCCAGTGCCATGGTTCAGAGTACCCATAGGTCTTCAGGTAGGAAGTCCCCTGATGGTGGCAGCTTCACCGGGGTGGGAGGAGGGCTCTATAATGGGAGTGGAAGGTAGGGAGAGGCCCAGAAAGCAGGGAGAGAACTGCACCACATTCATAGCTACTGTTGCTATTGTGGTGGACCCTCCTTCAGGCTCAGGGTGCTGCTTCTGACACTGCTCCTACCCACAGGGGTCACAGAATCCAGTAACTGACACACCAGCTCCAACAGTGGTCATCACAATAGCCTCAAAGCCAAAGACCACCAAAAGAGGTGCCGGTGACCCAAAGTCTACAGCTAGTCCCCTCGTGGTTTGGCTTGCTACTCTTCTAACTCTACATCTGTGCTGTTAAGAAACTCAGGACAAGAACTATCTCTACTTTCTGTTCTCATCTTGTAAAATTCAATCCAAAAGGCATCTAGAAGTCCAGTATGGCAAGGAAAAAAATAAGCCTTTTCTGAACCTACTAATACCACTAATATTATTGATGCAGAAAATGTTGAGAACTTCAAGTGTGACTGGTTTTAAGAGTATCTGAAAGATTTGACTAGATGGCACATGCAAATATTTAATCTTCTAGAGTTTCATGTACAGGACTGAAGAGAGATATCCACAAATAAAGATATGAATTCATTAAAGGTGGCTTAAGAAATATGAAGAAGTAGAATTCTACCTTGAAAATAAGAGGATTTTACCCTAATGTAGAGAAAAAAAGGGTAAGGTATGGAATAGAGATTCAGTTTCCTTTTTGGTTCATCAAATCTATACAGCCATAAAACAATTCTGTAATATATAAAGCTCGCATGGTCTCTTTTGTACATTGGAAGAATCTCCAGCTAGTTACTGTAAATCTTCCATATTATTTGAAAATACTAATTTTCTGCTGATGTCTAAAAAATGTTTTACATTGTTACATCCTCACTGAATTTTTTTTCCTCTGGGCTTTGGATTAGGCTTTTCATTCGACTTTCTGTGTAGTAAGTGATATGTGCCAGTGCCATCATTGACTGCAATGCATCCCAAATCCAAGTGTAATTAGTATGTCTTGCTTAGACAGAGATAAAGTAAAAGGGTATTTCTCATCCCAAGTTGACTTCAACTAAATTTTAAAATATTTTTATGTTTGCATATGTTCAATAAATTTAACAACTTTAAAAATATTTGTTTTGAAGGCATATTTGACAAAACTTGAAATTAAGAGACAGGCATTTGAAAGAGTCAAATATAATTTAAACCATGTATTTGGGAAGCAAAGATGTTAAACTGCATTAAGTTTACTGTCTCTCTCTCTCTCTCATACTGTTTCTGTAAGTACTTTTTGTTTAACTTTATATATCAGAATAGACACATTTTGAAACTCCTTGTTTATAAGTTATAGTTGTAGTTAGAATCCATTCTTAATCCTAAAGTGGGCTTGATCTATAAGGTAAATCTTTTACAACTTCTACAATGCACAGATAACTTTCAGAAATAGACATTTCATGAAGTTTTTGATTCAAACCATCACATACTGTTGCTTCAATATTCTAGTATCCAATATGGCCAGTGTAGTATTAATAACCAAAGACAATTTTTGCCATCTTTAGAAACTTCATTGAAGAAAACTAAAACCAATAGGTCTCAAGCCACTATGTGTGGGAATGAACACTTCCTTTTGCTTCATATGTAGGCATTGTGTATCTCTTCTGGATTATACTTTCTATCTGTGTATCTATGCTTTGACTCTTAGTAGTTTTTCATGTTATAAAATTGATTTGCATTGGGAAAACACATTTTTAAAAAGGAGTAAAGAGCAGAAACAAGATCAATAAACTCAACCAGAATATATCTCTGTGTATACCATCTGGCATGAATCTTTCTTAAAACATGGTATTTATTACCACTACGCATATTTGTGGTTTTATTTAGGTAAAGTTGTCTTTTTTATATCTTTAATAGATGTATGTTTTCTTTAACTGTTAGTGTTTTCAATAAGGCACTCTGTGCATATTCTGGATTTCCTTTGTTTGACACTCATATGCAGAACATATTTGTTTCCTTGTATGACTTTCACCAGATTGTTCTCCATGGCATTGGATTCATGTTCAGTGGTATCTTTTCCAGTTCATGATGTTTTTAATGCATATCTCATTTTTGTAATGGTTCAATTGTTTTCTTTCCTTAGCTTTATTATCATTCATCTTCTTTTGTTTTCTCAGATGCAATAGAGGAAAATAACTAAGAGCACAGATTTTGGAGCCATACAGCTTGGGATACAATCCCTTCTGTGCTGGGTAACCTTGATCAAGTTACTTAATCTTTCATAAACTTTGCTGTAATGTTAAAAAAATGGGAATAATGATACCATTTACCTTATTGGGTTGCTGTGAGGAATGCATGAGCACTTGGTTGAGTACCTGACTGGAGCGGGATGAAGCATTTAGTAACTGAGTGCTCAAGCAGTCCAATCAAAAAATAAAGGAGACTATTAATAATAGCAATGGCTATTATCTCTGTTTAAAATAGTCTCCTTTCCTTTTTGATTTTTATATAAGAGGTGGGTTTTTTGCTTTTTTTTTTTTTTTTTTTTTGCTTATTTGTTTTAAAAAGGAGTGTTTTAAATGAGCCTACTCTTTGCCTAAGAAAATTAATTAGCTATGAGCTAAAGCATCATCAGATAAATGATCCTGGAAAGGGATACTGAAAGTCAACAGAATTTAATCCCCTTTTTGGTAAGTACAACAATGAAAACACTTGGATTGAATTGCTCAACGATCTTGGGTATCGTTGAACATCTCTGGAATGCAGCTGAAAACTGATATTTTGTCTCTTTTGTTTTCCTTCTCATTTCATTTCCAGCAGTTTCTTTTCTGGTCATGAATCAGATATGGTGAAGGAATAAGATTTTTGTGTTCACAGAATCCTCAGAACCTTCAGCCTTTCCGTGAAGTTGAAATTAGATCCTCTGTTTTGGTAGCCCTGGCACTTATTTGCACTTTATGGGTTTTGGTTATCTTCAGTTTAATTGAAGATGGTGCTTGCAGTTTTTATTCTTCTCCTTTGTAAAGCAATGTTTCTGTCTGTTATAACTGTATGGAATATGTAATAAAAAAGTGCTGTCAAATCATTATGCAAAAATGGTGATTTCAAAACACACATGTTTCATAACTGTGACTTTTTCAGCTAATCAGGCAAGAAACTTTTTCTTAAAATTGTCTCTTGATATGATACTAATATTAACATTCTATATAAATACAAGTAACCAGGACTCCCAATTATGTCTTTTTCAATCTCTAAGTAACCATGGCACAAAATTTTTGCATGCATTATCAAGAAGAAAGACTTCATAATACTGCAGGGATTTTTTGTTTTGTTTTGTTTTTTTGAGATGGAGTTTTCTCTGTTCCCCAGGCTGGAGTGCAGTGGCGTGATCTCAGCTCACTACAACCTCTGCCTCCAGGGTTCAAGCAATTCTCTTGCTTCAATCTCCCCAGTAGCTGGGATTACAGGAGCATGCCACCACGCCTGGCTAATTTTCATATTTTTAGTAGAGACAGGGTATCACCATGTTGGCCAGGCTGGTCTCGAACTCCTGACCTCAGTGATCCACTCGCCTCGGCCTCCCAAAGTGCTGGGATTACAGGCGTGAGACACCATGCCCAGCCCATAATACTGCTTTATATCATGCCTAATTCCACCACTAGAGTATGAAGCTCTTTCATCAAAAACAGTATCTTGCACATTTATATGCCTTAGCAGAGAGCCAGGCACATATTTGTCATGTAAAATATACTTGTAATCTCCACACTGTCTTCCACAATGGTTGAACTAATTTATACTCCCACCAACAGTGTAAAAGTATTCCTATTTCTCGACATCCTCTCCAGCATCTGTTGTTCCCTGATTTTTTTAATGATCACCATTCTAACTGGCATGAGATGGTATCTCATTGTGGTTTTGATTTGTGTTTTTCTAATGACCAGTGATAATAAGCTTTTTTTCAAATGTTTGTTGGCCACATAAATGTCTTCTTTTGAGAAGTGTCTGTTCATGTCCTTCACCCACTTTTTGATGGGGTTGTTTGTTTTTTTCTTATAAATTTGTTTAATTTCCTGTAGATTCTGGATATTAGCCCTTTGTCAGATGGATAGATGGCAAAAATTTTCTCCCATTCTGTAGGATCTAGAACCAGAAATACCATTTGACGTAGCAATCTCATTACTGGGTATATACCCAGAGAACTATAAATCATTCTACTATAAAGACACATACACATGTATGTTTACTGCAGCACTATTCACAATAGCAAAGACTTGGAACCAACCCAAATGCCCATCAATGATAGACTGGGATAAAGAAAATGTGGCACATATACACCATGGAATACTATGCAGCCATAAAAAAGAGTTAGTTCATATTGTTTGCAGGGACATAGATGAAGCTGGAATCCATCATTCTCAGCAAACTAACACAGGAACAGAAAGCCAAACACCACATGTTCTCACTCATAAATGGGAGGTGAACAATGAGAACACATGGACACAGGGAGGGGAACATCACACATGGGTGCCTGTCAGTGGGTGTGGGGCTACGGGAGGGATAGCATTAGGAGAAATACCTAATGTAGATGATGGGTTGATGGCTGCAGCAAACCACCATGGCACATGTATACCTATGTAACAAACCTGCACATTCTGCACATGTATCCCAGTACTTAAAGTATAATATATATTATTTTATTTTATATATATAAAATATATATACATAATTGTAAATTAGAGTTACATAGATGAGTGTAAAAAAGTTTTAAATGATTGTAAGAAAACATTTGAGATGGAGAACATTTATATATTCAGAGCCACTGTGGTATTCCATGAAACTACTAGGAATAGAGTATATTATATTTATCACAGAAAGTGTCTACACTTAATAATTATTCTTAGAAATGTTTAAGGTCAAACACTACATTTTTATAGTGTTTAACCTAACCTCACATTTTTAAAAATTATTATCAAATCCCTGCCCAGGTGGCATTTCTCACGTCTATTAATCACAGCCCCTGCTATTTAATGACATAGTGGACACCAAGGCTTGGAAGAACTTTGTGAAAATAAAAGATAAGACAAAACAAAATGAATAAATATGCATATAATGAAACATAATTTAATTTTCCAACACAGTTACTTTTTAGGTTTTAGTAAATATATTGGAAACCTTAAGATACTAATGAATAACTTAGTCTTTTTATTTTCAATATATTTGAATTAAATATAATTTTGCTCATATTTCATTGTGGATATCTTTTCAAAAATATTTTAATTTAATATTTTTTCTATTGATTTGATATATTCTCCCCCCCTCAGGAAAACAAAACAAAACTTTTCCTATATACATTTGTCCTTTGGTAGCCGTGGGAGAATGGGGAACTTGTTCCAGAAACTTCATAGACACCAAAATTCACAGATTCTCAAGTCCCTTGTATAAAATGCCTTAATATTATCATATAACTGAGGTACAATCTAAAGCATCTCTAAACTACTCATAATACCCAATAAAATGCCTACATATTACTTCATGGAGATTCAACAGAGTACTTGACATGCAGCAAATTTAGGTTTTGCTTTTTGGAACGTTGTGGGTATTTTTTTTTTTCAAATATTTTCAATCTGTGGTTGGTTGAATTCATGGATATGGAACCCACAGACATGGAAGGCTAACTATATTTCTTTCATTTACATACCGTTTTGACATTGTATAAGTGCAAATTGTCCAATAAAAATACCATAATTCATAAAATATTTTAGAAATGTATCAGTAAGCCTTTTGCCAGACTAACTGCTTTGCCCTAACTACCCACTCAAATACTGACACTTGTTCCACGGAGCAGATAGGCTCTAGTACTCTAGATTTACAAAAGAGGTGGATTTCAGGTACCTAGCATGTAACTAGGCAGCTGAACCCACGTCCGGCCTCCTCAAACACTGGTTTCTTCTCTAAACTTATGACAGCTTCCAACCCATCAGGACTTTTATTTATATCCAACTTTTGATCCTTTCCCACTTCTTTTCTCCGTCCCAGACCAAAGGAGATCACAATCTGACTATCTGTGACATTATGTCTAATTCTTAAAAGTGGCTAGCCTTTCCAAAAACTAGAAGCAGCCACTGGAAAAAAAGTCACTTAAAAAAAATGAACAATATTAAATCTTTTGAAATAGTAATCTTGGTACATAATACAATATTTGAAGGAAAATAAAATGTATGTCTTAATACATTTTCCTTAATGCCTCAATTACCGTAATAAAGGTAGGTTACTGTTTTCCTGTGTATTCTTCCAGAGATATTCTATGTTTAACAAAACACAAATGTTTATTTTCTGTTTATTTAGTGTGTAAAATGTATCTTACACAAGTGACCCCAAAGTATTCACACTGTTATGGATCTTACTTTTTCCTCATTTTTTTGCCTAACTACATATGGGGAAGTTTGGTAGGCATAGGAGTAGAAGAAGAGTGTTCTGGAACATAAATAAGACAGTAAAGTTACCGTTCATCGAAGTAAGAAAACAAGGGGTCAGCTTTTTGTTCCTCAGTACCAGTCAATCATCGGGAAAGGGAGTAGGTAACCTTCCTGGTGAATCAACTCCAGCCAGCCAAGGACAATGATCAATCCATTATAGAAGAACGGCAGTCATTAATTCAAAGCAACCGAGAATAGAGGCACCCAGTCACACTCACAGCAAATGGGGAATGTGTGCCCTGACCCACTAACAGAAAACTAGATGGGGCATTACATTACTAGACGTATGTTTTACTTTAATATTGTATTTGATTATTTTTCTCAGTGTCTGCTTTCATTCTTAAGTCCTTAAGAATAAATCAAACCATACATCATGGTAACAGCAGATACTAGCCTGCG
This sequence comes from Homo sapiens, assembly GCF_000001405.40. Taxonomy (NCBI): domain Eukaryota; kingdom Metazoa; phylum Chordata; class Mammalia; order Primates; family Hominidae; genus Homo; species Homo sapiens. The sequence goes on from NC_000014.9 coordinate 43,740,248, forward strand.
AGACATTACAAGAGGACTTTGAAAAAGGACCTCAAAAAAATATATATAATATAATACACCATGATCTCATTTATATCTTACACAAAACTTCAAACCTAGCTCAATCTCCCCATCTCTCCTTCAGGGACTGGCTCAACTGATAAGTACAGTTCTGCAAAGCAGAGAGTTAGAGACAAGTTCTCAGTCAACAAAAAAGGACAAAAAAAAAAATCCCCATGACACAATGAAGCCTAAAACTACCTCAAAAATCTTGGCAGAAAAAAGCAAAAGAGCCTGGAATCTGTAAGTCGGGAAGATAATTCCTAGTGCTGACACAATGAAAAGAAATTGATACAAAATAGGAGTCTGAGTCAGGAAGAAGAGTAAAATATGGCTCTCAAATTTTTGAGAAACAGGAGAATGCAATGAATATAATGCTTGCTTTTTAAAGTGAGCTGGGACCATGTTCCAAATCAGAGCTGAAAAAAAAATTCTGAAAAGGTGTATGCTCAGAGGATAGAGAGTAAGTTCAGAGTAAAATGTAGATGGATGAGGCAAGAGATACAGAGAGATGTTGTAGTTGGGGATGTGGTTTAGAGTCAGAATTTGAAGTAACTATTGAATGACTACAGTCCTTTTATAGTTAGAGCAAAGAAAACTTTATTTAAAATTAGAAGCTAGAATGGATTACAACAATAATCTCTAAGAGTGTAGGTTTTATTTTTACAGGCTGAAAATTACATAAAAATAATAATATATTGGGCTAATTAAAATATGCTTCACAGAATGAGTTACATCTAGATAATGTGTGTATCCACTTAACACAATTGTACACATAAAATATTTTTTAAATATTGAGTTAATTTTTGTTTTTGAAACATAAAAGGATTATGTTTTATTGGACATTACTGCTAAGAGCTAAGCTGAAATATGTTTTATAGCACAATGATTATAGTGACCAAGATACTATTTTTAATCTATAATTTTAAGAATAACATTTTCTCTTTTTTGCACTTTTAAACCATTGTTTATAAATTTTAAACATCTATTAAAATCATTCTTAACTGAAAAATGTATTCTTCCCTTAGAAATAATATTAATAAACAGTTGATGGAAAATTTAATCAAATGGAAGTTGAATCATTTGGAGCCAACTATACCTTAAATCTCATCTTGATCTATAGGCAGAATTTGAAGACTCTCCTCTTAGGGAAATTTATGAGGTTTTCAGGATATTACAGTTTCCTCAGTATCCTTCTGCCTTACTGATTTCCACTTCTTCCTTATCTCCTTAAACCTTGAGTGTTTCTATCTGCACTCCACCAAGCTTGGTTGGACCTCTTCACTTTCTTATGCTATTTACTCTCTTGATTATCTCATCAAGTCTTGTGACATTAAATACCATATATCCAGTTGTGAATCCCAAATTCTACCTTAACCTTCTGCCTTAACCTTGCTCATGAAAGTAAGATGCATATTTAAATGACCACTCGTTGTTTCTTATACATGTCAAATTTACCATTTTCAAAACTGAGCAACGAATCTTGGTCCTAAACTTAGCCGTCCAAAATCTCCCCTTGTTAATTCATGAATGCCTCATGCTTCTGATTGTTCATGCCAAACCTTGGTGACATCTAGAATTCTCTCATTTTCTTGTATCTGACTTCCAATCCTTGGACAATATTTTATCGGACCAACATTCAAAATAGAATTAGGATCTTACCTTTGCTTATTACTTGCACTACCACCTCTTCAAGTCACAGTCGCCTCTCACCTGTGGTGTTACACATGCCTCTTAAAGCCTGCTACACCTTTTTTTTTTCTATTTTCAATTCCACTGCCAGAGACATCCTGTTAAAAAGTAAGATTTTACCACTCTGCTCAAAAGCCACCAAGTTTCCATTGTCATTCAAAATCAAACACAAAATTTTAAAATAGCTTACAAGACCTTATATTATCTGCAATCCTCACTCCTAGCTTAAGTTTCACAGTCTCTCATAACTTCCTATTCCCATTATACTGGTTTCTATGCTGTATTCTATTGCTGGCTTGGAACCTTCACACTTGCTGGTCTCTGTTGCTGAAATTCTCTTATTGCAGGTAACTGCATGAAACACTTGTATTCCTTATGCTTTTAATTTTTTTAATTCAAATATTACTTTCTCAGTGGTAAAATTGCCTTCCACCAATACTGCCTATCCTTTACTGCTTTATTTTCCTTTATAGAAAACTGAACATCTAATATACTATATATTTTTACTACTCATTTTCATCTATTACTCTGTCTGAAATATTAGAGACATGGAGCCAGGGGAGATTTTTTTTTCTCTTTTCATTGCTATACACTTGCTTCTAGAACATTACATGGAATATATTTATGTATTTGATAACTATTTATTGAATAAATAAAATTACTTGTTATACAGCATTAGTTCTAAAGGGTTGAATAATTATCAATAATTATATACCATGAACTAAAGAGGTGCCCAAAGTTGTTTACACAAGCATGTCCATCAGGACATTGTTTATAATATTTAAACATTTAAAACAACTTAACTTTTAAGTAGCTAAATAATTATTCATGTTTATGGTGAAGCACAATAAAGGCATTGACATCATACCATATTTGTAAATTGCACAAAACATAGGAAAAGTCCTTCAGGTATTCACACACATGTGTATGTGTGTAACTGAATTACTTTCCCCATGCTCTATTTATAAATGCAATGATTTTAATGCCTTAATTATACTTTATCATGAACATGAATACATACGTGCATATATATAGTTTTATATATAGCATATATGCTATATATATGCATATATATGGCTTTATATATAGCATATATGCATATATAGTTATATATACGTGTGTATTCATGTTCATCATAAAGTATAATTAAGACATTAAAATTATTTTATTTATATATAGTTATATATAGTTTAATATATATGGTTATATATATATATAAAGAGAGTTACCTTTAACCTTTGTTATGCATAACTGAAGGACTTTTCTTTCTCCTTCCTTTCCTCTCCCCCTCCTTCTCTTCTCCTTCCCTCTGTCCTTCCTTCCTTTCTGATCTCCTTCTTTCCTTCATTGTTTCCTACCTTCATTCTAATGTTTTTTAGAATCTTGTTTTTAAAAATCTGTTTATACTAAAGTATACATATATTTATAAGCCTGTCTTCAGATAAATACATCATACATTCTACAAGTACTGAATTGTCTTTTTAGTTTCCCCAGTGGTTACTGAGGCTAAATAATCTTTTACACCCTTGGCAATATCAACATTTTCTGCATTAACATCTCCTTTTGCCCTTTAATGGTGTCACTTACTTTTGGCCTAGCTATTGCCTTCTCATATATACTTAAAGAAGGATATGCTGTTTTATGACTGACCCAATTTTACGCCTTTTCCTTTATTTGTCATTTTTTAAATTGTTAAGATTTTTGTTGTTTTCATTGCCTTTTTTGTTATCCATTATATTTAAACTAGAGATAAATATTTATCTATAATACTATTTTAAAGATTTTTTTTCTATAAAGCAAAAAGCCATGTTTTTCTACAAAGTAAATACTATTTTAAGGGGCAAGGTAGAGGAAAAAAATTACTCAAAAAAGTTCTAATTAGTTTAGAGACATCTTCCTACTTATTAACTTCCATTACACTCTGAGAACCCATGATCTCATATAATTCCCATTTACTAACTGAATAACCTAAAGGTGGCAGGCCAAGTAACCTACAGGAATTCATGAAGAACATGAGAGAGTAATCTCACCTTCACAAAGTAAATGATAAAGTTGCAAGGGAATCAAAATGTGAAGGAAAATGATTTCATTAGCAGTTGAAGACTGGGTCAACATAAAGGTCCCAAATCCAATTTTTTCTCATTTTACAACACATACCACTCTGAAATTTATTTGAAATATTATGACTGAAAAATGTGGTTTCAGTGATAAGCAAATCTGAATTTCCATAAGCAAAGTGAAAGGAAGACTTGATAAAATCTTACTTAGTGAAGTAATGGCTTATTTTATTATCTGGAAAATTTTTTGTTTGTTTGTTTTAATGCACTTGGCCTATTTAAACTCACCCATTGCATCCTGTTACATAAACTGACCTGTGAAAAATTTAATTGCAAAGGCCACTCATGGACAGTTATGAAAGAGGTAAACAGAAACATGGAAGCATAAGGCCATTTGTAAATTACTTGTTTATTTGTTGTTTTGTCTTTTTAGATTGAGGGGGTGCATGTACTCATTTATTACATGGGGATTACATGCTTAATGTTAAGGATTGGGCTTTTAGTGTATTCATCATCTAAATGTTGAATATTGTACCCAACAGGTAATTTTTTTACCCTTACAGCCCTCCTACTCTACCCACTTTTGGCATCCCCAGAGTCTGTTCTTTCCATTTTTATGTACATATGTACCCATTGCTTAGGTCCCACTTATAAGTGACAAAATGCTATATCAGATTTTCTGCTTTAGAGTCAGTTCACTTAGGATAATGGCCTCTAGCTGTACACATGATGCAGCAAATAACATGATTTTATTATTTTCTATTGCTGGGTAGTGTTCCATGGTGTATATATATCATATGTTCTTTATCCAATCCACAGTGAATGAACACTTAGGTTGATTCCTAAGTACACCTCTACCTCATCTGCTTCTGCAATTATATAAATTCTAACCCTTATAATAAATGTCCTTTTACATTACATTATTACTTTGTTTTCCTGGATGAATCCCAATGGATAAATGGCTAACGGCAATTTTCTACAATGAATTTTTGCATTATCACATAAATGTCAATGACTAGAAAATAAGAATTATTATAATAGAGTGCATCAGATAAATGGATCATGTAATGTTCCATCTTTGTACTTCATTTTTAGGTGGAAAATACAGGAAAAGTGATGGAATTATGTTAAGTTAATGAAAAAAATAAAATTACCACTGGTGATTAAACTGTCAATTACATACTCTTTTCAATTCATACTCTTTGAATTAAGTTCAAACACAAATTTGAGCTTATTAGGAAATTATTTTCTTGAATAGAAAAATATAGTTTAACAAATAACAGACTAAAAAATTGAAATTTCTTTTAAATATATTTATCTTAAGGAAATAGGTTTTAAGATATTCTAATCAATAGGATGTCCTTATTCAACTTTCATCTTACTGTATAAACATAATGCTGTACTTACAATGATTGTAAGTACAACCATTTGACCTAATAACAAAATTCCCTGAATTATAGTGACCCTGCCTTACACTTAGAGAAAAATATATAAGGAATTCCTTTAAAAAATCTTGAGTTTTGTATTTATCTAAACTGAAATATAAAAGGTAATATAATTCCACAAATTATATCATTCAAAATACATTTCCCAAATGATATGATTTCTCTAGCTTAAATAGTATAATTTTCTAAACTTTAACTGGTAATATACTACTTATTTGGCTATGTGGGAAGGAAAGCATAATAGGTGGCCTGTGACTTCCATCTTCCCTATTGGAGAAGCCCAAAGAAATGATTGACATTGGCAGTGCCCAAGAGAATGGGTGATCTCCATTGAATCTTGTTATGTACAGTCTAATGGTGTTTATTAGTGGAAACCTATTAGGAAATCTTTACCTAAAACATTCTGTTTAACAAAGTATTCCTGAGCTGTCCAACTTGCTTAATGTGCGTAAACCTAGGATTCCTAAATTTGGGGTATGGCTGGTTGATGATGGATAGAAATTAGTCACACATTCCACTTCTGTGTGTGACCCACAGGGAGTAAAACTAATAAACCAAAATGTGACTTTGTCAATGTACATCATACATTGTTAAGCAGTTATCTGGTAATCTGAAACCAAAACACATTCCAAAACAGCAAAAGGGGTAATGGGGAAGCTGCATCTGACAGGTTCAGGACTCTCCCAGAAAGGAATACTATTTTTATCTATATGTCTTATAGACTTTGGATTATTTGTGAAGTTTGGTAAGATCTATGATTAGATCTGCTTTGGGTCAGCTTTTATAATTCAACTGTTTCCGATAATGAAGCACATATATTCCATAGTTTAAAGCCTCAAAAAGGATTAAGGTATAGCTAAAATGAGGCATCATCACCCCTTGCAGGTATCAGAAATTTTTGGAAATGATGTGCTTTTTGGAATTCTTGTTTTGAAAGCATTCTTCAATGACTTAGGGAAACATCGCATTAAGACATGTACACTGATTTTTCTATACATAAACAATAACATGTTTCAAAGTATTTTTCCACTAAACAAAAAAAAATGGCATTATTTTCTTTAAATAGGCACTGACAGACACAGTACATATATAATTTCCTGGAACTTGAATCGGTGATTAAAGCTAAGTCAGTTGCCTAGTGTCTAGGGTTAGAACAGCAACTTCATAATGAAATTCTCTGTTCTGTTTTTTATTAATATTATCTGATGTTTCTTACACCTCTTTTACTTTGCCTCTTATTTTCATTTGCACTTCAATATTTTTGATTCTTCTACTCATAAGAAAGCTGTAGATTAAATCATTCATCTGTAAGAAATTTGCCTTAATTTCTTTCTATTTTTTTACTTCTCTCAGATTATATATACTACTGAACCTATATAATTTATAATGCATTTATAATATATATTATTTATAATATACACACATTATACATATATACATTTTTGGATGCATTTCAGAGGAAATTGAAGACACTGGAGTATTAGAGTAGTTAGTTTAAGCTGGAAAAATTACTAAAACTTTCTTTGTCTCTCTGAACTTTAACTTTATTTATTTATTTAATTTCAAATTCTCCCAGATGTTGATGCACTTTAACATTTTAGAAGAGTATATAGGCTGGTTATTTTGGAGATCCTTCAATTTAGGCTTGTGAGATGATTCCTTATAATTGATTCAGTTTATAAATATTCAGCTGGACTATCACAAAAATAATGATATGTCTTTCTTGGTGCATCGTATCAATAGCCTAAGGATGTTAGGTTGCCCCAGTATTGGTGATGTTAACTTTGATCACTGAGTTACGGTACTGTCCACCAGATTTCTCCATTTTAAAATTATTATTTTTTCTTTTTGTAATGAACAAGCAATTTGCAAGGAGATACTTTGAGACTAGGTAAATATCTGCTTCCTCATCAAACTTTTAAATACTACTCTTAGCAACCAATGATAATTTTCTGACTTCACCATTCCTTCAACATTTATTAGTTGACATTCATAAAAAAAGCTTTCCTTTCTTTTGCATTTACTTAATTATGTGTTTTTATTCTTTTACTTATATAATCAATGTGAGTTCAGGTAGAGAGTTATTATTGTAAACATCATTATGTCTTTTAATGTTTTAATTGCTCCACATTTGAGTTGCTTGTAAATTTTAAGCTGTAAATGTACCTTAAATGAATCAAATAAGAACTAAAGTTAATTAGTATAATTGTTGTCACTCTTAATCATGACAAGGATCTTATTTTCCTTTAACTATACATGTTTTTCAAGTATATTATAGATATTTAGAATTATAGTTCTCTTCTGTTAGCAAACACAGAAACTTTATTATTATTATTACTAATTATTATTATTACCATCATTAGATAATGATTTACCTAAGTGAGTTATCAGTTTTTTGGCCCACTGTTTGTTTCTTGTCATGCTGTACTTTCTCTCTAGATTTCTTTTATTTGGGGATTGGGCTTCTAGTGTACTTATCATTTAAGTGTTGATAATACCGAAATCTGTTCTGTAAAACTTCACTTATGTTTATCACAGCACTATTCACAAAAGCAAAAGTATGGAATCAACCTAAGTGTCCATCAGTGGATAACTGGATAAGGAAAATGTGGTATATATATACACAATGGAATACTACTCAGCCAGAAAAAAAAAATGAAATTATGTCTTGTGCAGCATGGAACTAGAGATCATCATCTTAGATGAAACAACTCAAAACAAGAAAGACAAATACTATATGTCCTCATTTATAAGTAGAAGCTAAATACTGTTTACATATTAAAGTGTGGAATGATAGGCATTGGATACTCAAAAGGGTGAGGGGTTGGGAGGATAGATGATTAAAAATTACATAATGGGTATAATGTACTTTATTTGAGTGACAGATTTATGTCACTCATGGCTCCCCTTTTCAGTAGAGCCATGTACAAAATTGCACTTGTATTTCTTAAATTTATACAAAAAAACCCCACAAAATTTCACTTAGTGATAAACTCTGAGTAATAAATGATCTTAGCCTTTTCTTTTTCCCCTCACCAAGGATATATAATTTTCCTAATCATAAAATTTAGAATAATAGACACTTTTATTCAGCATTTTAAGGTCTTTATTGTTCTATAATCTCTGTTGAAATGGTAAGAATTTTCATTATCACTCAAAATGTATTTCCTTTGTAGGCAATTTGTCTTTTATCTGGAAGCTTTCGAGATTTTATTTTTACTTTTGATGCTCTAGAGAATAAGTACGGTGTGATAGTGTGAAAGTAGGTTTATGTCTCCTACTTTGTATTCAGATCTTTTATTTTCTGTGTTTCCTCAGTTCTGAAAAATTATCAAGTATGTTTTCAAGCATTTGCTTTGCTCCATTCTCTCATTTCCTTCTGCTGCACTTTCCTTAGATTATTGTTGTGGATTCTCCATCTATCTTTTATCTTAACTGCTATTTCATTTTAAAGTCACTTTAGTTGTGCATTCAGAATCATTTACACGTTTTTAAATTATCTTAGTTACTCTCTTTACCTAGATGATTTTATACTATTTCATATTTATATCAATGACTGTATGTTAAGTTATTTATATCCACCTAAATATCATTTTTAAAATTCTGACTTACTTGATTTGATTATTTCTTTTATATTCTCATTTATCTCTGTAAACTATTCAAAATAGTTATTTTGAATTTACCATTAGAAATTTCCTCTTCTTAATTGTGGATTTTGCTAGTCAATTTCTTAGTGTTATATTTTTAGCATGCAGTTTGGAGTTTTTATTTTCAAGCTTATTTTGAGTAGGCTTGCAATCTCTTACTTTTCCTTCCTACTTTCTTTCCTTTTCATCTATCTATCTATCTATCTATCTATCTATCTATCTATCTATCTTCTATCATCTATCATCTATCTATCTATTACCTCCATCTCCCCTAACAATGCTTATCTCTCTCTACTTGTTTTGTAGTTACCTCAATACCTCTATCATCAGCCAATAAAACAAGTTCTTAGATAGATGGTACTGAGTGACTGTAAGATATTGGAATATGGCAGACCTGAAAGCATGTTTGGCTTAGGTCCTGGTAGCAAAACTATTTTTTGCCTCCCTTCTTCCCACTTTTCTCAGCCTCATTTCATCATGAGTTCGGGTTACATCTCATCCGTGGCTTCTCAGTCTCTAAACCTGGCTTTGGAATTCAGTTTCAATTTAAGTTATTTTGGCACATCCACCTAACAGCCCACTTCATGATTTTTGAACCCCTCAAACATGTGGCCTCACCCATGGTGGTCATGTTGTGAATCCATTTTGTTTCTGATGAATAAAGATGTTTTATCCAAGATCTCCAGTAACTTTTAGGCTATCTGTGTACATACAGTAAGAGGAGTTTTTGAATTGAGAACTCACTGTGCATTATTGATCCCTGAGTCCGCATTTGGTCTTCAGAAAATATCTTTCAGTTAGTTAGATATTGTGTACTGGGAAGACTGAAGTTCAGAAATCTTATGTCACCAGGTAATAAGTGGGGGATCTTCAATTTGAACTTGGCTAACTCAATTCTTTCTACGGTACCAAATTTATCTTCTTAAAAACAAAACAAATATATTTTTATTCCTTCTTTCAGAAATAAAACCACAGGGTGCTATTTTGTGTCAGAATTGAAACATTTTATCAAATGTCTCTTTTAAGGTTTCAGTTATCATATGGTCACCTACTAAATTCTGGGCACACCATGAAAGTCCTCCTGAAAATAAGTTCACTTTCATATTTAGTCTCAAGTGCTGTCTGACAACAGTACAAACCATGGACAGTGTAACAGCAAAATTTGATCCACATTTTAACACCAAAATCACACAGCAATTTACAAACCTAGGAAACATCGGAATTTTTAAAATATTTTGTTTTATCTTAACAAGAATATTGAGATGCTGGAAAGATAACAAATAGGTAAAAATATTTTAAAATAAAAGTATAGTCATAAATTTCTTTTCCCATGTAACAATGTAAACATTTCATTTTTAATTAACTTGGAAACAACTTTTTAGCGCATTATTGTGCAACCTAGTTCTCTTAACTCTTTATTACTTTATATCTTCACATATATACACATGCGCCTAATATTGTAAAGTATTTGATATGACTCATGCATAAACATTTCTTCTCTAGAAAAGAAAAACAATTCTACAACCAAAGGAAAGAGAAAACAGTATATTTGTTGATGGAAAGAGGGGTCCCAATCCAAACTTCAATAGAGGGTTCTTGGATCTCATGTAGGAAGGAATTCAGAGTGAGTTACAGAGTCCAATGAGAAGAGAGAGTTTATCAAAAGCTACTAGATACAGAATAGGGTGTTCTCAGAAAGCAAGAGGAAGAAAACGCTATCTTTGTTTTAAACTCTTCTCAAATAGTAGTCTTATCTATGTAAAAGCTAAGCCATGTCTACATGTTTGTGGGCTGTCTGACAAAATTTAGTACTTTGTTGATATGAAAGAAAGTTATCCGTAGCATTTTCATATATAAGTACATCAAAGCATAATTATAATTATCTTGAAAGTATATATTGTTGTGGGTATTGGGATTTCTTGACTTTCTGTTGTTACTGGAGTGTGTCCTTGCAGCTATCTTTAGGCTGTTTCCTCAGCCATAAACATCTATACCATGAGTCTTGACTGGCAAGGAATGTGCCTTGCTAGTTTTAAGATGGAGTTGATTTTAAACCGATGTCCCCCTAACCCTCATATCCTCCTGTTTTCTGTTTTCCTAACACCCGTATCTTATTTTTCCCTTGATACTCTTCTTATTAAAAAGTATTGTGTTCTCAGACAAAGATTAGTTATATATTTAAAATAAATATGGCTTCCTGCAATAAAACTTGTAAGTCAAAATACATTTTGTATATGTTATGTGTGTGTACAGAACATCTTGCAAGATTTGTTTTTCAAAACTGTTTTATTCTGTTTTATAGTAACTTTTGAAAACGTAGGAGGCCTGGAAACATTATTAATTTTCCCAAATGTCTAATGTATTCAGTATTTACTTATAGAAATAGAAGCTATAAAAACGAGCAGCAAAAAAACTTTTTTAATGAGGTACTCTTTCCTAGTCGTTTTCCTCCCAGGACACTAAACATTGAGCAGTGATTTTTCTCATCATGTAAATACTTTATATAGAGTAACTTTCCTGTCATCTCTGCCTTCTTTTATTAATAAAGATTGTATATTATCTTTGTATTGCATATTTATGTGTACTCAACAAATATTAGGCTAATAGCTGTTACTATGATGATGGTATAAATATTAACATCCTAAAAATTCTTAAAGGGAACTTATTTCCTTGACTTAGTTTTATTTATAATTATTTTAATTCATGTTTTACATGTATATATATATATATTTTTTTTTTTTTTTTCTTTTTGGTGCTGTCTCAGCTCACTGCAACCTGTGACTCCCTGGTTCAAGAGATTTTCCTGCCTCAGCCTCCCGAGTAGCTGGGCTTAAAGGCATGTGCCACCACGCCCAGCTAATTTTTGGATTTTTAATAGAGACAGGGTTTCACCATGTTGGCCAGGATGGTCTTGATCTCCTGACCTTGTGATCCGCCTGCCTGAGCTTCCCAAAGTGCTGGGATTACAGGTGTGAGACACTGCACCTGGCCTACGTGTGCAAATATACTTTAAAATAACATTATTCTTTTCAATTCAGAAACTTCAACTCAGAAAAAACAAACTCAAAATGGTTTAAAAGTAAGTTTATACCTCTCGTGGTGCATTAATTTGTTGACTCAATGATATAATACTTGGTCCAGATTCTTTCCATTTCTCTGTGCTGCCATCTATAGTGTATCAACTTTGATCCTTATAATAATTGCCCTATTGACAAGATAGCTGTGGCAGTTCCAGACACTGATACACACACGCACTTCTGTGTGTGTGTATATTTTTTTCTGCAATGACCTTTTCTTCATATATCACCATTACTCTCCACCCCAAGCATTCCTCCCTTCACATAGTTTTGGCTAAAACTAGGTCACTTATCCATCCCAATGCCCACCCCTCACAGAGGGAATGTGTGACCTGAAATTTTCAGGATCTAATACTGAGTCTGAGGGATGGACACTTCTAAAAATCAGGGCTTTCTTCACACAAAAGATGAGAAGGAAGGGTTGTGGTATAAATCACTAATAGTATTAAACTTGGGATGCCCACTGACTTTTCCAGACTTCAAGTATTATTATTATTATTAAAAATAAGTCTTTTCATTCAGTCTCAACCAACGCTCTACAGAAACTATAGGCCTTTGAGAAACACAATTTTATAGCCACTGGAATAAATAGCCCTTGAGGTCAATTTTAGCTATGGATCTTAGAATAACGGAAAAGAAAAAGTAGTGAGAGGAGCGAGAGATCAGATCATAAAAGTTAGAGAGCGGCATGAGTTTCCTGTGGCTACTATAACAAATAGCCACAAACTTTGCAACTTCAAACAACAGAAATCTCTTTTCCCACAGTTCTGGAAACTAGAAGCCAGAAAACAGTTTATGTTTGTTTGTTTGTTTGTGAGACAGAGTCTCACTCTGTCACCCAGGCTGGAGTTCAGTGGCATAATCAAGGCTCACCACAGCCTTGACCTCCCAGGAACAAGGGATCTTCCTGCCTTGCCCTCTTGAGTAGCTGCTACTACAGGTGTGTGCCACCATGCTTGGCTAATTTTTTTTTCTTTATTTTATTTTATTTTTTTTATAGTGACAGGGTCCCACTATATTGCCTAGGCTGGTCTTGAACCTCTGGGCTCAAATGATCCTTCTGCCCTGGCCTTCCAAAGGGCTGGAATTACAGATGTGAGCCACCTGAGCTGAAATCAAGTCAGCAGGGACAAGTTTCCTTCCCATGCTATTAAACAAACAAACAAACAAACAAACTATTCCTTCCCTCTTTCAGCTTCTGGTGGCTGCTAACATTCCTTGGCTTGTGCCCGCTGCCCCACCTCAATCCAACTTCTCTTCTGTAGTCACATGCCTTCTCTTCTTCTGTGGGTGTTCATCTTCCTCTGCCTCTTTCTTATAAGGTTACTTGTGATTACAGTTAAGACCCATGCAGATAATCCAAGATTATCTCTCCATGTCAAGATCCTTAACTATCACATCTGCAAAGACCCCTTTTACTTTTAAGGTAACATTTACAGGTTCTAGGGATTAAGACCTAGTATCTTCAGGTGGCCCATATTCACCCTACTACCTGGACATGGAGTAGGACTCAAAGAGTCATGGAAACACATATAAAAAGGATAAAACCTTAGACAAGTTAAGTTTAGCATAGTTTCATTAAGATAAAAAGTGATTCACAAATCGAGCAGCCCTCAGAACTGGAGTTCCAAGAACTCTGGGGCTGCAACACAGTCAGACAACATTTATGAACAGAAAACAGAAGTGACATATAGAGACGGCTTACCTGGTCACAGCTCAGCATTTTCCCATATTTGAATCAGCTGGCTGCCTATGAGTGACTGTAAGGCTGGTACTCAGCTATTTCTTAGGAAAGTATTCCCCTAAATTAGGCTTTCAGTTAGTTTACATACTAAAAACGGTTGTAGTTTGTTACATAAAGACTCAAATGTGGAGGCATGCTTGGGACAAAACTTAATTCAAATTAACACATGTAATTATAAAATTATTTCTTGGATGCAAGAAAGAAAAACAAATGGAGATTAAACAATCCCAAGACTTCACTATTCATTGATAGCCCTTGTATCTTACAGAAATACGTTTAGAGTAAAAGAATCTCCATCAACAAGGCTGCCAGTCAATTTATGCTGCTTCTTCAGATCAGTTCTCAATTCTGTGCTATTAGATTTTAATGGAGACAATTGGATAGAAAAGAATATCAATAAATGAAGTTTTCTTGTGTTACAAGAAATAAAATACCTAATTTATTTTATCTTACATTTATAAAAACGTCTTTAATGTCATGCACATTGAATATGTATAAATATAAATATATATAAAATAACAGGAAAATTTAAATCAAAACACAACTTGGGTTTCACCTCCTACAGTTCTTTCTAACATATTTAATGCTATAATCTGCCCTGACCCTGGGTGTACACTATTACAGGACAATTACTTTCCTGATATAATTTACAAATATTAAAAAGCCCCTTTAATAACAAAAAATAGGCCTCAAGATAGTAATTAGCATATCCAATTGCATGTATGTTTACATCTCGATGTTATGAATTGATTTAAAATTAACTCTTCTTTCTTCTTATCTGGCCTCTTTAGCTTGGCACATCTGAAGTGGGAAAGGGATTGGGGCAGATTTGCTTTCTTGTGCTCCTCTTTCCCTAGCCAATAATCCTGAACTCACTTTAGTTGTTTTACTTTCAGCCAGGCTATGAGGGTATGCAGAGTACAAATAGGTGAGCAGGAGGACAGTACCTTTTTGGCTAGGTAGCCTAGAATGCTCCACGTTTAATGGTTGGCGAAAGCTGGGGTTCCTAATGAGTCTGCATAGGATTATGCTAATTGTAATTCTTTAGTGATTCTTGCCTAAAACCTCTCCCCAGCAGCCTCCTTATGAGAATGCCTGCCTTTTTATTCTAATGCGTAACTTCTTTCTCCTTTGTCATTCACTGCATGTTTGGTGCAATACATCCATTCTCTTTGGCTAAGGTTGACTCACCCTAACAGAAATTCCCATTCAAAAGGGTTCACAGAAACCCCACAATGGGCAAAAGATCCACTGGAAACATTTACCAATCCAACAAACTCTGGAAGCTCTCTGGTCTCTTTTCTAAGGCACTGGGCCCTGTGGCATTGTGTTTCCACCCCAGAATTCTTGAAGGAATGGGTTAAGGTGACACAATTCAGACCCACATCCACAATTCCACTGTAACTTTTTAAGATGTGGCTCAGGAATGAGTCCTTGTACTATACTGCAACAAATATACTTACATATTCTAAATATTTCCAAGCCCTGATCAGTAGGGTAACGGGCTTATAGAATTATTTAACAAAATCTCCCCTTGCCAAATTTTCATCTGTCTTATATTCTTGAGGGAGGTGCTATAACTTAGGAGTGGTGTAACATTTTCTCTAAAAAGTTCTGTATGCAGATTGGTCTCACTATCATTTTGGTATCTAATTGTGTCTCACTGACATTTCAATAGACACTGAGGAAGAATAAGTCCCTTTTAATGTCCTGTGATAGAGATTTAAAATACAGGAAACTGGCATATTTTTGCATATAATGGGAATGTTTGGAAGTGCTATATTTTAATGGATTGTATAACGCAAATTGAAAAAAAAGACTTCTTCGGATCTTATATTTTACTTTTATAAAGAAAGAATATCATATTCAGATTAAACAGACAGGCATCATCACATTACAGTTACTCCACAGAGAGGAAATTAAAGCCTCCGCATTTCAAGTAAAAGGCGCACTACAGCTTTTCAAACACCTAATTTCTCTCAGTGGTGTGGGAGATATAATGACAGGTAGCACTTCCGTGACTTAAGTGACTCATATATCATCTGCTTTTAAACAGCATAAACTGCTTTGCAGTTTTTAATTTTCCAATCGTCACAGAAGTGTAAGAACAGAAGAATCATGTACATAAAATCATCATACTTTTCAGTTTTTACTTTATATCTTCCAAAGCAATGACAGTTTATGACTTTAATATTATAGGGCTACATTTAATAGTTTTTATATTCTTTATAATTATTCTCTGGTTAGGTAAAAATATCTAAAAATATTTAAGTTTTTTGTATGGTAATTTATACCATTTGACCATATAAAATAAATAGAACGTGATTTGCTTACTTAAAAAAAAGAAGAAAGAAAGAAAATAAATGTGTAAGAAAAAATAGTACCAGCTAATAAAAATTAGTGACTTTATGATTTGATGATGAAATTGCCAAAGCAATTGCAACTAAAGCAAAAATTGACAAATGGGCTGTAATTGAACTAAAGAGCTTCTGCACAGCAAAAGAAACTGTAATCAGAGTGAACAGACAACCTACAGAGTGGGAGATAATTTTAGCAATCTATCCATCTGATAAAGGTCTAATATCCAGAATCTACAAGGAACTCAAACAAATTTACAAGAAAAAAAACATTAAAAAGTGGGCAAAAGTCATGAACCGACACTCCTCAAAAGAAGACATTCATGCAGCCAACAAATATATGAAAAAAAGCTCAACATCACTGATCATTAAAGAAATGCAAATCAAAACCACAATGAGATACCATCTCACACCAGTCAGAATGGTGATTATTAGAAAGTCAAGAAACAACAGATGCTGGCGAGGTTGCAGAGAAACAGGAACGCTTTTACAATGTTGGTGGTAATATAAATTACCTCAACCATTGTGGGAGACGGTGTGGCAATTTCTGGTATTTATAGAACCAGAAATACCATTTAACCCAGCAATTCCATTACTGGGTATATGCTCAAAGAAATATAAATCATTCTATTACCAAGATACATGCATACATATGTTCACTGCAGCACTAGTCACAATAGCAAAGACATGGAATCAACCCAAATGCCCATCAAGGATAGACTGGATAAAGCAAATGTGGTACATATACACCTTGGAATACTATGTAGCCATAAAAAGAAATGAGATCATGCCTTTTGCAGAGACATGGGTGAAGCTGGAAGCCACTATCCTCAGCAAACTAATGCAGCAACAGAAAACCAAATACTGCATGTTCTCACTTATAAGTGGGAGCTGAACAAGGAGAACACATGGACACAGGGAGGGGAACAACACACACTGGGGCCTGTCGGGGGGTTGGATGGAAGGAGGAAGAGCATTAGGAAAAATAGCTAATGCCTGCTGGGCTTAATACCTAAGTGATTTGTTGATAGGTGCAGCAAACCATCACAGCACACTTTTACCTATGTAACAAACCTGCACATCCTGCATATGTATCCCAGAACTAAAAATAAAAATTAAAAGAAAAAATAGTGACTTTATTATTTTTAACATTCATGTTACTTCCGATACAGGAGAATCTCTAATATTGTAGACTTAAAAAAATGTAATTTGTCTATGATACCATCAGATACAATCTAAAAATATAAGATAATGTCTCTAATACAAATAGCCAATTTTAATAATTGAATGACAGTGACAATACATTTGCATAGTATATTTTTCTCATTCTACAGATTTTACTGTCATTAAATTTAAAGGTCTTGATTTTTATAGTAATTTAATTTCTATGACAACTAACCACTTTTTTCTAATTTTTGTTTTGGGAATGAAGTAATTATGATTAATTTCTTCATTTTGGATGTTCAAATATTTTATATTTTCTGCTGCAAATTCTTTTCTCAATTTTTAAAATTCAATACAAATACGAATATATAAAAATGTATCAAATACTGCACACTAATTCTGGTATGGGGACATTAATATATACTAGGTTGTACCACATAAAGTGCCATTTTTGTAGGTTAAATAAAGTAATAAAATATTAGTAATGTCAAATGGTTCAATCTAATATAAAACAGTATAATGTTTGCCTCTATTCAATTTTATTTAATTATTATTTACTATGCATTTTCTTTCTAGAAAGCATTGTACTACAAATTGTGGAGTAAAACTAAGTTTCTAATTCAAATAGTACAAGGTAACAGATAAATGACTAACAATTCAAGGCAGAATGAAGTGCTGCAGAGATGCATAATTAACAAGGTGTGAAATACCCAAATAAAGGGAAGTCTTTAATTGTGGCTGCAAGGAGACTGAACAATTAAGAATGGTTATCAAGTGAAATAACATTTGAAAGTAGAAAGGAATGAAAAGTATTTCCAAAGGTGAAAATGAGAGAAGTGAATTTTAGACTGAGTAGATAACATAAGCAAAGGAGTTTTGAAAGTGTTTGGACAATAAAAAGGCGGGAGGTCAGAAAGTAATTAGGGACCACACTAGAATAGGATTCTAAATAAAAAGGAAAGAGAATAATGCAAAGTCTTTCAAAGAGAAATATGGTAATAATTAGGACTCTAGACAAGTATTCTGTCTTTTTCTTTAGATTCATAAAATTTTGAAGTTAGTGGTGACCATGTGAGCTGCTTAGAGCAACAGCTGGCAAGTGAAAAAGGATAACTGACGCTTTCCGATAGAGATTTTAAGAATATGAGTGCAATTTTCAATGAATATATTTCTATATCATGGTGAATACATAAAGCATTTGCTGAGATGCAGCCTCACTCAGCAAAAGACAGTTTTGGCACACAAACCAATGGATTATACTATTACTGTGTCATGAACTACCTTATCCTGACAGATAAAGGAAATGACATACTATATGTCAATTGATTTTAGGAAGATATTTTTGATAACTAAGGATTTAATTGAAGATTCAAAGAAATATTTATTAGCCTAGTCCATTTTTAATTACACAAGGGAAAAAATAAAAATTCCTAATATGATATTTATTAAATAAATTATGAATATGTATATCTTAATATTTAGCCACCAAAGTGATTTTTACTTTGACCTTACAGATATAGATATGCATTGACTATATGAACTTGTACACATCATATATGACTATTCTGATTAAATATGCTTCAAGGTTCTGGCAATCTGTATGTTTGGATAAAGGGAAAGCTAATGAAGGGGTGAGAACGAAGTTTGTTAAATTGCTATAGTAGGTCTTGTTGAGGACTGAATATTTGTGTCCCTCCAAAACACATGTTGAAATTCTAACTTCCAATATGATGTTATTAGAAGGTGGAACTTTTGGGAGGTAATTAAGTCATGAGAGTGGAGCCCTGATTAATGAGATTAATGCTCTTATAAAAGATCCTCTGGAAAGCTTTGTCATCCCTTCTACTGTGTAAGGACAGAACAAGAAGATAACCATTTATGAACCAGCAAGCAGGCCCTCACCAGACACTGAGTCTGCCAGCAACTTACTGTTGGAATTCCCAGCCCATAGAACTGTGAGAAATAAAATTGCTGTTGTTTGTGAACCACTTAGTCTATGGTATTCTGTCACAGCAGTCCATAGAGACTAAGGCCGTTCTTTTCATTTTTCTTCTCATAGGTCATGATATTTCAGAGTAAAAATTAATCATAGTTCCTTTGAGTCTGATTGATTATATCATTTGTGATGAATATTTCTTGTCACCATTAAACCCTTCCCTCATTGTGTTTCTTAACTGAACATTTATCCAGGAATTTATAACTACCTCGTTAACACATAATCAAATCATTAATCTACTTTGTCTTCCCTTGCACCTAGTAAATTTCACAGTTTTAAGTAGCCTCAACCTTAAAGGATTTTTTCTCCTCTTCCAACTCCTGATGCACTGAGAGGAAAGGGTGGATTCAGTTTTAGTATCCTCTGGCTATCCTGGGGTGTTGACAAGATAAACTTTGATACTGTGAACAAAATTTAGACAAGATATTGTACTGAGGAAATCACTCAGGCCTGTGGCTGGTTTTAAAGAATGAATCTAAAAATTATTCATATCTCTTTACCTCAATATTTGATTGATTTTCTTTCTGAAAAGATTTGGTGTAAATGAGAAATATAAACTCATCTCTTGTCACAATGTGAGTTTATATCTCAAAACTGATAATACTTACTTTCCTATTCTAAAAAATTATTTTTCTTCCTCTGAATTCTTGTATGAATAAACATGTTTGATATCCTAAGTCAAAATGAAGATACTGAGAAAGATTAGTAGAAATGATTACACTACACTGGTGGATTTTTCTACTTCTGCTTTTAGTGGCATATAATTCCATTTCATCTTTTATGTCTTCATAGAGTTATAGTTAATGCAATTATTGAAACATATGTATCTCAATACACCATTTAGTATTACTATTGTTCCTGTTTGTGTTATTTAGAAAAAAATATTGCTCTCCTTTTGAATTGAGGTTTTTGTTTGTTTGTCTATATGTTAGTTTAATTTTAACATTACCTTTCTAGTGACATATTTATACTCTTTACTATTATTATAATTGTTATATTAGATATTACACTATGCACACAACTCATTAAAATCTAATATAAATTTTTATTTTTATATTTTCCTAAACAACTCTAGGGCATTAGAATCTTTTAACTTACTTTAATCCTTTCCCTAAATTATGTGCCATTTTTGCTATATATTCGAATTCTCCATATATTTTAATACCCAAGCCAATACTGATATTTTTCTAAGTCATTTGTATGTATAACTTATCTGTACATTTATCAAATGTTTTTTTTTAAGTACACTGGATATTGGTCCCCAGTCTTTTCTGGCTTGTAGGGTTTCTGCTGAGACATTTACTGTTAGGATGATGAGCTTCCCTTTGTACATGACCTGACCTTTTTCTTAAACTAATAAACAACTTCAGTGAAGTCTCAGGATGCAAAACTGATGTACAAAAGTCACTGGAATTCCTACACAGCAACTACAGTCAAGCCAAGAGCCAAATAAGAAGTGCAGTCTCATTCACAATTGCCACAAAAAGAATAAAATACTTAGGAATACAGCAAACTAAGGAGTGAACAATCTCTGCATTGTGAACTACACAACTCTAATCAAAAATCAGAGATGACATAAATAGATGGAAAAATATTTCATGCTCATGGATAGGAATGATTAATATTGTTAAAATGGCCATACTGCCCAAAGCAATTTATAAATTCAATGCCATTCCTATCCAGCTACCAATGATATTCTTCACAGAACTAGAAGAAACTACTCTAAAATGCATATGGGGTCAAAAGGCAGCTCAAATAGCCAAGGTAATCCTAAGCAAAAAAAGCAAAGCTGGAGGCATTATGCTACCTGACTTCAAACTATACTACAAGGCTACAGTAACCAAAATAGCATGGTACTGGTGCAAAAACAGACACCTAGACAAATGGAATAGATTAGAGGACCCATAAATAAGGGCACAGATCCAAAATCATCTGATCTTTGGCAAACCTGATAAAAACAAGCAATGGGGAAAGGACTCTCGATTAAATTAATGATGCTGGGATAACTGACTAGCCATATGCAAAAGATTGAAGTTGGACCCCTTCCTTACACCATATATAAAAATCAACTCGAGATGGATTGAAGTCTTAAATGTAAACCCAAAACTATAAAAACCCTGGAAGACAATCTAGGAAATACCATTCTGGACATAAGAATGGCCAAAGAGTTCATGATAAAGAAGCCAAAAACAATTGCAACAAAAGCAAAAATTAACAAATGGAATCTAGTTAAACTAAAGAGCTTCTGCACAGCAAAAGTAACTATCAACAATAACGAGACAACCTATAGAATGAAAAAAAATTGCAAACTTTGTATTCAACAAAGGTCTAATGTCCAGCATTTATAAAGAACTAAAATTTACAGGAAAAAAATAAACAACTACATAAAAATGTGGGCAAGAGACATAAACACTTTTCAAAAGGAAACACACATGTGGCCAACACACATATGAATAGGAGCTCAATATCACTTATTATTAGAGAAATGCGAATCAAAACCTCAAGATACCATCTTGCACCAGCCAGAATAGCTATCATTAAAAAGTCAAAATACAACAGATGCTGGTGAAGTTGTGGAGAAAATGGAAGGCTTATATACTGTTGGTGGGAATGTAAATTAATTCAACCATTGTGGAAGACAATGTGGCAATTCCTCAAAGACCTAAAGACAGAAATACCATTCGACCTAGCAATCCCATTACTGGATATATATCCAAAGGAATATAAATCATTCTGTTATAAAGACACATGCATGTGTATGTTTATTGCAGCACTGTTCACAATAGCGAAGACATGGAATCAACCTAAATACCCATCAATGATAGACTGGATAAAGAAAATATGGTACATATACAGCATAGAATACTATGCAGCCATAAAAAGATTGAGATTATATCTTTTGTAGGAACATGGATGAAGCAGGAACAGAAAACCAAATACCACATATTCTCATTTATAAGTGGGAGCTAAATGATGAGAACACATAGACGCATAGAACAAGAGACACTGGGGCCTTCCTGAGCATGGAAGGTGGAAGGAGGGAGAGGATCAGGAAAAATAACTAATGGGTAGTAGGCTTAATACCTGGGTGATGAAATAATCTATACAGTGAGACCCCATGACATGAGTTTACCTATATAACAAACCTGCACATGTCTGTTACAAAATCTTAGTGATGGAATAAGGGTTAACCTTTTTTGAAACAAGTTATTAAATAGTAACAACAAATCATCTAACCATCTTTTTACTTATTTGTAAGTAATTTCACTGAAGGCAACTTATTTTTAATAACCTCACTAACAGCCTCTGTCTACAAATCCCCTGAAACTTTACAGTTGTCAATTATCAACAGTCATCTTACATATGTTCCTATAAACTCTATATATTTCTAAAACTTTCATTCTTCAATTGTTATTTTTACCAATAGCCTAATGATAAAATATTCTGTCACATATCTTGAAAGCTGCAAGAGCTTTAAAACTGCCATATCAGTAATGTTACAAGATGGGGGTAATAGTATTTTCCCTGACAATCTGCCAATTATGGTTTTGGAGAAGAATGAACAACATATAGCATGGAAGTATTCATTAAGTTTCTTTGAAGTCATGGAAATAGTTTGATAAATAATTCAGGACAAAATACAAATTAGAAAACAAACAAAAAAAGAGCAAGCTCTTAAAGTCATCTATCACATCATTGTGAAAATTTACAGAGCTGGCACAAGAGGCAAAAGAGGAGGAGAAATCTTAAGAGATAATAATCATATTTCATTTTTACTTTTGATCTAAGTCTATAACTGATATTTTTATCTATCTGAATTAATAATTTATTTCTTGATGAACATCTTAGCATAGACTATTCTATTTTTCCAGTTGTAGTATGAACTATTTCCATGAATCCTAAATTTCAGTTATTTGCTTTATGTATAATATGACTTAACATGTGTACCACTTTATAGCTTTCAAAGATATATTATCCTATATAACAATCTTAATATCACTGGAAATTTATTAAAATATTTTGCTATATAAATGAAAACATATGTTATACCTTCTGATACCAATATGATTTAGAAATAAATGGAGAATAACAATATTCATGGAACTCAGCATAAAAAGAGAGAAAAGGGAACTTTTCAGGAACAATCACATTAGTCTATATTATGTTTTCAGAATAATATACAGTCACACAGTCACAAACTTTGATTACTTTGCAGATAATAGAAATCTGATTTATTCATGTTTTTGTATTCACAAAATAAATGTATAAATATATCTTGAAGACAGATGAGAATTAAATAAGTTTTCTTAGATATATAATAAAGATAACTTATAAAATATCAGTGAACATAAGCCAAGCAGTAAATCTAATGAAAATATTTGTTCAACACGTTGTACCCCTTCTTGAGATGTAAAATATGAACTCCATTTTTACCTTTTATGCCAAGTTAGAAACGTAAATTTTTGTATTGTATGGGTGGAAAATAACAAACATTTTTATTTGAGACAGAATAATTTTGTATTCCTTTCACACAATATTCCTACTGTTGAAATTTTTAAATAAGTATATTATAATGAAGACCATTGGCTCCTCATTACTAATTTATTCAGAATGTCTTGTGAAAATTTCACTGAAGGAAACTAATCAGTAACAATATATTTTGTTTCTGTATTAAAAAATCTGTAATTGGTATTTTTTACTGCTTCGAGAAATCTGTCATACAGAAATATTAATACATTTAAACACTAAACAGCATTTTTTAGGCTCTCTAAAGGAACATTTTCCTTAAACCTTTTCTCATTATTTGAAGACTTTAATTAAGACTTCAATAAGTAAGAACAACGATAGCTCAGATTATTAAATGTAGATAAATGATAACAGAACATTTGGGTAAAATTCTAATTTCTTAAAAATGACATTAGAATTCATGTTACCAGGGATGAAAGACAACTATAATAAATTATTCACTGAAGACTGGAATTTGACATATTTATCTGCTAAATCTGTGTTAACGATAAGACAGAAAAAGAAACAGATATGCAAAATGAATTCTGTATCCAAATGAATGTAATGCAAAGACACAGTTTTAAATCAGATTAGAAACTATAATATTTTAACAGTTACCTCAGTTATTATGCAATCATAAAACTGTAAAGACATATAGGTCTATTTCAGCATGATTCATTATTTGAATGACTACTTACTTAAAAAGAAAAAACTTTCTGTTGAAGTTATTAATCATAATTTCCACACAAATCACTGAAGCTCTCCTTTAAAATTTGAAAAGAGCATAGAGAACAAAATAGGAGGAGTGATCTAATGAAAATAATAATGACATTTAGTTTTCAGTTTATCTGTAAGATGATAATTGATTTTTTGTGCTTACTCATTTAAAATAATAATTGCTTATTTCCTGATAATCATCTGAGCAGACTATGCTCCTTCTGAATCCCTCAATGTAAAAACATTTTTCTCTCAATATGTTTTTATGAAAAACAACATTAGAACATTAAAGAATGTGTTGCTATTAAAACTGAAATAGCAAATATTTTATTTTTCTTTCTTGTATTTACATATATAAATCTTGTATCACTATAATCATAGTCAACTTACCGTAATGAAACACTGCAATCCCAATTGCCATGTACAACCATGGTTTCTTGGTTCAGATATTAAGTCATTAGAAAAACTTAAGTAGTTTCTTCATATTTTAAAAAATGGATCCCCAGCATCATCACCAATTATCACATTTATGATAATAATTTTCAACTATTCTCTTACTATTTAGCATCTTTCACCACTATGGCATATACTGTGCTAAATTTGACTATTACATCTTTGTATATTAATTCTTTTTATTGCCTCATTTTATAATTAGCGATTTAAATTGAATTGTGATGTTTTTGCAAATTATATTTTTAAGCATAACTTGAATAAATTGTTACACTTGTGCTTTTCAACCATATTTGTGTAATGCAAACCAATATTTTTAAAATTTCCTATGATTAGAGCAAATTCCACAAACAGTGAACTGAAAGTGCTTGACAGTCAGTATTGCTATTTACTAAATAGTTCTAGGTCTTTATGTTCCAGAAAAATGGTAGGATAGCAGTTAATTCTTTTCTTGAAAGTAGTCATGACCACAAACCTTGCTTTTGAAAATGAAACATGAGCTAATGTGACTAGTCAGGCATTAAGTTGTATGGGTTACATGTGGGAGGTTTAAGAGCAAATATGTGAGTTACATCCCTGCTTCCTCTGCTACAGTGATCTTGGAGGTGTGTGTTGATGTGAAGCTGCTATAAGGCTCAGTTAATGAGAAGAGCTATCCTGTCAACCTACTATGTCCACAGTGGACTTAGAGCATCAGTGATATATAAAACTCAATTATAACCAGCTGGCAATTTCTGATTGTTTGATATCTCACCAAAACATAGTATAAATCACTGATACACACAGAGAGAAATTACACTGTTTTATGTAATGAATGATACAAAAAACCAGAAAAAAATATACAAATGATTTTAATGGTTATTGGTATTTTATATTTATTTTTAGCAATATTTTCTTAATTAACAAAAATGGTACATTTTTGTCATCTACAACATGTTTTAAAATATGTATTCATTGTGGCATGGCTAAATTGAGCTAATTCACATATGCATTACCCCACATTCTTACCATTTTTGAGGTAAGAATACTTAAAATCTACTCTCTAAGTCATTTTTGAGACTACAGTACATTATTAACTATAGTTACCATGTTTTACAATAGATCTCTTGAACTTATTTCTTCTATGTAACTGAAATTTTGTACCTTTTGATGAACATCTCCCCTATCCTCCTCCTCAGTCCCTGATAATCACCATCTACTCTCCACTTCTATAAAATCAACTTTTTTAGATTCCACATATAAGTGAGGTCATGTGGCAGTTGCCTTTTCATGCCCAGATTATTTCATTAACGTAAGTATTACAATATTTCTAATCATTATAAAAAATAGGAACAACATTGGAAATTAAAACACTCTGCCATTGTGAACTTATCCTAGGATGTGCAAATCATTTATTTAAAAAATATCTGATTTGTGCCTACATACGTTCATCAGTGGGGACAAAATACTGAAGTGAACAGACATGACCCTGTCTCTTGGAGTTATATTCTATGGGGGAAAACAAATAAAACAAATTAGGGGACTAGTTAATAAAATAATTTCTAGCTGAAGCACTACAGTGAAGAATGTGGTCTCAAGAACTAATTTCTATTATTAACTATGACTTTGAAAAAGTCCATTTTATGTGATGTTTACTTATAAAGAAACATAATTATAATAATTATATTCAAGCTCAGACATTACTGAAAAATGAAGAAAGTCCCTTAAAACTCATTCTCCAAACAGTACCTATTCTTCTTCTTTTCACTTGAAAAGATTTTAAAATGTTTCAAGAAATGTGTGAGGTCTTTAATTTATTTAAACCTTTCTGCAATTTCTTTTGTTCCTTCCTTGGGCCACTGAATCTGTTATGTGAAAAGTCATTGCTGACCCCCAATCCAATTTCAGATCTTTATCTCTCCAAAGACCTTATATTTTAATTTGGGCAATTTTAACCCTTCCTATGACTTTATCTACCTCTAGTCTTCTAATATTGCTTTATTTTATTTTATTTTATTTATTTTATTCTATTTTATTTTATTTTTTAATAGACATGACCTCACTTTGTTGCCTAAGCTAGTCTCAAGCTTCTGGCTTCAAGCAAACCTCCTGCCTCGGCTTCCTAAAGTGCTGGGATTACAGGCATGAGCCACTGCGCCTGGCTATTATTGCTTTACATCACTTCTAAATCAAAACCTCCAGCCATAGCCTTAGACTTGATAGTATTTCTGAAACTTTCAGATGCTTTTGGACATTTTAAGGTATGCTTAATACTAGACACAATTTAAAATATTGTCAAAGAAGGAATTTCTCAGGCTGACTAGTTGATTAAATTTTATTAAATTTTAATAATAGCTTTAATTTGTAAAATTGAGGGGGACATTTTGTTTTGTTGACTGAAACACCTTTGTCAAATCCTCCTTATCTCTATTACAATACTTCCTCAGAAATTAGAAAAATCAGTAGTCTTTTATTGTAATTTTCACCCTTAAAGATTTTGTTCACAAATCTAATTGCTTTTCAATCAAATTAAATCTTATTTATTCCAGAAGTTTCACTAACATATTCCACAGCTCCGTCTCTGACATGTACATAATCTGAAAATTTTATAAATGATTTCTGTAGCTACATTGTCCTTCTTCAATATACATAAATTTATCTAAAATCCAGATCATCAAACACTCTATTGTTTAACTCAAGTTCCCTTGGGAAACACTTAGGAAAATATCTAGTGTCTATACTCTACTGTCTTGAACTAAGTCAAATTTTTATGTAAATGATTATATCTTTCATCTTGCCAAATATACCACCAAGGCTTTGGGGGCATAGACAATGGTTATTTTTCACTTTATGTCTGAAAAAGTCTAATATTTATCTTGCACTTCAGGTGCACAGTAATCATGAGACCAATGATTTTCTGTAATGCTTTTTGCAAAATTCTGTAATATTTTGAAAATATATTTTTTATTGGACAGGCAGGACAGATTGAGTAAAACTAACAATCAGGAGATAATATGCTTAGGGGCACAACTAGCATTCTGTGCCTTAACTACCTACTTATGTTTTGTTTGTTTGTTTTGTTTTTCTTAACCAGAGAAATTATTACATTTTTTTCTGCAACAAAAGCAAAATAGTAATAAACATACACATGATCTCAAATATTTTATTTAGTCAAAATAGCAAAATATGTGTTTATGTATACAGCTAGCATAAATTGTCATATTTCTCTTATTCTTTTGACAGATCACATTTTTTTTCTTTTCTCCTATATTTGGACTACTAAAATTTAAGTCAACAAACAGGCTATAAATCATGCTTCTTTTTGGTCACATAAGAGGCTATAGTACTTTATATTGTATCACTACTGCATGAATTTTATTAGGATTAATCTGTTTGCAATTCCATTGTAATTTCATCAGGTTTCTAATTGATTCATTTTACTAGGTCTGAAAAAATTTATTCCTGATTCTATTACATAATGAGGTAATGCCTGTTGGCAACAGAGGAGTTAAGGTGTCCAGTGGTATTTCTATGTTTCCATAGGTTTAGTAACCACCATAAATAATTGTCAGATGTGAGACTAAAAGGTAAATTTTGACTTGAGATTTGTACTTGCATGTTGAATTTGTTCAACTTGAGGCAGGAGAATAGGTTCTGGGGGCAGGGAACTTAAGGACTTCCTAGAACTAAATCAAAGGGAGAAAACTTGACTTTTTATGGCCAAGTAAATAACTTTGCAGCTGTACTTCAACTATGACAGAAGACATCCTCTTCATTTGCCTAGGGTGTACACAAAGTAAATAACTTGATAACCTCACTTCATTCTCTTCATTTGCATAGCGTGTACACCAAGTAAATAACTTTGTAACTCCACTTCATCCTCTTCATTTACATAGGACATACAGCAAGTAACCAATGAGAAACCTCTAGAGGGTATTTAAACTTCAGAAAATTCTGTAACTAGGCTCTTGAGACACTTGCTTGAGCCTGCTCACTTTGTGGAGTGTACATTCATTTCAATAAATATGTGCTTTTCTTTCATGTCTTTGTTTTTGTGTTTTATCCAATTATTTGTTCAAAATGCCAAGAACCTGGACACATTCCACTGGTAATTTAAATTTTACTGCTACTTTTTTCAATTTGTAGATGTTAAATGGTGCCAATTCTCTAATTATATTCTTCAGAACTATGATAATTTTAGACAGCATATATTAGTTACATGGGATTCAAGTATTTTATATTCAGAAAGCAACAACAATATTTTTCTAAATTTTCTTTATTTCAGTGATGGAAAATCTCCATAAACTATGTTGTTATTAAAAACTGTGTGAATTAAATTTTGTACAAACTTTTGTAAAATGCCAATCAAAATTTACTTTTCACTTAATGTTTCTGAATAATGTAGATTTGCCTGACAAGCATAAATCTAGTATTCATAAGAAAATACATTTTTATTGATGATCAAGAGTTAATATTTTTGTTGACTACACAATTGTAAATATCTAGCATCAATCTATTTTATATCTTCAACAGATAATTTTGGCATAAAAGCACAAAATGCTAGGATTGACTCCATTTTAAGAATTAGTTAATCTGAGAGTTTTGCAAACTCCATCTGGTAATTATGGTCCCTCACATTCAGTTTGGCAATAAGAGTATGTTAATATCTTCCACACAGAATAGAAAGTATCTACCAGAAGTGTTCATTATACATGTATTAATAGAGATACAATAATGTTTGTCACATGTGCTGTCTGAATCAGCTTAACTAAAATCAACAAGCGACTGCATGTTTTTGAAGAGCTAACCACTAACAAATAGTGGCAATGGTGTGGAACACGGGAATTCACATGTAAGTTGGTAAGACTGTAAACCAACAAAGCCAGTTAATCAACATCTACATTGAATATACAGCTTCTATTGATTCAATGTTTTTACTTCTAGCTTATATGAAAGAGAAGTTCTCAAATTTCTGCACAAAAAAATATGAACAAGTAAGTTTATCAAACGAGTTTTCACACTAGAAAACAACTCAAAAATTTATTGTCCATTTATCTATTAGTTTGGTAGGGTTGCCAAAATAAAATACCACAGACTGATGGCTTAATCAATAGAAATGTATTTTCTCACAATTCTGAAGGTTGAAAGTTGAAGATCAACATTGTGGCAGGTTTGGTGTCTCCTGTGGCTTGCAGACAGCTCCCTTCTCCTATGCCCTTGCCTGGCCTTTTCTCTGTTCATATGCATACCTGGTGTCTCTTCTTTCTCTTAAAAGACATCCATTATATTGGATTAAGGTCTTGCTCTTATAACCTCATTTAATTTTAATTCCCCTTTTAAAAATTCTGTCTGCAAATACAGTCACATTGGAGGTGAGGGTTGTGACATATGAATTGGTGAAGGGCATAGTTCATAATAATCTACAAAAGTGAATAAAATGTTTGGTGTATTTATTTAATAAAATAGTCAACAACAATGAAACTAAGTAATATCAGTCAGCCAGAGATAAATTATTCTGTGGTAACCTATGACCCTTACTACTTTCAACAACTATATGTATCACTCTCTTACACTACATCCTAGGTTAGTCTCTGGTCTGTTCTCCTACCTTTGCACTATGGAAATAAATAGAGATCCCTCTATACAATTCAAGCCTTTCAAGGAAGACAGGAAGAAGTTACAAAGATGGACCATCAATGTGCATTCTTTTCTCCACATTTCATTGCCCAAAACAACTTGAATGGCTACTTGTAACATCAATAGGACAGGAATAATTCATCTACTGGAGAAGTAGCAAATATATTACACCCTACCACAAAAGGACTAAACTTTTCACTGTCAGTAGGGATAAATCTCACATGAAAGAGTGATAATAACAATTTGAAGATAAGAAGATAAGTATATTCAGTAAAATGTGGTAGCATAAAATATAACTGAATACTTTGAAAACATTTATTTACATAAAATCATAATAAGGACACGCAGGGGAGATGATAAATGCAAAATTGGGGATAGTGGTTAATTCTAAAGAGAGATCATGAAGATCATATATGTGGGGAAGTGGGCACATAGATGTTTGTCATTTCACTCTATATATCTTCTTCAAGTTTATATATCTTCTTCAAGTTTTTGCTACCACAAAAAATAAAAAGTATTTGAAGTAAGGCATATATTAATTAGATTGATTTCGCCATCCCACAAGTTATACTATATTGAACCATCATGTTGTGCACCATAAATACATATAATTATTTGTGAATTAAAGATAAATATGTATATATAAATAAAAGCATTATAAGAAACTGAAATAGTTGTTACAAGAATATAATAATATGTTCATTAGATTTTCCTACATTTATTCCGGGTTTATCATTATTTTTATATTGAATTAAATCTGATAGAAAAAGTGTATATAATAAACTTTCTTGATTTAAGACTGGAAATTTATCAATTTGTCTGCTTTTACTGATGTATATTTCCTAGTCTGTGTGCAGCTTGAGGAGTTTTAGGACATACTTCTGCATGAACTGTGCCTAGAATAGTAGATAGATAATTAGAAATAAATAAATCTTCTTTAAATCTTCTGTTTTAAAATATTTTAAATTTTTAAAATGTGCAATGATTATTTTAAAAAAGAAAAAAGCAGCCGGGCACAGTGGCTCATGCCTGTAATCCCAGAACTTTGGGAGGTCGAGGCAGGTGGATCACCTGAGGTCAGGAGTTCCAGACCAGCCTGACCAACATGGAGAAACCCCATCTCTACTAAAAATACAGAAAATGAGCTGGGCGTGATGGCGCATGCCTGTAATCCCAGCTACTCGGGAGGCTGAGGCAGGAGAATCGCTTGAACCCAGAAGGCGGAAGTTGCGGTGATGAGCCAAGATTGCGCCATTGCACTCCAGCCTGGACAACAAGAGCAAAACTTCATCTCAAAAAAAAAAAGAAAAAAGAAAAAAGAAAACGTCAATTTAAAATTGTATTTGTCTGGAGCTGTCTAGTAATCATTTTGCTTTTTAATGTTTACTTCCTTGACCTTCTCATCACCAATGTCCTTTTATTCTACTTTGCTTCACTTATTAGCTCTGATGAACAAATCTTGTAATTGTCATTTCTCTCTATTTATGTTATAGGTAAAAATTCTACTTCTGATTATTATCTTCTTATTTTGTCACAAATACCCAGCTTTGGAGCTTTTACATGTATGCAATAAAGTAACAGAGGGAAGAAACTTGAAGACATTGCAAAAATGTTATTGAAGGGTGAACTATAGTAAATACTCCAGTTAGTTATCAAGTAAACATTCCTCTCAATTTCTTAAAAACAAAATCTCATAGTTGGA
The DNA here is from genome assembly GCF_000001405.40 of Homo sapiens. Lineage (NCBI taxonomy): Eukaryota > Metazoa > Chordata > Mammalia > Primates > Hominidae > Homo > Homo sapiens. The sequence continues at coordinate 43,772,457 of NC_000014.9, forward strand.
GACAGCCTTAAGAAAATAAATCAAGATGGAGAGTAGAAGGCACTTGTGGGAAGCTTTTGTTTGTTTATTTACTAATAGGAAATCTCTATTTCTGTCCCTTCCTTCTTGCTTCAGATTTTGGTAAGAAGACAGTATTTGGGACTGCAGAATTCATCTTATAATCATGAAAGAAAAATCAAAATATTTGCATATACCTCCCTCTAGAGCCTTGATATTTTCGCCCTACTGAAAGAACTCTATCTTGAGACCTTTTATTGTATAAGGAAAATTAATTGGTAAGCCACTAAAAGACATATATGTGTTTTATTTTAGCCAAAATCAATCCTGATGACAGAATCAAAGCTAATTAGGTAGAAAAATCTAAAAGAAAAAATACATGATACACACATTTGGAACAAGTAGAACAGTAGGCGAAAATTAAGAAGAACTCCACTGAAAGCTGGGTTCACCAAATACAGTAAATTGATTCCAGAGTTAATTAATACATCAATTCAAGACAACAAACTTCAAATACACCTTAAGTGTTTCCTGGTTTCTATTAATTTTCTCTGTTTAACACACTCTTGAGTTTCCAGTGTTGATGTTCACTCTTTTCAAACTTCCATGTTTCACTCATTCTGATTCTGTTTTCATCAGAAGACAGCATCCTTTTTGAAAAGAGAAGCTCTTAAAAGAGAACTTTCTGATCATCACCAACATATCAATCTTAGAATCAATCATAGCTCCATCTTCCCCTTCCCTTCCTTTTTCTTACAACTCAGATCTTCTTCTTCCTCTTACAACCCAAATCCTCTTCTTCTTTTCATCTAAGGACAATGCTTCCACCGTTTCTTGAGGTTCCGTCCTTTCCTCCTCATCCAAAAGCAGGTTTTTATTCATCCATCCTCTCCTTTCAAACTCTCTCAACTGACTTTCTAAAAACTCCTAAATAATTTTTGTAAAGTATTGAAACAAATCTTTTGTCATTTTTTTTTGTTTGGTTGGCTGCCTTTAGCTTATTAATTTGTAGTTATTTTCATTTTCTTCATATATGTTAGATATTTGTATAATATTTTTAAAACTGTCAGAAAATTCCATAATAAACTCTTTTTCTCACTCTGTCCCATGTATTTGCATGTTTAAGTTTCTTATAGATGCTGGGTATTAGAACTCTGTTGAATGCATAGTTTGCAAAAATTTTCTCCCATTCTATACATTATCTATTTACTCTGTTGACAGTTTCTTTTGCTGTGCAGAACTCTTTAGTTTAATTAAATCTCATTTGTCCATTTTTGCTTTTGTTGCAATTGCTTTTACAATTTTCATCATGAAATTTTTGTCTATGTCTATGTCCCGAATGATATTAATGTAGGTTTCCTTCAAGGGGTTTTATAGTTTTGGGATTTATATTTAAGTTTTTAATTTATCTTGAGTTGATTTCTGTATATGGTGTAAGGTAGGGGCCCACTTTTAATCTTCTGCATATGGCTAGCCAGTTATCCCAGCACTACAGAGCTTGAAGACTGTCTTTCTGAAATAAGTGGCAGACAAGAATACAGAAAAATGAATAAAAAGGAATTAACAAAACCTCTGAGAAACATGGGATTGGGTAAAGGACAAAATTTACAACTGGTCCATGTACCTGAAAGAGATGGGGAGAAGGGAATCAACTTGGAAAACATATTTCAGAATATGATTTATGAGAACTTACCCAACCTAGCTAGAGAGGCCAACATTCAAATTCAGAAAATGCAGAGAACCCTAGTAAGATTCTCCATGAGATCATCCCCAAGACACATCATCATGAGATTCTCCAAGGTCAAAACAAAAAAAAAAAAAAAGAAAATAGTACAAGCAGCTGGAGATATAGGCCAGGTCAACTACAAAAGGAAGCCCATCAGACTAACAGTGGATCTCTCAGCTGAAACTCTACAAGCCAGAAGAGATTGGGGGCCAACATTCAACATCTTTAAAGAAATGAAATTCCAACCTATAATTTCATATCTGGCCAAACTAAGCTTTATAAGTGAAGGAGAAATAACATACTTTTCAGATAAGCAAATGCTGAGGAAACTTGTTACCACCAGATCTGCCTTACAAAAACTCCTGAAGGAATCACTAAATATGGAAAAGAAAGACTGTTACCAGCCACTACAAAAACAAACTAAACAACACAGACCAGTGACACTATAAAGCAACCACTTAAACAAGTATGCAAAATAAGCACCTAACATCATGATGACAGGACCAAATTTACACATATCAATACTAATCTTAAATTTAAATGGGCTAAATGCCCCAATGAAAACGCACAGGGTGGCAAGCTGGATAAAGAACCAAGACCCACTGGTATGCTGTCTACAAGAGGGTCATCTCACATGCAATGACATACATATGCTCAAAATAAAGAGATAGAGAAAAACCTACCAAGCAAATGGGAAACAGAAGAAAGCACGAGTTGCAATCCTACTTTCAGACACCATTGACTTTAAACCAAAAAAAGATCAAAAAAGACAAAAAGGGGCATCACATAATGGTGAAGTGTTCAATTCAACAATATAACCTAACTTTCTTAAATATATACTCACCCAACACAGAAGCACCCAGATTAATAAAGCAAGTTCTTAGAGATCTTCAAAGAGACTTAGACTCCCATACAATAATATAGGAAGACTTCAACACCCCACTGACAATATTAGACAGATCACATAGACAGAAAATTGGCAAAATATTCAGTATCTGAACTCAGCAGTGGATCAAAAGGACCTGATACATATCTACAGAACTTTTCACCCAAAAGCCACAAAATATACATTCTTTTCATCTATACATGGCACATACTCTAAAATTGATCACATAATTGGGAGTGAAACAGTCCTCAGCAAATGCAAAAGAACTGAAGTCATAACAAGCAGTCTTTCAAACTATAGCACAATCAAATTAGAAATGGAGAATAAGAAACTCACTTAAAACCATACAATTATATGAAAATTGAATAATCTGCTTCTGAATGACTTTTGGGTAAATAATGACATTAAGGCTGAAATCAAGAAGTTCTTTGAAAATAAGGAGAACAAAGATGCAACATACCAGAATCTCTGGACACAACTGAGGTAGCATTAGGAGGGAAATTTATAGCACTAAATGTCCATATCAGAAATTTAGAAAGATCATAATTTAACAACCTAACACCATGACTAAGGGAACTAGAGAATCAAGAGCAAACCAACCTCAAAGCTAGCAGAAGACAAGATATAACCAAAATCAGGCTGAACAAAGGAGACACACACACACACACACACACACACACACACACACTCACACACACACACTCAAAAGATCAACAAATTCGGGACCTGTTTTTTTTGAAAAATTAATAAAACAGATAGACCACTGGTTATACTGATAAAGAAGAAAAGATTCAAATAAACACAACCAGAAATATCAAGGGGGATATTACCACTGACCCCACAGAAATAACAACAACCATTAGAGAATACTTTGAACACCTTTATGCACGTAAACTAGAAAATCTAGTAGAAATGATAAATTCCTGGACACATACACCTTTCCAAGACAAACCAGGAAGAAAATTGAAGCCCTGCACAGATCAATAATGAGCTCTGAAATTGAGGCAGTAATAAATAACCTACTAACCAAAATAAGCCCAGGACCAGACAAACTCAAAGCCAAATTCTACAGATGTACAATAAAGAACAGTCATCATTTCTCCTGAAACTATTCCAAAAAACTAAGGAGAAGAGACTCCTCCCTAACTTATTCTACAGGGCCAGCATCATCCTGATACCAAAACCTGGAAGGGACACATCAAAACCAACAAGCAAACAGAACTTCAGGCCAATGTCCTTTATGAACATTGATGCAAAAATCCTCAACAAAATACTGGCAAACTTAATCTAGCAGCATATCCAAAAGCTTATCCATCATGATCAAGTAGGCTCTATCCCTAGAATGCAAAGGTGGTTCAACATACACAGATCAATAAATGTGATTCACCACATAAACAGAACTAAAGACAAAAACCACATGATTATCTCGGTAAATGCAGAAAAGGCTTTAGACAATATTCAACACTCCTTCATGTTAAAAACTCTCAATAAACTAGGTATTGAAAAAACATACCTCAAAATAATAAGACTCACAAATAACAAAAACCACAGCCAACATCATACTGAATGGGCAAGAGCTGGAAGTATTCCCCTTGAAAACCAGCAAAAGTCAAAGATCCCATTTTTCACTACTCCTATTCAATATAGTATTGGAAGTTCTAGCCAGAGCATTCAGGCAAGAAAAAGCGTATCCAAATAGGAAGAGAAAAAGTCAAATTATCTCGTGTTTATTGGTGATGTGATCCTATATCTGGAAAACCCCATTGTCTCAGCCCAAAAGCTTCTTAAGCTGATAAACAACTTCAGCAAAGTCTCAGGATACAAAATCAGTGTGCAAAAATTGCTAGCATTGCTATACATCAACAACAGTCAAACTGAGGGCCAAATCAGGAATTCCCACTCACCATTGCCACAAAAAGAATAAAATACCTAGAAATACAGCTAACTAGGGAGGTGAAAGATCTTTACAATGAGAACTACAAACCAGTGCTAAAAGAAGTCAGAGATGACACAAATGGAAACATGTTTCATGCTCATGGATGGGAAAAATCAGTATTGTTAAAATGGCCATACTGTCCAAAACAATTTATACATTCAATGCTATGCCTATTAAACTACCATTGACATTCTTCACAAAACTAGAAAACAACTATTTTAAAATTCACATGGAACCAAAAAAGAACATGAATAGGCAAGGCAATCCTAAGCAAAAAGAAAAAAGGTGAAGGCATCATGCTACCCAAAACTTCAATCTATACTACAGGGCTACAGTCACCAAAGTGGTGGTACAAAAACAGACACATAGACCAATTGTACAGTACAGAAAACACAGAAATAAGGCTTCACACCTACAACTATCTGATCTTCAACAAATCTGACAAAAACTAATGCTAATTTTATTACATTTCTTTTCTGAATTATCTAGATGATCATCAAATTTGCTTGTGGCGCATTACATTGATTACTTTTCTAATATAAAAATGTCTCTTTCATTCCTAACACAATTGTTTCTGCTATCTTTTTGTTCTATATGATTGGATTCACTCTGCTAATATCTTCTTTGAAATATTTGTATATCCATCCATAGGAGAGATTGTCTACAATATTATTGTTTTGAAATGTTCTTTTCAGGTTTTGGTATAGAGATTTTACAGAGAAAGATTGGTATTGTTTCTTCCTAATTGTTTAGAAGTACTTACTTCTAAAGACAACTAGACTTAGAGATTTAGGGGAATAGTTTTAAGCATGGGATTTAATATTTATTTTGTACCAGAATTAAGAATATAAACTAAAATTTTGAGATTTCATACATACAAAAAAGTGCATTTCTCTACTCTTAGTTACGTATGAAGCTTAACTAAGTTTTTATAATAGAAACCTATACGCACAATAATGAAAGAACTGCCAATGCATTCAAAATGAGTCAAAGTAATAATATAGTAAGACAGCAATATTTTTACACATGGCATTATTATAATACATTATTTATAAAGATATTTTGAAGGATAACAGTCTGATTTATATCTTGCTAAAGAGTATCCAACCAGTGTGAAACAGAAAAAAACTTTGGTTGAATTAGGAGGATATTTGATAGAAGATGATGTAACAAATTGTTCTGAGAGATTGTGGTATATGTTCTATCAAGCATTAAAAAAAGAAATCAAACAAAAAACATTTTAATATTTTGAATAATATATTCATGTTGTTCATCTAAACCTCTAGTTGTTATGTAACATCTTAAAGTATAGAAATGTCCTGTCTTAATTATCCTCTTAATTATTCTTTTAAGAGGTAATTTAATTTTAGATAAATTCTCTTAAAAAATGTAAACAGGAAAAATTGTTTTTCGTAAATAAAATAGCCACAGTATTTTCAAACCTATTTTTATTTATCTGTAGCCTCAGAGCCAGCAGAATAAGGTTTTTTGATACTCTAAAACAGAGGGAAAATAAGTTAAAGGAAAATATTATGCTATATGTTGGCAAGTTTTACCTGCTTTCATGAAATAAATTGAACATACCATTACATCATAGTCAAGTTATTACATACTTTTGTTTATCTATTACTGTATTACAAAAGGGAAAAGTACTACATTCACTGTATGTTAACAATGATAATACAGAAGGCGTAATATGAGAGAACAGTTCCAACACATTTGGAAGTGGAGTGCACTGCCAAGAATGTTTAGCTTTTACTGACTTGTAAGACTGGTTAATTTTACTGAAAGTTACTCTCTAAAACATTTCCAGCTTGACTGAAAATGAATCAATATTTACTGATGAAAGATTACACAACTTTGAAAGAGGCAGACAAACTCTAAAATTGGTCTTTTACTACCTGAAAGAAACTCCCATCAGTGAATAGTCTGTGGAATAAAGAACAAAATAGCATTACCTTTGACTTTTAATTGATTTTAGTTGCTGGAAGACACTAAACTAATCAATAACAGTAATAATGACAGGAACTAGGGTCTCATGTTTGGAAGTTCACTAAAAAATATTATGTGTATTCAAAGCAATGTGAAGGTAATAGGCATGAGGTCTCTACCATAAAACACCTCCCCCAATAGCTATGGTGACATGTAAATCAATATGAGCCCTAAGCAATGGAAGAATCTTCTAGTTGAGTACAATAGCAGAAAGTGGTGTTAAATATGAGAATGAATGAGAATGAAAACTGAATTTCAGTTATGCTGCTTTTGGCTGCAAGTACAGAAAAGCCAACTATAATGGATAAAATAAACAAGTGTATTTGCTCACACAACTAAAAGTCCAGAGGTCACTGGATTCAATCTAGCTATATCCAGTAGGTCTGGGCTACATCTTTCCCTGTGAATTCCTCTGTGTTCATTCCTACAATGGTGTCCTTCATGAGAACAATCTAACGATGAAGGTCAAAGTTTCACAATCACAGAACACAAATTCATGAGGGTGAGATATATCTTCTGGTGGCTTTATTTTAGGAAACAGAAAACTTCTTTTGCCTAAGCTCCCAGCAAACCTCTCTTTCATCTCTCCGTCTCAGAGTCAGCCATACCCCAATCTTGAAGCTAAAGGAATTTTTGTAGTTAATTGACTTGGAGATTACTGCAGGATTTAGCAGGCTCATCCTTGGACCTGTGGGTGAAGTAAGATTTATTTTTTCTATGAAGGAAATATGTCAACCGAAAAATAAATTAGTGTACTCCCAAAAGTAGAAGTGAAAAGAAAGTTTCATATGATGAGAAAGAAAATTATTACAAAACCCTATTTTTCAGCTCTCTTTACTGATATAATAAAAAATATACTCAAAAATGTAGATATAAGCTTTATCTATAAAGAGGAACTGTTAAAAAAAAAGTCCAGTATTCAGCTAAAATCTATTCAACACATCCTATTCACACATTCAATTTCTAATGAGGTTCTTGTCACTGAGATTATATTTCATTTAGAAAGACAATCAATTCAATAATTAAGTGAATATGATAACCACATAATGTTAAAGATCTGTGTAAGAAATAAATAGAGAAATATGATAGGAAATAAAAGGTAGAAAGCCAGACTACTTTTTATAGAATGACCAAGAAAACATTCCCTGGGAAGATGACATTTAAGCTTAAACATTAAACATGAAAGTTGAAAAAGAGACGTAAAACAGTGAGTAGAGAAAGTTGTTTCAGAAAGAGAATACAGAAAGGGCAAAGGGCCTGAGGTGCCTGTGCGTGCACGCACACACACATGCACACACACACACACACACACACACACACACACACAGAGTTAAAACATCTTGTTTTTATGGAAATAGAATTCACTCTGTTAAGGGTGAAAATGGGGTAGAGGAGATGTACAATACAAAAACATGCATAAATAATAAATATGTGAAAATATGTGTGCTTTGGGAAAAAAATAAGCAGGGAAAGACTGAACAAATAGCAATGACGGGGACTGAAAAAGGCTTGAAATATTAAATACAGTGTCAAGAGAAGAGCTTCAATGAAAGGGTGAAATTTGAGCAGATACCAGAAAGAAGAAAGAGAACAAACAGGTCATACAAAGAGCTGAGGAAAAACGTTTATGTAAAGAGAAATGCAAACAGAAATAGCCAAGATAAGAGCTTGGCTAACATTTTTTACAAAAGCAAGAAGGCTAGCTCACTAAAGCAAAGAGAACAAGTTGGGAGAGCAGATGAGGTATTGTAGGGCATTGTTGCTTTTGTTGAGAATTTTGACTTTTACTCTGAGTGACATCAAAGCCATTGGGAAATGAGTTGCATAAGAACAACATAGTCTACATGATCTGATAGATTTAAGATCATCACTCAGGCTGCTGTGTCATGAATTAGAATGCAAGGGGCAAGGACTAAGCAAGGATCCCTAGAAGATACTATTTAAAAACTAAGTGGGAGATCACAGTGGCTCAGGTCAGAGTAATAGTAGTGAAGGTGGAAGAAAACGGTTGGAATCTGGATATGTGTTAAAGCAAAAACGGAAATGATTTATCATAAGATTAGAGGTAGGTGTGAAAAAAATAGTATTTATAAGGAAAAATAGCAGTTTCTAAATGTCTTGGAAAAATAACTTTTTGAATATTTATAAATACCATTAAAAGATAATGGCTTCTTCATGTATTATAATTCTTCATGCCTTTTTCAATAACTTTTAATTTTTTTAACAAGTAGAAGCAAATAGTGGTGAGACTAATTTTACCTTTGGAAGTCAATTATTTTGTGTTAAGTAAAGAATAAGCAGTTATACCAGCGTCGTTTTTCAAGTATTATGTGTAACACAGTAGCATGCATCTTTGCAATAGTTTTGTGCAGATATGTGATTGAAGAAATAAAGACACTGCAAAGCAATGACTGAAAAAAAGAGAAACGTTTATAAAAGATCTCAAAATATTGACAAAACTATATATACTGAATATAAATAAATTGAAAGAATTTTTCTTTTTATTTTAACTTTTTTGAAATTATACATATATATGTATATTTTGCATATATATATATATACAGGAAAAAAGCTTATACCATAACTGAACAATTAATGAATTTTCACATGCTAAACATTCCTTGTCACTAGCACTCATAAAAGAAAAATAACAAATACCTCAGAAATAATTTTGTTGTTCTCTTTCAATTACTATTCCAATAGTTAATCACCATACTGATACATAAAAAATAAATGTGTTGCGTTTTCATATTTTGTGTATAAATTAATTCATTCAACATACACACTTTTGTGTCTAGTTTCATTAATTCAACAGAATGTTTGAGAGATTCATCTATATTGATATAGTTGTCAATCTTATCACTGTACTCTGTGGCAGATTTTGTTTTCAAAGATGGCCACACAGTGTCTCCCAACCCACATGATCTTCAAATTGAGCTTGCTGCTTCCTAGAGATGGAATCCAATTCCTATCCACTTGGATTATCCTGACATTAATGACTTTCTTGTAATCAGTGCAATGTGGCTTAATGAATAGGGTGTGACTTATGACTTCTAATGCTAGATCAGAAGAAGCACTGCAGCTTAGTTCTTATTTTTTGAAACACCAGCTCCTCATATACTCCTTCTTGGGATCCTCCCTTCTTAGAATGCAGCTGAAATTCTCAGAGAAGCCCAAGTCACATGCAAATGTTCCAACTGAATAATCCCAATTAGATATCAATCACTCCAGTGAAGTAATATTCAAAAGCTTCTGGTTTCCAGCCATTTAAGTCAGCCCCAACCATTCAAGTCTTCCCAGCTGAGGCCCCAGACATCATGTAATAGGGATAAATTATCCCTGCTGTGCCTTATCTCAATTTCTGATTCACAGTATCTATGGCCATATTGTTTGTTATTTTATTCTGGTGTATTTGAAATGGTTTTGTATGCAGCAACAATGGCTATGTATGCAGCTACTGGAACCTGTACCCATTCTCTGAATGAACCATAGTCAACTGTGGATGAGAATTTGGATTTTTTTCTACTTTGTAGCTTTTATGAATAGTGCTTCTGTGAACATAACATCTGTGTATTGTTGAGCCTTTGTATATATTTGTGTCGAGCTTATAAACATGAATGGAATTAGTATTCATTGGTACAGATTAAAAGATAGAACCAAATAATTTTCCAAAGTAGATGTAAAATATTTACATTCCCAGGCTGGGCACGGTGGCTCATGCCTGTAATCCCAGCACTTTGGGAGGCCGAGGTGGGCAGATCACCTGAGGTCTGGAGATAGAGACCAGCCTGACCAACATGGTGAAACCCCATCTTTACTAAAAGTACAGAATTAGTTGGGTGTGGTGGCACATGCCTATAATCCCAGCTACTTGGGGGGTGAGGCAGGAGAATTGCTTGAACCTGGGAGGCAGAGTTTGCAGTGAGCCAAAATCGCGACATTGCACTCCAGCCTGGGCAACAAGAGCAAAACTCAGTCTCAAAAAAAAAAAAAACAAAACAAACAAACAAAAAAAACTACATTCCCACAAGCAGCGTATGAATTCTGATTGTTCAGTGTCCTTGCCAACATTTCATTTTTTATCATATATCTTTTAGCTATTCCAGTAGATGTAGTATGCTATCCCATTGAAGTTTTCCTTGCATTTCTCTGATGTCTTACGTTATGAACAACTTTTTGTGTGTTAATTAGCCATTTAGATGTCCACTTTTCAAAAGGAAGTCTTTAACTCGTATTTCAACTGAGTTTTCTTTATTTTCCTTATCAATTTTAAGAAGTTATATATTCTTGATATGTGTATTAAAAATAGCTTCCCCTACTCTGTAGGTTGCCTTTTCAACTCTCAATGATGTCTTGAATTAACAAGAGGTATTAATATTAATATAGTCAATTTTATATTTTTTCTCTTAAAGCTTTGTATATACTATTTTAAAAGTCTGTTCTTAAATCAAAGTCCTAAAGTTATTCTCCTTATTTTATTGTTCTGCCTATAATATTTAGGTTTTTCAATACATTATAATTTTTGTTTATGATATGAGATAAAAATTTTTGTATTTGAAAGATGGAAGTTCAGATATCTACTTTTGCTTATTAACAACCATTTATTGAACAAACTGTCATTCCCCAATGTACTGCATTGCTGCCTTTGTCATAAATCACTATTATTTTTTAAGACATCATTATCACTCACCTGTCCTTTTCCAGTAGCCTCATAACTAGTAAACCCTGCCTTATTTCTCTCAAACTATACTTGAAAACCAAAAATCTGATAATATCAGTCCCCTACTATAAAACTTTTCATGGTTTTTCAATACCTAAAACAATGTTTCTCTCAGTGCAAAACTTAAAAATGCAAATTCTGTGGGTCCTCCTTCAAACCAAATGAATCAGAATGAGGAGAACTGATGATGGCATTTAAAAAGTGCAAGATATTGTATTTTTAGAAATATGAAAGTCAGTGGTTTATCAAATTAAGACAAAATTCCTCAGCATAGATGAAAATATACAAGGTACTCCATAATCTTGTTTCTGTTAACTGATCTTATGTTCTACTCATTTACATCTTTATATCTGTATTTGCACTTGTTGTTCCCCAAAACCCCAACTATATTTGTATCTTACGATTTTCCCATGTGGTGCATATCAACTTTTTTAGGCTCATCCCTGTGGACCCCTCAGCCACCTCTCCCTTAGAGGGGTTCTTTGCCTCCCTGAGAAGAATCAAAACACATCCTCATATACATTTTCCCCCTAATTATTGGCCATTTATTTAGGATCTCACCCATTTTTTCGCTATTCATGATAAGTGGAAGGAAGCAATAAAAATATATTTTTATGGATATGAACCATCTACCAACATGGGAAGCCAGGATGAGCTATTATCAGTTTTAATTAAAAATAAAATAAAATAAATTGGCTGGGCGTAGTGGCTCATGCCTGTAATCCCAGCACTTCGGGAGGCCAAGGCAGGCAGATCACGAAGTCAGGAGATTGAGACCATCCTGGCCAACATGGTGAAACCCCGTCTGTACTAAAAAATGCAAAAAATTAGCCAGGCTTGGTGGCACGCACCTGTAGTCCCAGCTACTCCAGAGGCTGAGGTAGAGAAACCGCTTGAATCCGGGAGGCGGAAGTTGCAGCAAGCCAAGATTGCGCCACTGAACTCCAGCCTGGGCAAAAAAAAGAAAAAAATCTGGCCAGGGGCGGTGGCTCACGCTTGTAATCCTAGCACTTTGGGAGGCCAAGGTGGGTGGATCACTTGAGGCCAGGAGTTCAAGACTAGCCTGGCCAACATGATGAAACCCCATCTCTACTAAAAATACAAAATTAGCCAGGAGTTGTGGTGGGCGCCTGTAATCCCAGCTACTAGGGAAGTCTGAGGCACGAGAATCGCTTTTACCTGGGAGGCAGAGATTGCAATGAGCGGAAAACGCGCCACTGCACACCACTGTTGTGCCTGGGCAACAGAATGAGATGCTGTCTCAAAGAAAAAAAAAAAATCTCCTTTCCATTTTTATCAGCAGAATACAGTAAATCCAACATTAATTTCTAATGATATAGGCCATTGTGAGCAAATACATTATTTTACCATTATGATAAAATGAATAGAGATGAATAAGTACTATGGTCAAAAGCTATTATTAGAATATTATCTTATATAGAGGAAAATGTTCCTTTCAATTATTCTGAAAAATGTATATGCATTCACATAATTCTAACTCTTTTCTTATAATTGCTTGAAAACTCATAATTCTCACCAACAATAGAATTATGGATCACTTTTTTTAAATGTCTAATTGTTATTCAAATTTACTTTTTTATACGCACACAATTTTATTTTGAAAAAACTGTATGACACACATTCAAGGAAATGCTTATTCTATGTATTTACTCTTCAGAATTAAACAAATATTCGTAAATAAGAGAATTTCACTATTATGATTTAGCCATATATTTATAGGTTCTCTAGCACTGATTGTAATATTTGTGTGTTTGTGTATGAAAAATTTTATAATTTTAAAACTAGAATATGCATTTACATATTTGAAAAATTAAGAAATATGCAAAGGTGACCACATACTAATGTATCAAAGTCCAATGATTAACAGTACTCTGCAAAAGTTATTCCTCTGTAACAAAAGAAAACTTTGATACCATTTACTACATTCTCAACTAATTTTGTGACAAAGTCACTTATTTTTATTCTAAATTGCATTTTAAATTGCACACATAATTATTGTTGTATACAGTTGTGATTTGCTAATATTTATTCACCGATTTACCAATTCATTTTTACTCCATTCCTTCTTGTATCACAAGCATTACTTCTGGGATCACTTTCCTTCCTCCTGAAGGACATTCTTTCCAATGTTTTTTCTCAATGGCAATTGAGTGTGGGTCTGAAACTGCCTTTTGGGATACAGCTTTCCACGTTGATTTTTTTCTTAGTACCCAGCTTCTATAGTTGCTGTTTAGAACCAAGCTTACTGTCACTCTCTGAATAATTTTTTCTCCCCCTCAGATTTTTACGATTTCCTCTTGATTTGTCCTTGTTTAGTTTCACTGTCATGCTTATGAAAAGGGAAATGTTCCCTTGTACCCCTCGCAGGGTGTGTGACAGGGAGAGCTGCTGGCTTCTTTGGTGCCCCGCTGCTCAAACCCCCTAGGGGGAGAATGCATGTGGGCAGGTTGTGGGGCTCTGACCCCATGGCAGTGTCTAGGGGTGAATGTTTACAGCTCCTGAGGCCCCAGTGGGCATGCGTTACAGTGTCTGCTCTTTTAGTTTAGCCGTCCACAGGCGGTTTGTGTTTCTCAGCTCAATTAGACCCTCTGACTTATCGCAAAGACAGGGGACTTTCTGTATCCTGGGGTTTCTTTCCTTGGTGTACTGGAAGAAGCAGATCACACCTGGGCTTGGAGAATAAGTGCAAGTTTTTTTATTGAAGTAGCTCTCAGCAGATGGGGAAGCCAGAAGGGAGATGGAATGGGAAAGTTTTCCCCTGGCGTTGGGCCACTCAGCAACTGGACTCTTCTCCAACTGCCCTGGCCAAACTCCAGGTCATTCCACCGGTTGATGGCCTGCCAGCGTGCTGGCATCTGCTGGTGCCTGTCAACGTGCTCTTCAACCAATATGTTCCTCTCAACGTCCAGCCTCTTGTGTCTCTGCCCGCTAGAGTCTTGGGGTTTTTATAGGCACAAGATGGGGACGTGGTGGCCAGGATGGTCTTGGGAAATGCAACATTTAGGTGTGAAAGCAGGAGTGCCTGTCCTCACATAGGTCCATGGGCCCGGGCCTGAGGGTAGAGCCCTAGCCAGGGCCCCACCTTTCTCTACCCAGCATTTCCCTGCCCTCCTCCCAAATCACTTGCATGTATATTTCTTCTATTCATCATGCTTGAGATTCATTGTACTTCTTGGATTTCCTTCTTGTCATTCTGGAAAACTCTCACTCATCATCTCTTTAGCACTGCCAGTGACCCATTTTTGCTGCTCTTCTTTTGGAAGTACAACTAGCTCTCACTGTATTCACAATGTTGCTCAAAGTCCTTGAATTTTCTAGTCTTCTTCACTATCTGTTATATTTTGAATATGTTTACTACCATATATTTTAGTTCCTTTGTTGTATTATTAGCTATATTTAATTACCTTGTAAACTTATCTACTTAAGTTTTAAAATTATTCTGTATTTAATGTCTTCCATTTCTATTCACTTTTTAATTTCAAATCCACTGGGTTTGTGTGTATAGTTTCTATACTCTGTAGAAGTTTCAAAGACTTTTTTAAAAACAATGCTGGTTTTCACTCATGGTGCTATTTTTTCAGATATTTTGCTATTTATTTGTTCATTTTTTTGAGATAAACAAACAAATAAATAACAGCCGGGGCAATAGACTCTTGCTCTGTAACCCAGGCTGGAATACAGTGGTGTGATCTCAGCTCACTGCAACCTCCACCTCCGGGGGTCAAGCAATTCTCCTGCCTCAGCCTCCCAAGTAGCTGGGATTATAGGTGCCTGCTGCCATGCCCGGCTAAATTTTGTATTTTTAGTAGAGACAGTTTTTCATCATTTTGGCCAGGCTGGTCTCGAACTCCTGACCTCAAGTGATCCTCCTACCTCGGCCTCCCAAAGTGCTGGGATTACAGGCACGAGCCCCCATGCCTGGACATGTTATTTTTTATTCTAAGCCTCAGGTTTTCCTGAAAACATTTTACTGAAAAGTTTGAGTCATGACAGAATGGTTGATTTCTCTAGAGGGGAGCAAGTTGCACTTGTTTTGAGCATTTTTACTTTTTTTAGGCAGATGGTCTGTCTGAATAATTTAGTCTGCTATAGTAAGGAAATAAAGGTTTTCATGTCATCACATAGTAAATCTTTTACACCAAAAATACATTTTCCTCTAAAGTTGACGCTGCATTTAGTGAGTATATTCTTTAGCTAGCGTTCAAGTTTTAATACTGTCTGTTTTCTCTTGGAGGCATAATAGAAATACCTTGCTATAGCTCTTCTTTATTTTCTTTCTTGTTCTTTTACATTTTTTTTATCTCTGTCATTTAGGACATAATTTTTATGTTCCTCTTATTTGCACATATATTTTATATTTTTCTTTTAATATCCACATTTTCTTTTAATATCCTCTTATTTTTGCCGTTGATAAGTGAATAAGTGCACTTTGGGTCTCTGTAAAAAGGCTCCATAATCATGAGTACCTATTTAATGCCTAGAACAATAAAAATATTCTGCTTTTATAATAAATATTTACAAAACAATGTGAAGCAGCTTAAGTAAAAAAAGAAAGAAAAGAAAAAAGAAAGAAAAATGTTTAAAAGAACGCTTTGCATTTTTTAGTTTACAAAATGCTGATGCTAGAAGGAGATGGAATGTTTAGCAAGATTTTGAATATATTTTCTAACCAGTTCAATGGATTAAAGTATTTATAGCAGTATTTCTTTTATAATGTTTCATTTAACTTTAAAAGCTCATAAATATATCATTAACACTGAATCCATTTATCACCAGTATCTCTTGGGAAAGTTTTATATGAAATGAATGGAGAAAAAATGAGGACAAATTTGAAAAATGTTTTTCTCTTACGCTACATCTGTGAGGTAGAAGAGAATGGAGAAGAAATGATTAAAGGGATCCAAGCTCTTGCATTATGGGTCAAATAGTCTTAGTTGATGAAATCTTCAAGGACAATAAAAGTCAACATTTGGATAAGGTATTTGTAATTAACAAGGGAATATGAAATAATATAAATATTGCCACTTAT
This sequence comes from Homo sapiens, assembly GCF_000001405.40. Taxonomy (NCBI): domain Eukaryota; kingdom Metazoa; phylum Chordata; class Mammalia; order Primates; family Hominidae; genus Homo; species Homo sapiens. Next base: position 43,788,764 of record NC_000014.9, read on the forward strand.
CTGCTTTATGACCCTGGACATGTTAACTATTTTAACTTACATTTTTATTATCTGTTAAATGGACGTGAAAATACTGACCTTTTCAAACTATTATAAATATCTAAAATAACACATGTAAAATATTACACGTCAGGGATTTTAGGATTTATAATTCTCTTACTACTGATTTTGTTATCATCAATTTGATCCTCATGCTCTTTGATGTGTGTATATCTCATAGTAAAAAAAAATCTTAATCTAGTTATGTTTCATTTATTCAGACAATTATTTAGTAGGTACAGTGTGGAGCAATGAAGGAGGCTGCAGAGTTAGTGCAAGGGATCTGCAATTCATACAAGCAACAAGACTTGTCTGGAGACTGAAAAATAGTATCTTCCACATATACATACTACTGTTTTCCATTCTGTGTAGTTGTGACTAACAAAGATTAGTAAAATAGACATTTTAAAGGAAAAGTGGATTATCCTTTGTTAATATTAATAAAACGGCCACTAGAGATGAATGTAAGCTGAGGAAAATTTGTATGCATAATTGTATGTCAATATGTGTATGTTCAGGTTGACAAAGAAGAGAACAATTACAAGAGAGGATGTTGATTATTGTTCAACTAACACTAATTAAGCACTTATTCTAAGCCAGGCACTAAGTAGAACTAAGTGCTGCTTCAAGAAGGCTTAGAGTGTGGATAGGATTATAAACACTTGACAGATAAGCATGGTGTGTGCATAGTTCTCTGATAGGAAGAAGAGAAGAAGTATGGTACTCCTCCAGCCTTTATTTCACCTCCAATCTCCATCAGTTAGTCCAATCATTCTAGTAAAACTTGTCTATCCATGCAGGCCAGAGTCCAGGACATATCCTAGCAGGGGTTTGTAGCCCAGAGACAATTTGCTCTGCTAAAGAGGAAATACCCTCAGGGCATCTACCTGGCTTCACAGGCTGCTGACCACAGGTAGGTGAAACTAAAAAGCAGAACTGGCGTTTGTATCTTTGTTTGTTTTTACATCTACCACCAAATTCATTCAATTGTCTTTGAAAATTTTTGTTAGTGAAGCTATTGTCTTTAAAAATATTTTGATTGATATTATAAATCGGTATCTTATTTTTCTAACAACCCTGATTCATCAAAATATATGTTGTGAACTATTCAAAAACATTACCTATTGAGACTTAAAGAAACTATAAAGGTCAAGGTTTTTTTCCTGAACTTATTACTCCCACAAGTCATACCTTAAATTTTGTCATCAATTCCATTTAGTTTCCAATGTCTCCTAGCAATAAAGTTTCTATTGAAAGAGATAAACTGTGAGAATAAGCCCCAGCTTGGGTGGATTTATTCCCATTAGACTTACTCCAAGGTGAGTTATGTAAATTAAGATGTGAAACACAGGATAACTTTATTTTAAAGAGATGATAGAGCTTTTTCCAAAATTCTTCTGTTACTATTCAGACCAGGATATACTCAAAATAAGATGTATAAAGTATCTATTGGTGTTCTCTAGAGTTTTTGAGAGAAAAGGTAGGCATTCAATAAAGAACTATCATAGCATACATTTTTTCAACCTTTTAAAAATATCTCTGCCTGAAGAAATAAAATCTGTTACTCATTCCAACCTCACCGTCCTATCTAAATCATTTCTAAAATCTCCAAGCTATCATTTTATAATTAAAGAATGAATAAAATTTATGTATGGTGATTTCTACAATTCATATGGCTACCAAAAAGGGGTCCCAATCCAGACCCAAAGAGAGGGTTCTTGGATCTCACACAAAAAAGAATTCAGGGTGAGTCCGCAGTACAAAGTGAAAACAAGTTTATTAAGAAAGTAAAGGAATAAAAGAATGGCTACTACATAGGCAGAGCAGCCCCAAGGGCTGCTGGTTCCCCTTTTTATGGTTTTTTCTTGATTATATGCTGAATAAGGAGTGGATTATTCATGAGTTTTCAGAGAAGGGATGGGCAATTCCTGGATGAGCGGTGAGGATGACCAGAGGTTCTGTTGTTGCCATCTCGATTTTGGTGTGTTTTGTCCGGCTTCTTTCCTGAAACCTCTTTTATCAGCAAGGTCTCTATGACCTGTGTCTTGTGTGACTTCCTATTTCATCCTGTGACTAAGAAAGCCTAACCTCCCGGGAATGCAGCCCAGTAGGTCTCAGCCTTATTTTACCCAGCCACAGTACAAGATGAAGTCACTCTGGTTCAAACATCTCTGACAATATGGACTTGTAGAACACATATTTTTAATAAAAATTAACTTTATATCTAAAGGATTTTTGTGAATATGCAGAATTTTGCTGCTAATTACTATTTGTCACAAATCATGGGAAAAAGTCACCTAGAGATCTTAGTTATCAAGTAATTCTAGAGTTAATAAAGAGTCTAAAATATGAGATGTTAACCCAAACTTTCTAAAAGTAATCGTTCACAATGTCTGAAACAACTACATGGAAGCTATATACATCATATTATGAATAGTATTAAGGCCATATGTTATTTACATGATAAAATTTCCTGTCATTTTTTTACTTTAAGTTTTTAAGCATTTTACATTCTTTCCTTGCTTTTTTCTCTCCCTTAAGAATTGAATATATATATACATGTTCTTAATTATTTTAAAGGATTATTGTAGTTTCTTATATGAGTCATTTCCTAAACATGCATAATTAGTGCATGTAATATTTAAACTACAGGGAGATGCCTCAAACTCTCACAAACATGTTTATTTTAAAAAAAGGGAAAAGAAGGGAATAAATAAACCCTTCATGCTAAAACTAAGAAAACTGAGACAGGAAATCTACTTTATAAAACAGGAAGGCATTAAATTCCTTAGAGTCCAATTAAAAGGTAATTAAATGTAAAAGAAACTCTACTATAAGCATGGTATTAATATATCTGATAATGTTACCATAAGAATGATCAACTGGAATACCTAGAGAATAGGGAGATGAGAGAGCAACAATATGATACTATTTTGCTTAACACTGTTCAGTTCTGAGGGATGCTGGTACTGTACACACTATTTTCCTGGGAGGTGATTTCTGTTAAGAGACACAAGTGGCTCATTTTACCCATGACAATCTCATCTCCTTTTGTTCAGATATTTTGTTCCCCCCCCGCCAAAAAAAAACCTTCTAATTTTTTAGTTCCCTTTTTCAGGTTTTCCAATTTTAGAAAGGAGGTGCCTGGGATATAGGGCAGAATTTTAAATATTGTCTAGTGAAATTTAGTATATTGATCTTTTAATTTATTCATCCTTATCCTATGATTTTAAGAATTTAGTTGAATGTAACCTTTTCTATTGTCATTCCAGCTGAGTGAAGAAGCTCAGTTGAAGCAGCTCAATTATTTTATGATAAAAATAATAGAAGAAATGCTTTAATGTAATAGATGATCAAAACCAGTGAATGTTACAGTAAGTCAGTGGTGAGAATTCAGATGAGAATGAGATCAAATTTTATGGTGGGGGTCAAAAGTAGCAGTGATGGGTAAGATAAATTGGGTTTTTGAGAGATTAAGTGCAGCTTTTGTCATATCTGGACAGAATACAAGTCAATATCCCACCCAGAAGTAGAAGACATATTCTGCTCTGTCTCTAAGGAAAATTATGACCTTTGCTGAGTGATTCACTCCCAAATGGGATACAGAAGGTGCCAAGTAAATAGTCCACCTTTATTTCTGTAGGAATTCTATGTCCCTAAGAGATCTCGTAGAAACAGCCCTCTTCTGTCCAGCCTCTAAAATATCTCAAATTCCTTTCTATTTTGAATGAATTAACTTTAAATTATCCATGGGATATAATCTCTTATATATCCTCTGTCACTCCAGGTGAAAATAAAAGTCTCCTTCATTATCTAAATTATCATCTATGTTTCTACATTATTATCTGTCTTGATGTTTCAATGGTTCATTTAAAATGTTTCAACTGATTTTAACTTCTATTTGTTTTGGTTTAATAGGGAAACTGCATTTATGCTTATTTATCTTTTAAACACTAAAGGCAGATGACATTTTAAAATTCCTTATGGAAATAGAAAGAGTATACTATATATGATAAAATGGACCTCCAGTTGGGTAGGTAATTTCTTCTTCCAGAGTACTTTTCTCCACAGTAAAGGAAAACACTTCTAAGATCCAACAGAAGAGCCTAAAATTTTGACCAGCGCTTTTGATCTTTTATATTCTCACCTCTAGCCTTTATTATCTTCATATTTTCTTTTTTAAATTTTTTACATACCTACAAATGATCTATATTTTTACTACAAAAACAAGCAGCTAAGCATATCCACAGTTTGGCCATTTCTGTATATTTTGAGTAGAGAAAAAGTGAAGAGAAAGAAGTGCTGTTTTTGCTTCTGAAAGTAGCCAGTGACTAATTCTTATGTCTCTCTGTTGTGTGTGCGTTGTAGCGATGCTCCTGTGTTCATTGCATCCCTCAAGCCTTTGTTGATACTTGTTACTTGGGATAGGAGGCGACTCTGCCAAAAATATTTCTCAAAATAGCTTGCATATTTGACATACATGAGAAAACTTTTATAAGCAAGTGAAAACAAACTTTGAAGTCCTGAGATGCTAGATACTTCTATAAAAAGTAATTCTTCATATTTAAAGTTAAATTTCCAAAGCGATTTGTTCATGCATTTTCATATTGCTTATTGTAAATTATATTGTTAAATTAACAAACAGCCAAGCATAAAACTTAAACAAAGAAGTATACCTCTAAGACTTAATGGATAGGGCACATTTACATTAGTTCTTTGTTAGAGTCTGTCTATTGCTTAGTGTTGACCCTCTGCCCATGGCAAACACCACGGAGTAGACTATTTCAGCACCAGGAATGACTTTGTGATATCTCTCTCTATCAGCTTTGGCAATATGTTAAGAGGCTAAAAAGGATCTGAGAAAAAAGTTTAGAAGTTGCAGCCCCTGGCAAAATTCATTAAAAGGCATGGCACAGAAGTTGAAAAGCTCATCATAGAACTACAGTCAGCATTAACACTGCAGGGCTCCAGTACTTTCCCAGAAAATGCGACACCTCCAGGCATTCTTTGATTTTAGATTGCCAGCCAAAGCAAAGCACCAAAAGCCAGAAAGAGCAAGAAAAATTGATCTTCTGTCAGCAACCAAAACGACCTATAATCTTGTTCTACTTGAAAATTGTTAGTAAGTTGCAAAAAGGCTTGGGAAAAAGGAATTTGGTGGAAACTTCTTTCCTGAAATTCTTCCAAGATCCTAATTGTTCATCAAATATCCAAGAAATATGTACCCAGGGATGCTTAGGAAAAATATTAACAAATTATACTTAATGTTTACAGTGGAAGAGATACTAAACCAAGCACTTTAAGGGCATAACTCTATTTAATTCTCACACCAACTCCACAAGGTAGGTACTACTATTTCTCAAATTTTACAAATGTTTGAATTGAAGTGAAATGAAGTTAAGTGACTAGCTCAAGAGTATATAGTAGACTATAGAGGTGGGACTCAAGATGCAATACACTTCCTTCCTAACTACTGTAAAATACTGCCTCAAAATAACATAGAAATAAAACAATCCAAACCTTTATGTCTCCTATGCCAATGAGAGGCTACTCTTCAAATATTTCCTAGAATGATTGTCTATGAAAAAATTAAGTAAGCATTGAAAGAGATTGTTAGACAACAAAACAATAATTTATATTCAATTCCCTTTGCTCAAGAATATCATTAAATCTTTTATATTCTCAATAATCAAATAATTTTTCCATGAATTGTTTATTATTATCCCTTTTCATTTTTCTTCATATATATAAAATAGGCCTTTTCTATTGTTACTCTATTTTCCCTCAAACAGAGAATCCTGGAAAACAGTTCTATTTCTTCTGTATTTTAGAATGAATATAGACTCATTAGGAAATCTTATACTTGTATGTGTGCATACCTATATATTTTTATTTTAGATTCAGGGGGTACATGTGCAGGTTTGCTACATGGATATATTGTATAATGGTGGGGTTTGGGCTTCTAGTGTATCCTTCATCTGAATACTGAACATTGTACACAATAAGTAATTTTCTAACATTCACCTCCCTCTTAACCTCTGCACATTTGGAGTACCCAGTGTCTATTATTTTCTTCTTTATGTTCATATGTACTCATTGTTTAGCTCTCACCTATAAATGAGAATATGCAGTATTTGACTTGCTGTTTCTTATTTTACTCAAGATAATGGCCTCTGGCTTCTTCTATGTTGCTGCAAAGGACATGATATTCATTTTTATGGCTGTATAATATTCCATGGTGTATATGTACCACAATTCTTTTATTCACTCATCCATTGATGGACTGTTAGGTTTATTCTATGACTTTGCTATTGTGAATAATGTGTGATACACATAAAAGTTCAGGTGTCTTTTCTGGCAAAATAATTTCTTTTTTATTGAGTAGATACCCAGTAGTGGGATTGTCGGGTTAAATCGTAGTTCTACTTTTAGTTATTTGAGAAATCTTCATACTCTTTTTCATAGAAAACACTGTATATTTACTAAGCATAACATTGTCTGACCACAGTGCCAAGTAAGGAATCCATTTTTCCCTGCCAGAAGCTTCATAATTCTTCTAAAAGGTAGTAGTAGTTCAATAAAATAGGGACATATTATTCTAAAGTGCTACCGGGAGACAAATGTAAATATTGCACTGGGTAGTCATGCTCAATCAAATGAGCCAGAGCCAAAAAAAAATTATGACACCTCACCTTGGGCTAGGATTTGTAAGAAAATATACAGATATAAAATATATCTATGGAATAATTATTTTCTTATTCATTTCCATTTTTATTTGAGTATTTTACTAATAATAGTCAAAGAATTAACTCATTGTTTGAACTGAATTTTACATGTGTGTTTTACCAGAGTCATTTTTATTATGTAAATTATTTTCTTTTTAAAAAATGTCAGTAATTTAGCCTGTCTCCCTTTGCAAATCTATTTCAAATTTATCAAGGATTTAGAATTCAAAGGAAAAAGTATGTAGGTCATTGCTAAGCCCATTAACAGCAGCATTATCTTGCCACCAAGTGGTAGTTTCTGAATTGCACTGCAGGAGTTTGTGGTATTTTCAAGAGTATATCTTTTATACCATATTTAGTATTTGCTAAAAATCATCAAACCCATTATGAATGTGAAAATAATGGATAATATATGCCTTTCCCAAAGTATTCATATTTGAGAGGTGTTTATAATAAAAAGACTTGGTATTTGTGCTTCCTAATTTCTGGATTGATTCAAACTCCATCAGGTTTCACAGTGTTCAAGATAAACCCAAAATGATTAAGTGTAAATATTCTAAAAGCTTTGTTTAGGACTTTGAATTTTAAGACATGATATCATTTGCTCTCCTTTAATCTTTGCTAAAGGTTGAATTCTGTTAACTAAAAAGATATCTGCAATGATGTAATTAGTTAAGATGAAGTCATATTGGAAGAGGGTGGTCTTCTTATCTAATACAATTAGAGAAGACAGGTATTTGGACACAGACTCACAGAGGGAAGATGATGTGCAGACACATAGGGAGAAGATAGCCATATGAGGGTGGAGGCAGAGATTAGACTAATGCATATACAAGCTGACATCAAGGATTGCCAGCAAATACCAGAAGCTAGAAGCAGCAGAAAAAAGGAGATTCTTCTTTACAGGGTGCAGAGGGCCATGATGACACCTTCGTTTCAGACTTCTAGCCTCCAGACCTGTAATACAATAAATTTCTTTTGTTTTAAACCACTCAGTTTGTGGTAGCTTGTTATGACAGCGCCAGAAAACTAAAATAATTTTCCTTTCAAACTTAAAGTGTTTCTGCTAGATCACTAGTTAGACACTGATGTTGAGAAGACTAAGATTTATGGAACATTTAGACCTATTTGGGCTCCCCCAAAGAGAACCGCCTTTACTAAATTGTTAGTTTATTCCCTGTTACCTGAAGACAAAAATCAACATAGATTCAGAATGTAAATGTCAGGATGGAGCTGAAAGTAAACAAATAAGAATAATAACAGTAAAACAATTGGAGGGACCATCTGTGTTAGCTACTTGGCTTTATCCAAAGGAAAAAATAAAATTTTTCTGTTTTTATTACAAGAGGTAGTTTCGCAATTTATGGCAAGTGGCCACCGCTCAAAGTTAGGCTCCTATACTCACACAGAGACTGAGAGGCGGGTATTACCTTCCTCAATGGTTACATTCCAAATATATGTTTCCTAGGTCCCAAACAAAGACAGTCTTGAGTTTATAAGCTAGTAAGCCTTTTAAAATTATTTACATCTTAAAGTCAGAGAAAGAATTTGCAATTGCAAGCTTATTAACATGAATGCTCTGAGAAAAGGGAGGGGTGAGTCCTCTGGGGTTAGGCTATCTGAATTCTGTAAGGGCTAGGGTGAATGGAAGATCAGGGGCCTATGGGCAGGGGCAGAAAGAAGCCTCTCTAAAGGTTAGTCAAGCTGAGGGAAAGGTTACGGCCCTCTTGGTCAGCCTTTCCCATTAGTTATTTTCAAACCTGATAGAAGGCCTTGGGTAGCATTCTCAAGATCTTCTCCCTCAGTCCAACCTAAAGCCTGTTCTTTTAATCTCCTGAATGGTTGCACTTCAAACTATCCTAGGATTCTCTATCATATGTAAAACTCTTATGCTCTGGCATGGACAACAGCCTCTTCATTCATCCTTCTCATCACTGTAAACATTTTAGAATTTAAGCCTGATTTTGTGATTCCGCTGCTTAGTCTTTCACTAATGCATCATTGTCAAAGGTCAAAAAAAAAAAAAAAATCAACCTTTGAGAAACTTCACTAACTTGGCTAATTGGAAAAGTTTTCCCCACTTCTTGCAAGACGAACGCCATCACCTGTGCAAGAAGAAAACAATTAGGTAGAGACTGACCTGAGAGAATATCACATCTTTTTAATCAAAGCTCAGCTGATAACTAGCTTTGTGACATTGAGCAAGTCACAGAATCTATGGTAAAACAACTAATCAATTAAAATTAAATTAGAGAAGATATCTCCTATTTTCCAGTCCATAGCTTATTTTGGCAAACGGGGCTTGGAAGCACAAATGTTTTCTTCTTTGGTCTTTTGTTTTTGATTAAATTTATCTCCTGCAGGTAGAGGATGTTACAGCACAAGGGAGATTTTTATATAATAATTTCAGGGACTTTATTTCCTTTTTTAAAAAGATTTTTGGGGAAAAAATAAAAGATTCACAAGGTTTTTCCCTTAGGTAGCTTTTCTTGGGTTCTAATTACCTATGCCATTAAAGGTGTTATTTTTATTATTGCCTGTGGGTATTTGTTTGAGAAATTTGATAATAAAATAGAGAAAACAGTAAAGTTTACAACCTTCACTTGTTAATACATTGACCCCGAAAGAACTCTTAGCTCTCTTGGGTAAATTTATTTTAAACTTGTTAATATCGACTTAATATAGCATTTCTCCAGAAATTATTTTAAAATATGTTGGCATAAGTATTTGTCCTTAAGAAGAGTATGTAACGAAGGCAAAATAGTCCTAAAAACTAACTCTGCAGCATATTACTTAGTAAAAAAACATCAAAATTATACATCTATTAGGAGCTCAATTTTATAATCCAATTAAAATAAAATGAAATTTGAAATTTAGAATGCATAAGGACCCTATATGTGTCCCATATTGTGATCGCATAGAACCCTGTCAAAACATTTTTAAATCATTACCAATTATAAATTACAGATGTCTCAGCAATTGTTTAACAAGGAAAATAGCAATTATTTCAATCCTCATATAATGATAGTCTTAAACAGCATTTCCAGGTGCTATTAAGGTCTCTGATATTACAGTAATTTTGAATCCAATATTAAAGAAGTCATTGTGACTTTACAATAACCAAGGGTTTTTTTTTAACTTTCTCAGGACAATTTTAATTTCTTTAATTTCTTTAGTATAGTTTGACTCTAACTTCAGGTTAGAAATGTTTATGAAAAGTATTTTTCATTAAATATAGTTTCTTGTAGGTGTTTTATAAAGATTTAATAGTAAAAATTTTATGGCAGCATCTAAATGTAACTAACTACATTAATTATATCCTGATATATCATATGACAATATCCTCTAGGAATAACTACTAATAAAGGCTGCATTTTATATGTAGACAGCATATTATACAAAATATACTCATTTTTCTATTTTAATATATGACAGATTTTATTCTATTAGTAGAACAGAAGTGAAAATTATGCTAGACAATTACAAAGGAATTGAGGAAAATTGAGGAAATTTCCTCAAATTTCCTTGTGGAAGATTACGTCGAAAATTAGGGTAACCTTTTTCTCATATTTTACCAAGCAATTATTTGATATAAACATCAATTTCCTAAACAAATTTAAGGTGAAAAAAATAGCATTTAAAGGTAAACTATAACAAAAACTATGTAAAGTTAGTATATGAATTATATGTTGTAAAGTCTTACTGATTTGTGACAAGTAGACTGGGGATTTGGCTTTGAATATCCAAGCAGCAATGAAAAGATTGGAACATAATCAATGGTAAACAACCCATTTCTCAGAGGAAGCAACACTGTTGCTAGAACAGACACCATTTAAACTCTCATGGTAATTCTATGGAATAATTGCTGATAATGTCTCCTTTTAAAAGATAAGGGAACTACAAATCAAAAAGATTAGGTAATTTTCCCAGGGTCCCACAGTTGGTAAATGGTAAAACCAGAATAATAAACTTAGAAGTTCCTATTTGTTTTTATCACTGTGTGGTACTGGCATTAAAACATCACTACTTCCTGACTTATGATGGCATAAAGCTAAAGCACTGTTACTGAATGGGAGAAACACCGTTTATCGGGAGCAAGTATAATTAGACATATAATTAATTAAACATTTTATTAAATACTTATCTTTATCAACCTCTGAATTGGTCCTGTAAAAACAGTGAGGAACAAGCTATTTTGGGGTTTGGAGAAGTTGTTGGGGAGTACCTATCAGTACATACAATGTCTCTGCAAGAATTTTTCAAGTGAGTTACAAAATAGCACTCTTTATCAGTGTAAATTAACTGAAAGGGCAAATGATTTGGTAAAGAGTAGAACATAGACCCTACCAGTTCATTCTCTCTTATATGGGCACTTTGCAGTACACGAAGTGCAAAATCCTTCTCAATAGTCCTGAGATAGACATAATCATTGCTCACACAGAGTTCAAAGGCTGAGAGGAAAAAGAATGCATCTAAATGGAGATTTTAGAAAAAGAAAATAATTCACCATGGGAATGTGAAGATAGATGAAGTGAGGAGGGGAACAAAACAGGTAATTGATATGACATTATTTTAAAGAAAATAGAAATGCCGTGAAATATTGGCTTCTACATTCTAGTACTTAGTATGACAAGGATTGCCATCCAAAGCAAAATATTATATTGTCCATGAAACATTAGTGAGGCAATAAGCAAAAAACAAAACAAAAACAAACCATAAAGAAGCTGAGAAGTATATCATATTCTCATTATACTAATAAAACACATATAAGCACATTCAACATGGTAATTTAAAAAGTTGAAACAGCTGAAATAAGTAAGTGCTGAATAAAATTCAGTGTACATTATAGTATCACAAGAGTTGATTCCCTTTGTGGGAATTATTAATGCATGTTGAGGTAAGAAGCCAGATAATAATTTGATGTCTTCATTTTCTCTCATGGAAAGGTATGTCCCCCAAATAAGGAGATTTCTCTGGGTGCCATCATGAGAGAGATTTGGACTCTTTGAACAGTATGAGGCCCTTAGAGGACAGTAGGTATGGCTAATTAATTCCTCAAAACAAATGTGCAAAGCTATTTTATCTAACCATAGATAGTCTTGCTGTCCTTTGGTTTCCATTTGCATGGGATATCTTTTTCCATGACTTTATTTTCAGTCTATGTGTATCTTTGTAGGTGAAGTGCGTTACTTGCAGGCAGCATAGAATTAGGTTTTGTTTTTCTTTTTGTCTTTTTATCCATTCAGCTACTCTTGTCTTTTAATTGGAGAATGTAGTCCATTTACATTCACTGTTATTATTGATAGATAGGACTTACTACTGCCAATTTGTTATTCGTTTTCTGGTTGTTTGGTTGGTCCTCTCATCTTTTCTTCCTTCCTGTCTTCCTTTGTGTAAAAGTGATTTGCTCTGGTAGTGTGTTTTAATATCTTGCTTTTTATTTTTTTCTGTGTCTAGTATAGGTCTTTGTTTTGTGGTTACCATGAGACTTGGAAATAATGTCTTATAACTACTCATATGGCAAGGGATTAATAATCAGAATATATAAGGAGTTCAAACAATTCAGTAGCAAAAAACAAACAACTAATTTGATTAAAAAGTGTGCAATATATCTGAACAGATATTTCTCAATAAAAATTTTAAATGGCCCACAGATATATGCTCAATTTCACTAATCATCAGAGAAATGCAAATCAAAACGACGAGATATCATCATATCTCAATTAAAATGGCTTTTATTAAAAAAACAGGAAATAATGGATACTGGGGAGGATATGGAGAAAGAGGAGCCCTCTTACACTGTTGCAAATGTAAATTAGTACAGCCACTATGGGAAGTAGTATGGAGCTTTTTCTGAAAACTAAACATAGAACTACTCTTTGACCTAGTAATCCCGCTACTGGGTATATATCCAAAAGAAAGGAAATCAGTATATTCATGAGACATTGGCACTTCCATGTTTACTGTAGCACTATTCACAACAGCTAAAATATGGAATTAATCTCAGTGTCCGCCAATGAATGAATGGATAAAGATAATGTGGCACATGTGATATAGGAAGTAGAAAGAAATTTTTTAGGTGGATAGTGAGGGTAAAAGAGTCCTCAGCAGAGCTTCCCTTTTAACAGAAAGCAGCCCCAGAAATTATCTTTTCCTAAAAAAGACTAGCCTGAAAAATTGAGCTGTAAATATAATTAAACAATCTGGAAGCTTGCACAGGGGAACACCAGCAACTGTGCCAACAGAAAAGGGATATCTGGGGAGCCATACATATCCAACATGGAGGCTCCAACTTCCTTTTTTTGTTGTTGTTACCACTTGTACAGTAAAGGAATAGGCAACATGGCACAGGGCAGGCAGACAACCTACCTACATAATAAGAGATTAGGGTGGGGACTACCAGAAATTTGTGCCCTAGCCAAATGGCACACCTAGTCCTAACCAGTTTTCATGGCCTATGCAAATGACACACCTGGTACAACCAGTCTTCCATGCCCTATGTAAATCAGACACCACCTCCTCAACAGGCATCTATAAAACCCCTTGCATTTCACTGTGGATGTGGCAACCCATTTCTCTGGGACTCCTCTATGCATTTGACCTACACCTCTACATTTCCTCCCCCTCATGCCATGGTAACCACTGTTTCATTCTCTACCTCTACGTACTTGAGCTATTTTTTAAAAAAATAGTTCACGTATTAATTGAGATCATGAAACATTTATCTTTCTATGTCTGGCTTACTTCACTTAGCATAATATTCTCCAGGTCCAACCACGTTGTGGCAAATGGCAGATTTTTTTAACCTAAATAATATTCCATTATGTATAATTTATATTTTATAGTCTTACTAATTATGTAGAAGTAATTCAGATTACTTATAAATAAAATAAGAGGACCATGGCAAACGGGAGGCAGGACAAGATTGCAGCTTCAACTCGGACAGACAGAATAGTGTGTGGAGACCCACATCATGAATTTTAGCTCCAGAATGACTGCAGGAATAAATCAGAAAACCCAAGAGGACCCACAGACCCTCTGAAGGAAGTGGATTGCTCCTGCAGGACATGGGACACACCCCAAATACTGTGAGTGTCCAAACTGTGGAAGTGGGAAGGGAGATCCTCCACCCCGGAACACACACCCCCACTGGGGAAACTGAAGGTCTAGTTTATGGGAGAAGATTCTAACCTTACCTGTAGCTGAGTCAATTTAGAGAGCTGAGCAAAATACAGGAGTAGAGGAAGCAGCGGAAAAGGTCTTATGAACTCGCTGGGTCCCCAAGCAGGCCATTCCTGCCTGGCACCAGAGGAATCCTTCAGGAGGGCAGCCAGAGAGGCAGGAAAAATGCCACAGGAAGACGGAAGTCTCCAGCTGAACTTTATAACAATTTGAACAGGGTGAGAAGCCTCCTGGCCAGAACTCGGGGGAGGGTGTGAATCCTGTGTGCAGACTCCAAAGGCAGGGAAAGAACGAAAACCCTACTTTCTTTTGTAGCTGGAAGGTGGGTAGCCTGGGGCAAGTTCTCAACCCTGCTTTCCCACTGCCTGGAAACAGACTCAATGCTGTTGGGGGGCACAGTGGGAGGAGATTGGCCCTTTGGATTGTGTGGGAGCTGGGTGAGGTCTGTGACTGCCACCTTTCCCCTACTTCACTGACAACCTGCATGACTCAGTAGAGGCAGCCATAATCCTTCAAGGTACATAACTCCATTGACCTGGGAACTTCACCCCCATCCCCCACAGCAGCCACAGCAAGACCCGCCCAAGGAGAGGCTGAGCTCAGACATACCTAGCCCTGCCCCCCAACCTGATAGGCCTTTCCTACCTCCCCTGGTAACTGAACACACAGGGCGTATACTCTTGGGAGTTCTAGGGCCCTGCCCACCACCAGTTCCTCTCCATACTACCACAGCTGATGCTCTCTGGAAAGCACCACATCCTGGCAGGATGCCAACCAGAACAAAAATAGAGCACTAAACCACCAAAGCTAAGAACTCTCACAGAGTCCAGGTCACTCCCCTGTCACCTCCATCAGAACAAGTGCTGGTAACCACATCTGAGAGACCCATATATGGTTCATATTACAGGACTCTGCAGAAAACCCCCATTACCAGCCTTCAGTCTGGTAGACTTTCTGGGTGGCTAGATCCAGAACACAGATAACAAATCATTACAGTTCAGCCCTCAGGAAGCCACATCTATAGGAAAATGGGGAAAGTATTACATCAAGGGAACACCCCATAAGACAAAACAATGAGAACAACAATCTTCAGCCCTGGACCTTCTCTCTGGCAGAGCCTATACAAATGAGAAGAAACCAAAAAACCAACTCTGGTAATATAACAAAATAAGGCTCTATAACACTCCCAAAAAATCACACTAGCTCACTATCAATGGATCTAAACGAAGAAGAAATACCTGCTTTGCCTGAAAATGAATACAGGAAGTTAGTTATTAAGCTAATCAGGGAGGCACCAGAAAAAGGCAAACTCCAATGCAAGGAAATCCAAAAAATGATACAATAAGTGAAGGGAGAAATATTCAATTACATAGATAGCATAAATATAAAACAATTGAAACTTCAAGAAACATCAGACACACTTATAGCAATGCAAAATGCTCTGGAAAGTCTCAGCAATAGAAATCGAACAAGTAGAAGAAACAAATTCACAGCTTGAAGACAAGATCATTTAATTAACCCAATCCAACAAAGACAAAGAAAAAAAGTAAGAAAATATAAACAAAGCCTCCAAGAAGTCTGGGATTATGTTAAATGACCAAGCCTAAGAATAATTTGTATTCCTGAGGAAGAAAGAAATCCAAAAATTTGGGAAACATATTGTGTCCAGAATTTATTCCTTCCGGTGGGTTCGTGGTCTCGCTGACTTCAAGAGTGAAGCCGCAGACCTTCACAGTGAGTGTTACAGCTCTTAAAGGTGGTGTGTCTGGAGTTGTTTGTTTCTCCCAGTGCATTCATGGTCTCGCTGACTTCAGGAATGAAGCCACAGACCCTCGTGTTGAGTGTTGCAGCTCATAAAGTTAGTGGAGACCCAAAGAGTGAGCAGCAGCAAGATTTATTGTAAAGAGCGAAAGAACAAAGCTTCCACAGCATGGAAGGGGACCTGAGTGGGTTGCCACTACTGGCTGGGGTGGCCAGCTTTTATTCCCTTATTTGTCCCCACCCACGTCCTGCTGATTGGTCCATTTTACAGAGTACTGATTGGTCCATTTTACAGAGTGCTTATTGGTCCATTTTACAGAGTGCTGATTGGTGCGTTTACAATCCTTTAGCTAGACACAGAGTGCTGATTGGTGCGTTTTTACAGAGTGCTGTTTGGTGCGTTTACAATCCTTTAGCTAAACACAGAGAGCTGATTAGTGCATTTTTACAGAGTGCTGATTGATGCATTTACAATCCTTTAGCTAGACACAGAGTGCTGATTGGTATGTTTACAGTCCTCTAGCTAGACAGAAAAGTTCTCCAAGTCCCCACCTGACCCAGAAGCCCAGCTGGCTTCACCTCTCAATATTTGGGTGAAGAATCAAGAAAAGCTTCCCTTATACCCAGCCTTGCTAGAGACCTAAACATCAAAATGTAAGAAGCACAAAGAAAACATGGGAAATTAATCACAAAAAGATCATTGCTTAGGCACATTGTCATCAGGTTATCTAAAGTTAAGATGAAGGAAAGAATCTTAAGAGCTGTGAGACAAAATCACCAGGTAACCTATAAAGGAAAATCTATCTGATTAAGAGCAGATTTCTCAGCAGAAACCCTACAAACTAGAAGGGACTGGGATCCAATCTTCAGTCTCTTCAAACACAATTAGCAGCCAAGAATTTTGCATCCAGTGAAACTGAGCATCATATATTAAGGAAAGATACAGTCTTTTTCGGTCAAACAAATGCTGGAGAATTTGCCACTACCAAGCCACCACTACAAGAACTGCTAAAAAGAGCTCTAAATCTTGAAACAAACCCTGGAAACACATCGAAACAGAACCTTTTTAAAGCAAAAATCTCACAGACCTATAAAACAAAAATACAATTAAAAAAATAACCAAGGTGCACAGGCAACAAATAGCATGATGAATGCAATGGCACCTCACATCTCAATACTAGCATTGAATGTAAATAGCCTAAATACTCCACTTAAAATATACAGAACTGCAGAATGGATAATAATTCACTAACCAACCATCTGCTGCCTTCAAGAGACTCACTTAACACATAAGAACTCATAAAATGAAAGTAAAGCGGCGGAAAAAGTCATTTCATGCAAATGGACACCAAAAGTGAGCAGTAGTAGCATTCTTGTATCAGACAAAAGAAACTTTAAAGCAACAGCAGTTCAAAAAGACAAAGAGGGACATAATATAATGGCAAAAGGCCTTGTCCAACAGGAAAATGTCACAGTCCTAAACGTATATGCACCTAACCCTGGATCTCCCAAATTTCTAAAACAATTACTAATAGACCTAAGAAATGGGATAGACACCAACATAATAACAGTAGGGGACATCAATACTCCACTGACAGCACTAGACAGGTCATCAAAACAGAAAGTCAACAAAGAAACAATGAATTTAAACTATGCCTTGGAAAAAATGGGCTTAACAGATATATACAGAACAATCATTCCAACAAACACAGAATCCACATTCTATTCAACAGTTCATGGAACTTTCTTCAAGATAGACTATATGATAGGCCACAAAATGAGATTCAATAAATTTAAGGAAATTGAAATTACATCAAGCACTCTTTCAAACCACAGTGGAATAAAATTGGAAGTCAACTCTAGCAGGAAGCTTCAAAACCATGCAAATACATGGAAATTAAATAACCTGCTTCTGAATGATCATTGAGTCAAAAATGAAATCAAGATGAAAATTTAAAAATTCTTCAAACTGAATGACAACAGTGTCACAACCCATCAAAACCTCTAGGATACAGCAAATGTAGTTCTAAGAGGAAAGTTCAAAGCTCTAAATGCCTATATCAAAATGACTGAAAGAGCACAAACTGACAATCTAAGGTCACACCTCAAGGAACTAGAGAAACAAGAACAAACCAAACCCAAACCCAGCAGAAGAAAGGAAATAACCAAGATCAAAGCAGAACTAAATGAAATTGAAACTAACAAACAAAAACAATACAAAAGATAAATTAAACAGCTGGTTCTTTAAAAAGATAAATAAAATTGATAGACCATTAGCAAGATTAACCAAGAAAAGAAGAGAGAAAATCCAAATAAGCTCAATAAGACATGAAACAGGAGATATTACAACTGACACCACAGAAATACAAAAGATTATTAATGCTACTATGAACACCTTTGCATGCATAAACTAGAAAACCTGGAAGAGATGAATAAATTCCTGGATACAACCCTCCTAGCTTAAACCAGGGAGAATTAAATGCCCTGAACCGACCAATAACAGGCAGCAAGATTGAAATGGTAATTTAAAAATTAGCAACTAAAAACAGTCCAGGACCAGATGTATTCACAGCAAAATTCTACCAGACATTCAAAGAATTGGTATGAATCCTATTGACACTATTCCACAGGATAAAGAGGAAACCCTCCCTAATTCATTCTATGAAGCCAGCATCACCCTAATACCAAAACCAGGAAATGACATAATCAAAAAAGAAAACCACAGACCGATATCCCTGATGAATATAGATGCTAAAATCCTTAACAAAATACTAGCTAACTGAATCCAACAACATACCAAAAAGATAATCTACCATGATCAAGTGGGTTTCATGCCAGGGATGCAGGGATGGTTTAACATACATTAAGTCAATAAATGTGATACACAACATAAACAGAACTAAAAACAAAAATCATATGATCATCTCAATAGATGTAGAAAATGCATTCAACTAAATTCAAATCCCTTTATGATTAAAACTCTCAGCAAAGTCGGCATACAAGGGACATACCTCAATGTAATAAAAGCCATCTATAACAAACTCACAGCCAACATAATATTGATTGGGGAAAAGTTGAAAGCATTCTCTCTGAGAACTGGAACAAGACAAGGATGCCCACTCTCACCACTCCTCTTCATCATAGTAGCGAAAGTCCTAGCCAGAGCAATCAGACAAGAGAAAGAAATAAAGGGCGTCCAAATCAGCAAAGAAGTCAAACTGTCACTGTTTGTTGATGATATGATTATTTACCTCAAAATCCAAAGACTCCTCCAGAACGCTCCTAGAACTGATAGAAGAATTCAGCAAATTTTCCAGATACAAAATTAATGTATGCAAATTAGTAGATCTTCTGTACACCAACAGCGATCAAGTGGAGAATCAAATCAAGAACTCAACTGCTTTTACGATACCTGTAAAAAAATAAAATATTTAGGAATCTACCTAACCAAGGAGGTGAAAGACCTCTACAAGGAAAACTACAAAACACTGCAGAAAGAAATCATAGATGACACAAAGTAATGGAAACACAACCCATGCTCATTGATGAGTAGAATCAATATTGTGAAAATGACTACTAGAATTGATAAACAGTATTAGTAAAGTTTTAGGATACAACATCAATGTAAAAAAATTAGTAGCATTTCTATACACCAACAACGTCGAGGCTGAGAGTAAAATCAAGAACACAATCTCACAATAGCCACAAAGAAAAGGAAATACCTAGGAATACAGCCAACTAAGGAGGCGAAAAATCTCTACAAGGAGAAATACAAAACACTGTGAAAGAAATCAGAGACAATGCAAATAAATGAGAAAACATTCTATGCTCATGGATTGAAAGAATCCATATAATAAAAATGGCCATACTGCCCATAGCAAGTTACAGATTCAATTCTATTTCTATCAAACTACCAACATCATTCTTCACAAAGTTAGAAAAAACTATTCCAAAATTCATATGGAGTCAAAAAAAAAAAAAAGTGTCCAAATAGCCAAGGCAAATCTAGGCAAAGGAAACAAAGCTAGAAGCATCACATTACACGACTTCAACTATGCTATAAAGCCACAGTAACCATAACAGCTTGGTACTGGCAGAAAAACAGACACATAGACTAATGGAACAGAATACAGAGCCCAGAAATAAGGTCATACATCTGGACTATATGATCTTCAACAAGCCCAACAAAAGCAAGCAATGAGGAAAGGACTTCCTATTCAATAAATGGTGCTGGGATAATTGGCTAGCCATATACAGAAGATCGAAGTTGAACCCCTACCTTTCACTATATACAAAAATTAAACTCAAAATGGATTAAAGAATTAAATGCAAGACCTCAAACTATAAAAATCCTGGAAGACAACCTAGGAAATACTCTTCTCAACATTGGCCTTTGTAAGGAATTTTTGGCTAAGTAGCCAAAAGCAATTGCAACAAAGACAAGTATAGACAAGCGGGATCTAATTAAACTAACACAATTCTGCACAGGAAAAGAAAATATCAACAGAGCAAACAGACAGCCTACAGAATGGAAGAAGATATTTACAAACTATGCATCTGACAAAATCCTAATACCCAGAATCTGCAGGCAACTTAAATCAACAAGCAAAAACCAAATAACCCCATTATAAAATGGGCAAAGGATATAAACAGACACTTCTCAAATGAAGACATAAAAGTGGCCAACAAACATATAAAAAAAAGTTCAGCATCGCTAATTATCAGAGAAATGAAAATCAAAACCACAATGTGATACCATCGCACACCAATCAGAATGACTTTTTATTAAAAGGTCAAAAACAACAGATGCTGGTGAGGCTGTGGAGAAAAGGGGACATTTATATGCTGTTGATGGGGATGTAAATTAGTCTAGCCACTGTGGAGAGCAATCTGGGGATTTTTCAAAGAACTGAAATCAGAGATATGATTTCATCAAAAAAATAGATTACTAGGTATAATGCAAAAGAAAATAAATCATTCTACCAAAAAAAGACACATGAACTTATATGTTCATAGCTGTACTATTCACAATAGCAAAAACATGGAATTAACCTAGCTGCCCATCAGTGGTAGATTGGATAAAGAAAATAAGGTACATATATACCATGGAATATTACACAGCCATAAAAAAGAATGAAATAATGTATTTTGCAGCAAAATTAATGATGCAGGAGTCCATAGTCCTAAGAAAATTAACACAGGGACCGAAACTCAAATACCGCATGTTTTTATTTGTAAGTGGGAGCTAAGAATTGAGCACACATGGATACAAATATAGGAACAATAGACACTGTGGACTACTAGAGAGTGAAGGGATGTAGGTTAAAAAACTACCTATTATGTACTACTCTTACTACCAGTGTAGTCAGATCCATACTTCAAACCTCCCTATCACACAGTAGTCTCGTGTAACAAATCTGCACACGTACTCCCCATATCTAAAAGTTGACATTTAAAAAATGTTTTTTAAACTTAATGAAAATGAAAAAACAACCTATCTAATTTGTTGGATGCAGCTACACTTAGAGGAAAATTTCTAGTAGTAAACATCTAAATTAGAAGATAATAAATGTCAAATCAATGTGCACAGCTATTTCCTTGAGAAACAAGGAAGACAACAGCAGATAAACCACAAAGCACACGAATGAAAGGAAATAATAAAGACCATAGTGGAAACAAGTGATGCGCAAAACAAAATAAACAAACACATTGTAAATAAAAGTTGATTTTTTTTAGAAAATTCATAAAGTTGATTAACCTCTAGCCAGACTTATGAGAGAAAAAGAGAGAGAGAAGAAACAAATTACAAATATCAGGAATGAAAGAGGCTCCAGTTACAGTAACATCAAATATTTAGAAGTTTTGGAATAAATTAGAGAAAGAATTACTAAGACCTATGCACTGAAACCTATAAAACATTGTTTTAAAAAATTATAGGAAACCTAAATAAATCCAGAGATATACAATGTTCATGATCCAAGAAACTCAATATATTTATTTCAATTCTTTGTAAAGTGATGTATCGATTCTATACTATCTATAGTATAGAATTTTCCAATAAAAATTCTTGCAGCCTTTTTTTAAAAAGGAATTAATCAATTTACATTCATATTGAAATGCGAAGGACCTAGAACAGTCAAAAGCATCTTGAGAAAATAACAAAGTTGGATGATTTATTATAAAGTTACAATAATCAAAAAAATATGGTACTGTGACAAGGAGAGACAAATAAATTAATGGAAGAGAACACAGAGTTCAGAACTAGACCTATATATGGTCAGTTGATATTTGACAAAAGTGAAAATGCACTTCAGTGGACAATAAATAGTCTTTTCAAAAGCAGTATGGTTCTAGGACCAATGGATAACATCTAACAAACCCACAAAACAAAAAATTAATCTCCAAACCACATCTTACATGCAAATGAAAATTAACTGAAAATAAATTTTAAACCTTAACATTGTTAAATAAAATGTATGAGAGGTCATTGCTTTGGACTAGGCCACTAAACTCAGCCTAACAGACCAACCCAATATGGATTTTAACTACAGTAGTTGAGCTTTCATTAATTGTAAGAGGTTGTGTAGCCAATTAACCAATTAAGCTGTAACCAATTAGGTTGTCTCTATACTACACTTGCATTTTCTATAAATGCTATTAGATCATGTTATTGGTTGGAGTTCTCTAAACTTGCTTTGGTTCAGAGGACTGTCTGATTATCAAATCATTTCTGTTTCACTCTGTTCTGTTTTGTTTTTCTGTGCCCAAATAAACTCAGTTAAAATGTAAACTTGTCTAAGTTTTTTTCTCTTTACCATATTTGCTGTAGTTGGCAGGATCTGAATAAGAGTTTCAGTGACCCCAGGAGCATCAATTAACCAAGCACAGATACTCACTGAACCCACTGTGGTCACTATTTTCTTGCTTCTTATGGAGATTATGGGTAAATTCTCTCACGGCTTCCAAAGCTCCACAGATATGTTTTGAGCTATCTTATTTTGTTTGGGTAAACTTTTGATCCAGACTTGACTTGGAAGTTGCAGCAAAAACTGAAGTGGGTTCAGTAGTTAGATAAAGTTAACTGGAAGACATAATAATAGGTTCATTTGGATCCAGGAAGTCTAGAATCTTCTGGAACTGCTTCCAGGGTTTGTGTGTGCTATCAGAGCCCATATCACCTTTAGGTGATGTGTAGTGGTTTGTGGTGACTACCTGGATCAGAAAAAAACTGGACAGAGTCCATGGTCTGGTACTCTTCCATTTGGAACTCTTGAAAATTTTATGTATAAAAATCCCCAGCACGTGTGTGTGTGTGTGTGTGTGTGTGTGTGTGTGTAAGAGAAATAGATGGACCTCACCTAAGGTAATTTGGTATTACAGTAGCCATAATGAGAGAAGTTTTAAATTGGGTGAAATTGTTTATTTACAGGGTATATTAGAAAAAGAAGGATAAAAAAATCCATCGAAACAACGGAATATATAGTTAAAATGAGAACACAGAGGCTTTAAAAAAGACTAAAACACAAAAGGAAAAAAAAAATTACAGAGTGAGCCCTTAGATCAATGGGGTTTGCTTCTTTAAGTTAAAATCTTGAGCTCAGAACAGCAGTGAAAGCTATCTTGGCCTAGTTTTAAAGTTGCTTCATCTACCCCATTTGTTACTGAACTTTGCCCTGAACTCAGAAATCTAGCTTAAAAAATACAATCTGGGTTAAGAAGCTGCCTATCTTTAGTTATATTGAAACTATCTTTAGAGAAGAAAACTCACACTGGTGGAAGAAGTCTCCGTTTTTTGTTTTTTTTTGAGACAGAGTCTCCCTCTGTCGCCCAGGCTGCAGTGCAATGGCGCCATCTCGGCTCGCTGCAAGCTCCGCCTCCTGGGTTCACGCCATTCTTCCTCCTCAGCCTCTAGAGTAGCTGGGATTACAGGCGCCCGCCACCACCCCCGGCTACTTTTTTTGTATTTTTAGTAGAGACGGGGTTTCACCGTGTTAGCCAGGATGGTCTCGATCTCCTGACCTAGTGATCCGCCCGCCTCGACCTCCCACAGTGCTGGGATGCCCGCCTCGACCTCCCAAAGTGCTGGGATTACAGGCGTGAGCCACTGCGCCTGGCCGAAGTCTCCATTTTATGGACGTTTCTTTCACTTTTCATCTGGGAGGAGGAAGGGCTAAATCAGGAGAGGCTTTTACCATAGAGAAGGTAAAAAGACTTATATCTGTATAAACATGTCTCACCTTTAACCATTTTGTCTGAATGAGGCTTCCTACTCATGCCTTTCTTTGTCTCAGCAGGTAATGGTGTTTAGGCCTGAAATCTGATTACAATTAACAACCAAGCTAATAATCATTTAGGGCAATAATTATGTAGGTCGATAATTATGTAGGTCAATTAAGAAAACGAAAAGAGTCTCTTAATTCAGCCCCCTTGCTAAAATGAGTAAAAATGGTAAGTGAGGTGAAGAAAACAAAGTGGTTTTCTTTGGGGGAGGGGGGGAAGATGAATGGGCCCTAGAAGTATAAATGATTTGTGACAACATCTGTCTGGGTGTGAGAAAGTCTCCCCTCCAGCGAAGAGTTAATTTTCAGAGGATTGATATCAGTTGAGTACCTTGGAGGCTCTTTCTTTAGACAGACAAAGGAATTCAAAAAACCTCACCTTGCTTATCTATTAGTTTATTGGTAATCAATATAGCAAAGTGATATATTTTGGAGTAGTAGTTCTTGAAATTTTTCATTGGCTCACTTTGTTTAATGAGTGACTCAAGCATAATCATTAAGAATGAATAAGTTAGGTGAATAAAAACGGGATGACAATTTGTAGATGAGTTTCTCATAGTTTCAGGGATTGTTTCAGTTACTTGAGGTTTTAAAGTTATGTTGTATTAAGTGACATTTATGAAATGTCTAAATCATGCTTAAGTCAGTTAAAATACTGAAACTTGCTCCTCTACCATTCTGATTTTGTTGTATATTGGAGAAGTGTCTGATGAGGACAGGATACTTGTGATTCTGACTAGTGGGAAATTTCCTGATTACCTTTAATAATTGAAGTAAGCTACTAGAAATTGTTCTGAAGAGAAAACAGCTATTCATTGCTTTCATTGACACAATGTAGAATGTGTCTTGACTAACTGGAAAGCATTCAGCAATGAAACTGTGAGTTGGCTGAGGCTGATAATTAATGCATGACCACATTTGTTTAACAAGTATTTGACAATCTACTATATATAACACATTTTACATAGTAAAATGTGTTTTTACTATAGGGCCAAGGATATAATGGCAAACAAGGTTCTATAGATGTCGTTCTTCCCCTCATGGAATGGCATAGAAGAAACAGATATATACACATAGTACAAACAAGAAAATACAGAAAATTAGTAAATCCTGTAACACACTATGCACAAAAAGTATTGTCGACTCATTATAATCTGCAAAGGAACAAATAGTTGGATTGAACACTTCATGTCAGTCAATTTTGTTGCAGTTTATCTACTACCAAAACGTAGTGCTGGTCTCACAGTTTAATGTTTGATAATGAATACATTCATCTAGTGGTATATTCTGTTTTTATGAAGTATGGAGAGGTTAAGTGTACTTGTGTCTGTAATAAACATGAAAAAGGTTGTATTATGAGGAGATGTGTTTCTAATAAATTACAAAATGGTGTTCATCTATACAATGCTGATATAAAACAGTTCAAAATTGCTTGCATTTTAGGTTTTCACTAGAAATTAATTACAAATTAGAATTAATATGTGGTAATTAAAACCAAAGATAATAACTTCTTATTTGAAGAGAGCAAAACTTTTTTGGTGGGTGAAACTCTAAGGTGTGAAGGATGTGTTTTTGTAAAAAAAAAAAGTAATTTTGCCTAGTTTTGAGGTTGTTTAAAAGTTATTTCTGAAGAAAAAAGGAATAATATAGATAAAATTGAATGGATAAGAGGGTTGTAGAAGGTTTATGGAATATGAATTATGTCAGTGAAATTTTGTGTATGAATATGTTGGCTAAAATTAAAAGGGAATTATTAAGTTTTCTGAGAACTGAACATTAATGTCAAATATGACTATAAAAAATTAGAATTTGGTTCCCTATATTACAACAACAAGATTTCGTTAGAGAAATGATCTGCTTTTAATGGGAAACAGAGCTTTATTAGGTCTCCCAATTAAGAGAGAAGACTCAATCTTCCTAAGTAAAGATCTAGAATTTTTTCGACAATTACGCAGCTTTAGATATTTAATTATCACTCTGGTTAAATGAATGTCTATTATTTCATAGCGAACTGTGATCTTATTGTGATCAAGCACTTTCAATCTTTTATATATTTGACAAACTTCCCCAAATTGAATTCTAAATTAAGTATTTTTGACCTAGAATTGACTTTGGGATTTTCCAGTACGGCCCGTGGAGAGCCTCAAAGGATATATCCCTCATAATGCAGAGATGTTAAGTTAATCAAGCTTGTTTGATGTGTTGAATTGTATGGGAAGTATTGTCAAATAACAAAGTGATGTTAAATCTTTTAAAATTATATTTTATGGATATTTCAGAAATTGTATGAAATTCATAGAAATCTAATAGTCCTGGCATAACTTTGTCATTATTTTTCCTTACTAGTTCTGTTGGCCCAGCTCACTTTGTTGAAAGAACTTCTTAGAAAAATATAATGCTGCCAATTCCTTTCCTCAAAAAGAGGAAATAATTCTTGAAATGGACCGTCACCCATTGTCCATTTTTTTAACACCCTTGCCTATTCTTGCCCTTAACCCAAATCACAAAAATGCTAAGAGGTAAACTTTTTAAAAACACGTTCCTGAGGAAATTTCAACTAAATCCACTACAGACATTGCATAAATTCACTGGGCTTCTCCCATAAAGTTTCAAATTGGCCCAAACAGCCGCTTCCTAATATAAGACAGTTGATATTCCTTTGGTTGATTGAGTATTGGTGTTTCTTTGATTGACCTCCCTTTGGTTGAGGTTGATGCGTTTATTTGGGAATTTGGGGACAGTTGTCCCATTTGTTCTGGGAAATGCTTTTAGCTTTTGTGTAGGGTCTTCCTGGGGGCTGAGGGTCTTCCTGGTGGATGACAGCAGAGGGGGGCTTCCTATTGGTGAGCACTATTACAACTATGGGTTTATTTAATTTTAAACCTTATAATGATATCTTCCTTCTTTAACTCCAGCTGGTTACATATTTGAACCAGCTTTATTGGAGGGAGACACATGGAGGTAGGGAGAGACAGATATTAAGAACCAAGAAGTTTTTAAAACAGAAGATATATAGAAAAAGAAAAATCTAAATCACAGAACTCTAATATGCTCAAGATATCAGGTTCAAGACTTGCTTCTGCTACTTTTCCCAAATATAAATGTGGAAAAAAGTGCTTACCACACTGAAACTTAATTTTCATTTTGCAAACTGGCATTGGAAAGTGTACTTAATACATAAGTTTGTTGTGATATTAAATGAGATACAACAATGATTTTCAAATATTTCACCCATGTCCCATTGTAAAAAGTACATTAAGAATAGAGGCACACACACAGACTAATAATAATATAAAATTAAAACAAAAGCCACACAAAATAATGCCTAATCTGATTAAAGGTAATAAACTCTGAAATATGTATTTTATTCTATTAAAAATACTGCTTGAGACACACTAAAATGATTCTATGGTGCATTAAGTAGTTGTAAAGTACATTTTAAAAACACAGAAATAAGTTATCACTTATCACTGTACTTGATATATTTTAATCAATTTTTAGTGTTAAGGTCTTTGTACTGGCACTATATTTTTTATTCTTTTTACGTCCTTTTATTTTTTTAATGATTTATTGGCCTCAATTTCCAAATTCAGTGTTCATAACATAAACATTTATTTTCTTCTTGTGTTTTATTATAAGAGATATAGTTCTGAAATTTTAAAGAATGACCGAAGTAAAAATATTTTCAGAAATTATTCTGGAAAATGAATTTTTTTTTATTTGTCTCCAAAATTACAAATGAGCCATTTTAATGGTTTAAACATGGAAACTCTTTTAGTTATTTACAAAAATTTAACTCAACCTTTCCTCCTAAAATATAATGTTTACCTTCTGGGAAAAAAAAAGAAAGAAACAAAATAAAACATATTGGCTTATTCATTCAATGGATAAATATGCATTGAGTAAGGCTGGGTGTGGTGGCTCATGCCTGTAATCCCAGCACTTTGGGAGGCTGAGGCAGCAGAACACCTGAGGTCAGGAGTTCGAGACCACCAGCCTGGCCAACATGGTGAAAAATACAAAATTATTTTTGTATTTTTGCGAAAAATACAAAAATTAGCCAGGCATGATGACACATTTGTGGCACATGTTTGTAATCTCAGCTACTCAGGAGGCTGGGGTAGGGGAATCACCTAAATCCTGGAGGCGGAGGTTGCAGTGAGCCCAGATCGCATCACTGCACTCCAGCCTGGGTGACAGAGAGAGATTTTGCCTCAAAAAACAAACAAAGAGGGGGATGAGTATAATGAATCAAGTTCAATAATAAAAAAAACTTATCAATGTATTTGTTTTATCCATAAAGTGGCACCAAACATTCATTACATAATTTTGTTTCTATGAAGGAGAAGGTATATTTACATTTTTCTACATTTCCAAGCTGCCTGTGATTTCAAATTTTAAGCAAATGTTAAATAGATTTATAGAAATTCAGTTAGAAAAAGCACAAATTACAGATATCTTACTAACCATTAATATACACAACATATATATACAAAAATCTTTGAGGTCTTGTATACTTACTATAATTATGCCTTTAAATAACCTGGGTGTAGCGAGGTATGAGCAGAGAAGACCTTCAAAGTGCTCGAGAAGTGTTCATTGATACTTTAGATTCTCATTTATAATAGCATGCATTTTTTTGAGTAAAAACTGAATATATGTTTATGCTAGAACATTTGAAAAGTTAAAAGATGCTATGAAGAAGTCAATTTTGGAAACAACCTGAAAGATAAGCCCTGCTAACAAATCCTTATGGATGTAGCATAATTTATTCATGTAATTTTTAGTGTTATTAAAAGCCTATTTTAGCATATTAATTCCAAAGCAACATTCAAGTGCATACGTATGCTTGTATGAGGGCATAAACTAGCTTTGTTTAAAGCAGAATATATACATGAAACATAGACAAAAATGTCAATGTTGTCTCTGGAAATGCAAGTGATTTTCAGTTTCATTATGTTTGCTTGTTTTTTTCTCATTTTTCAATAATATATGCTTTGTGCAATAGAAATATAACATTAACAAAACAATTTAATGAATATTCTTGTCTGTATTTTTGAAAATATTTTCATTTAAGAAAGCTCATAAGAATATAATTACTGGCCTAGGGTTTATTCAAAATTAAATATTTTTAACCATCTTAAATTGTCCTCCAGAATTGTTGTATCCATTAATCCGAAATACCCTGCATGGAAGGGCCTTTTTGACAACATATTCATAACAATTTAATGCTATCTCTAACAGTTTGATGGGTTAGCTTCTCTATGTTAATTTACATTTATCTGATTACTCTAAAATATGCATATCTTTCAAAGTATATTTGCCATTTTTAGTTGTCTCTTTGTTCATATTAATTGTTTTTTTGGTTATTTGCTTGCTTGTTTCAGTTTATTGCTTTGGTGGATGAGGTTTGTAAAATTCTAACATTTTACTATACTTTTTAGTTCATGAATTTTTAAATTGTCTACTCTGAATATTAAAAAGATGAAGTGCTTCATATTGTATAATTCTATTAGGTATCTCAATCTGTAAATGAAGATAACATGATGTTGTAGCATTATAAGCTTTCTAATATTCAAAAGTACTTATTGCTGAGGGAAGTAGATCAGATTATTTGCATTTTATTTTTACTCTCTTCATTGGATTATTAAACAGATTCTTTTAAGCCTAATTGCTATCTGTGGAATTAAGCCTTAATTACTGGCTATTTTTTGCAAGCTGCTACCATGAATGTATCTTATTTATCTATCTCCCCAATGTCTAAAATGCAATATTTAAGACGTGATATAGGGGCACAATAATCTGGAATGTCTAGGCATTTTTAAAAAATTGTTAAAATAAATGTGCTTTATAATTTTAATGTTACTAAATATTTATAAAGAAATAATATAAGTAATGTCTTAGAACAGGATCAATGAAGAGTCCATACAGGGTTAACATGCTCAAAGTTCCAATGTTTGCTTAATGTATTTTTCTTTAAATATAATTGATCCCATTGGACAATATACTGTTCTAGAACTAGGACACTCTCTTTTTCATCTTTATATCTCTAGTACTTAGCACAGTTCCCAGAACACACAAGACACTCTATTAAACTATTTTAAACTGAACCATTAGATTCCAAAAATATATATGTCAAATAAATGAAAAAATAATGACTTACAGGTACTAAATATTAGAAATCTATCATCATTCAGCATCAACTGTTTTTAAAGTCCACCTTCAAATATGAGTTATAGGCAATGTAGCAGATATTTTTATTTGAATTTATTTTATTTTGGAAAAAATTGCCAACTCCCTGAGACACCTTTAATTATCTGGAGTAACTTAAGGGTACAAAGTAAATTAAAATATGTTTACTAATATTAAAAAATCAAGATGTATTAGGAAACACAATGATGGGTTTTTTTCATGTATTTTTTAACTAGGATTCAACAGCCTGTAAGAATGTATTGCTTATTTTATGGTATGTATTTGTTCAGTATATTTCTATGCATCCTTGACTTCTTCAGTTGATTTGGGCTTTAGATAATTATATCCATATTCTGTGAACCAATATGAATCCCTTTTCCACAAAATATAACAAATCTTTCTGTCATATTTGTACTTGTATTTTCATGGCTATTTTAATAACAAAAATATTTTAGTAAAATGATGTTTTATAACTAATTTAATCACTTTTTTAAGTTTTGGCAATTTTCGAACATTATAAAAGTCATGAGTGTTAAACTCTACAGGCTTGTATTATCCATGCAAGGAGGAAAGTTGTAGTGTAAAACTTGTACGTTTTTTAATGGGGAAAGAATCAGATGATTCATTTAAAGCACTGGATAGAGTACTTGGCACATAGCTTGTGATAAATAAATGTATTTACTATAGTTAATATTACTTAGAATGATGGTATTTCCTTATTAGGTGGGCCCCAGACTAAACTGTAATATCAATGAGATTAAATTATACTACTGAAATAGTTTTTTTTCCTCTCTCATGAAACAGTACAGATGAAGGTAGGCTATCTAGATTTCAGTAAATAACTCTTCCTGCTCAAGGTCCATAGTCTTGTCTTTGCTTACTTACTGTGACGTTTATTATGATATAGTTATCATATACTTGGCTGAAGAAGATGAAGCTAACAGACACCTGTTCTCTTCACAAAGAAAAATGAAAAGTGAAGGGCAAGCATCTTTAAAAAGTTGCTCTCAAAAGTTGAATACATCATTTCCCATTAAATCCCTTTGTCCAGAATGTAGTCACTTGGTAGCATTATCCCTAGCTATTAGAGATGCTGGAAAATGGAGTTTTTTGGTTAGATGGCTATATGCTCAGAACTTAGGACATTATTGCTGAAGGGAAGAAAGAAACTGGAGATATTAGGGAATAATTGTCAGGCTTGGCCAACGTCCGTTCCTCTAAGCACACAAGTGTCCACAGATATATTTCTTGCAATACATAAACCCACTCACACATACAAAGGAGGCAATTTTAAATTTCCACATCCAGCTCTAAAATCCATTATTTCTAGGCAATGTGGAGAAGTGCAGTGCTCTCTACCAGATCCAGATAGATAGATAAATCTTCATTTTCTTCAAACTATAAACTAAAACATATTTTCTGCCCTACACATACACAACTAATATACACTACTGGTATAGGAGCTGTATTATTTCAATAAACATTCCCAACCTGAAAATTCTCATTTTGAAAAAAATGGGTAGATATGGGATGGGGGCAGTTACTTTTCCACAGCAGTTATTAAATTCTGAATGGCAGAAATTGTGAAGACTCTCTGACCTGACATATAGACTTCTTCTTTATCATTAGTTTGCTTTTAAACAAACCTATCTATTATCCTTTAGGGTCTCTGGCTTTGCCATCTAGTAGCTTCTTCCCTATCTATTATCCTGCACATTCACATCAAATGGCATAAAATTGTGTATCCTCATTGGCAGAAACACAGCTTCTACAACCTGCTTTCTTGGGTGAAGGTTGCAGATCCAGAGGTTGCAAGTTGCTTTAGGAGTTGAGGAATGCCAGGTATTGAGACGATAATTTTAAGCCTTTTTATTGACAGTATATTTACCACAGACTTAGTAGTTTCTGGACTGTTCACTGTCAGTTAGTTCTAAATGTAAGCCACTAAAGCCAAGTTTATCATCTAAATACAATTTTTAAGTATAAAGTCTCTCATTTAGTTTATTTAGTTTTCTCTTCTCAGCATATACCCTTCTTTCTCAATATAATGAAAACTAACTTGTGGATATCTGAGCACTAAGTTTAGATGTTTGAGTGGGAAGGATGTTTCTGTGGGGCTGGCTCTCATTTTCTGGTAGAGGACACTTAAACTCAGAACCTTTTCAAGAACCTCCCTTTATCTCTTTATCTCTGGCTGTTGGGTGTGAAAAATCAGTCCTTTTCCCTAACATCACAGGCTTCAACTAGCAAGGCATGAAGGTTCAGTAAATTTAGGCTGCAGGCAGCTAACACAGTTCCCTTAATGAACTTCAGCTGAGCTGCTTGCAAAATGTGAAACTGCTTGAGTTTTTTATGACTTTGCAGCTTTTGAAAATTATAGCCTACAAATTTGTAGATTTTTATTCAGTTTGGTTTTGTTTAATGTTCATAATTAGAATAATGTTATAGACTTTTGTTATAATTGTTGAATTGTTTTTTAGTGCTTCCATAACATAATACCAAACACTGGGCGGTTAAACAAAGAAATGTATTGTCTGATGATTGTGGAGGCTGGAAGTCAGAGATCAAGGTGTCGGCAGGGCTGGTTTTATCTGAGTCCTTTCTCCTTGGCCATCTACAAGCCAAGGAGCTATGATGATAAATACATGTATTGACTATACTTAATATTACTTACAATAATAATATTTATTTATTAGGTGAGGCCAAGACTAAACTGTAATATCAGTGAGGTTAAATGATACTACTTACACTTTTTTCCCTCTCTCATGAAACAGTACAGATGAAGGTAGGCTACACATGATAGGCCTATAGAAGAAGGTAGGCCATCTACAAGCCAAGGAGAAAGGACTTACATGAAACCAGCCCTGCCAACGCCCTCTATCTTTACATGGTCTTCACTCTGTAATGAATAATAATTTGGGGTAAGAGTACTTTCACACTATGTATATATTCTATTCTCATTAAACTTTCATTTTGTGTATTACTCATTTATTCATATCTTATGTACTCATATTTTCTTCCTGCATTGAATATAACTCATTTCTATTATTATTATTTCTCTAACTGTCCTCAATTTAGCCACAAGAAGTCATTTTAAGTGGAATTTTATTTCCTTAGACATGCCCTCATCAAATACTTCTTTACCTTCTGAAATAAGATATTCCAGTCTTATCTTATACTTTCCTGGTTTCAGCTATGGAATTAACCATTTCCTCGAAGCATATTGCTTTCCTTTAGTAGAGAATGAAATTTAAAAGCCAAGACATGGGTACTAGATATACTCATTGCAGTCAACATATCACTGTTACCAGACCCTCTCCTATACAGAGTTATAGAATACAGCTCATAAATATATGTGTATATACAAAAACAGATCTATACATACCCATTTACATCTATAGTTATGTCTATATCCATATACACATCAAAAATCATGAATTGCCACCAATATATTTCCAAATCCAATATGTCATTACAGGGTTCAAACTCTCCCCACTCACCTTGAGAAACATAGACTCTACCATGTTTAATGTATGAATGGTTTGTTCCAGTTCCCTATAGGTAACCAATCTCCATTTCCATGGGTCCAGAGACTAAGGTTGGTGAGGAAGGGACCTTGTTGTGGCATGCCCAGGACAGAGGAGCACTAGAATTGTGAAAATAATGTCCATGAAAGGCAGCAGTCTGATGCAGGCCTCTTAGCCTGAGCAGAGTCAAGAGTGCTTCCATAAGAAGGGACATCCTGGCATGGATTGGCAGAGCTAAAATGGGATGACAATAGCACCAGCACTGGAGAGGAACTTAGAACCCAAGTGGGAAAAAGAGATGATATATGAATGAGCAGCCTAGCATGGGGTAACAGAACCCAAATTAAGTGAGGAGGTGTCCATGGGGATGGAGATGAGATGGGGAAGTCCTGGTACAAAGCCCAAGAGCCCGAAGCAAAATGAAGAGAGAACTGATGCTTGTTCTGACCCTAATGAATTGGAGTTGATTAGGTTGAAGAAGGCAATCGTGTAGTGTGTGGCATTTGGGGTAGGTACAGCTCACTCACCCTGGGATGGCAGAACCCAAGAATATGAGGAAAGTAATTGTGAAAGAAACCATATGGCCCAAGAAGCTTATAATACTTATTATCTGATTCTTTATTTTAAAAGTGTGTTAATCTCTGACCTGAGAATAAAGTCTCCAATGACTTGACCATAGTCTATAACTTCCTTCAATGAAACATACTTTTGAACTTTGTACTAGTCTTTAAATAGAGTATTCATGGTTTTCCAAAAGCTATTTCTTATGACAATAATATGCTTTCCTACCTAGTTCACCTGATAAACTCTTGTTTTCTCAGACCAAGCTTAGTTATCATTTATTTTGTAAAGCATTTTTTTTTTTTTACCTTTGGCCCTCAGTAGAGAAATGTCCTACTTTTCTTATGTTATTTTTATTTTTTATTCTTCTATAATACAACTTATATTGTCATTTGATATATATACACACATATACATATATAAATCTATATACAAATATACACATTCATATATATATATATATATAGGTGTGTACCTTATCTCTAAACTGAGTTATGGGAGGGGGAGTTAAATTCATTGACATTTCTTTCACTGTATGCAATGAATGATTTCTAAATACATGAGATAATTGCATCTAATTTTACTGGTATCATGGAGAGAAAAAGGTAATCACATAACTCATATTTATTCATCTAAGTCTTATCTCCTTAACATAAATGTCTCCTTATATTTTACTCATTTTTCTAGTCATTGTTTCTGAAAATTTATTATATCTTTTTCTTCATAAGCTGACCTGGTCATAATTTAAACTGTACTTTATAACTCAGCAGTCAGTCTTGTTAATAATCTTAATCTTTTTAAAGTATGGATATATTATCCCAAGACAGCTTATTTTTTTCTTTGTTCTATCTCAGGACTATCAGGCAGCTAATCCTTTATCTATCCCTAATACTCTTATGGTAGTTTTCCAGAATCTATAGAAGATTCTATTTCAATCTGCTATAGGCTAATGGCAAGCAACCAAGTTTGAGTTATATATTAAATGATAGTTAGTAAGGCTCTAAATAAGAAATAAGTATATTGGATATATTACCTGAATAAACTTTATGGCAAAGTTTTATGTATTCTAAGGCATTCTATTGTTTGCTAAGTTTATACTGTTACTAATAATTGAAATTTTATTGCTGAACATCTAAATTTGAGACACTACTATATGTGTATATTTTGTGTTCAATTCAAGGCTTAAGAGTTTTAAAAGATTGTATTTATTTTTGGGGGCTTTAAAATTCATTGAAAAGCGATATTTCAAATAATTTGTGATTTTTGCAGATGTCGAATTTGAATTCAGAAGGCTATAGTGAAATATATATATAATTTTCCATTATCAATCCTAATATTGTGCTTATACTATGCACTAATGACCCAGAAAGCAATATTGCTGTTGTAAACTGCTAAGCATGTGCCAAATATTTTGCCTTTCCATGCCTGCTTCAAAATGTCATGTCTTTCAGCTGTTCAACTTCCAGCTGCCAAAAATAAATGAGTTTACACTGCTGGTTCTATTTTATTTTTCTAAATCAAATTCCACTGCCAATTGGAAACTTAATCAATGATACATTGTATATATGATATTACTGTTGATAATAATAACAAATACATTTATTTTATCAGGTGCATGAATTCTGTAAAATTATATTTTTTCACTTTAAACTTTTCAAATAGGT
Organism: Homo sapiens; assembly: GCF_000001405.40. Taxonomy (NCBI): domain Eukaryota; kingdom Metazoa; phylum Chordata; class Mammalia; order Primates; family Hominidae; genus Homo; species Homo sapiens. The sequence continues at coordinate 43,824,694 of NC_000014.9, forward strand.
TAAAATAAAGTGAAAAAAGGTTGTTTTAATCAATAAGAAATATCAATCGTGTATACTTACTATACATGTATATAATATATGATAGATACAATATATAATCTTTGTATCTATAATCTCTGTTACATACATTTTGGATCCTTGTCTCATTTAGTATGTTTTATGGAAGTAAAACAAAGTTCAAAGTTCATTGCTGTACAAACAAAAGTAGAAACAACTGATATAAATAACTGGTATTATTTGTCACTACAAACTCATATTTGTATATCATCAATATAAACTCAAAGTTTTGTAATTTTTGACATTTTCTTACAATTTAGCTAAGGCTTCATTATGTAGAGAAGTGGAAATTATATCAAACTCTGTGATTAAAAGTGTTCACAGTAGTGCAGAATTTGAAAATTTCTGCTGTAGCTTTGCACTGAATTGCTTTCAACAGTCTTTATCTTCATAGAATCCAGATGCTATTTTCCACTTATAATACTTGTTATAATTGTCAATTTTTAGATGCCTCATTTTTTACATTAAAATTAAAACTGACCATAGATAAATTGATTAATAAAATAAAGAAAACATGTGAGAAAAAGAATAAGTATGTATAGAAGTATATATGTGTGTATATAAATATGTATATATTTGTTTTAAATCTGTATATATAAATATATATAAATATATGTATATATTTAAGTTTTTGTGAACTAAGGAAAAAGACTGTATTCTCAAACCAAATTTTAGACAATCCAAAAGTGAATGCAGTACACATTTATAAATTAGTGCTCTTATAATTTTTTATTAGTTTATTTAAACTGTTATTTCTTCCAGTGGTTAAGACTGATATTAGTTATATCTCACCTGCCTGACATCTGAGAAGGACTAAAATTAAGAATAAGAACCATTTGGAAATATGAATAGCAATGTCTACATACAGAGCATGAGATCTGATTAAGATGTTGCCTTCTTTTCTCATACTCTCTGTACTACTTATGTAATATCAACTACTATCAGATATAAATCTCTCCTAAAAAAGACATTAACATCTTATTTTAAGGAAACAACTTAGAAAAAAGTTTTCCAGGTGGATTAACATGAAAGAGACCCAGGTACCAGGAAGTTTGCATTTTCATCCAAAAGGCTTTGTCTATACAGATTTTCACTTCAATAAAGCTGAGGATGACCTTTAAAAGAGGGAAGACTACTCCAGCATATAGATCCAGTGGTCCTAAACTCACCTCAGTATGCTGAGCAACAACATTGTTCAATTATTTATGATTTAGTCTTATCAATGGATTATTATTTCAAAAAAACAAAATGTTTATGAACAGAACTTTAAAAATCATACCTACAACCAACTGATTTTCAAAAAAGTCAACAAAAAGATATATACTGGGGAAAGGACACCCTGTCGATAAATGGTACTGGAAAACATGCATAGCCATATGCAGGAGAATAAGATGGAACCCATCTCTCACCATATACAAAAACTAACTGAAGATGGGTAAAAAATGTTAAGACCTGAAACTATAAAAATTCTAGAAGAAAGGCTAGGAAAAACTCTTTTGGACTTTGGTTCAGGCAAATAATTTATGACTAAAACCTCAAAAGCAAATACAGCAAAAACAAGAAAAGACAAATGAGATTTTTTTTTTGAGGTAAGGTTTCTGTTTTTCATTCATTCATTCATTCTTTCTTACTTTTTTTTTTTTTTTTTTTTTTTAAAGACAGATTCTTGCTCTGTTGCCCAGGCTGGATTGCAATGCCACCATCTTGGCTTACTGTAACTTCTGCCTCCTAGGTTCAAGCACTTCTCATGCCTTAGCCTCCCAAGTAGCTGTGATTACTGGCACCCACCACCATGCCCGGCTAATTTTTGTATTTTTCACAGAGACAGACTTTCACCATGTTGGCCAGGCTGGTCTCAAACTTTTGGCCTCAAGTGATCTATGCACCTTGGCCTCCCAAAGTGCTGAGATTACAGGTGAGCCACAGTGCCCAGCCAACAAATGGGATTTAAACTAAAAAGCTCTGCACAGCAAAAGAAATAATCAATAAACAGGCAACATACAGAGTGTGAGAAAATATTTATAAACTGTGCATCCAACAAAGGATGAAGATCCATAATCTATGAGGAACTCAACTCAAGAAATAAAAAAAAAAAAATTAAAAAGTGGGCATAGGTCATGAACAGACATGTCTTCAGAAGAAGACAAACAAGAGGCTAACCAACAAAAATATTTTTAAAATGCTTGACATCACTAATTATCAGGGAAATGCAAATTAAAATCACATTGAGATACCATCTTACACCAGTCAGAATAGCATTAGTAGTAGTAGTAGTAGTAGTAGTAGTATTTATTATTATCAACTTAACTTTAATTTTAAGTTCAGGGGTACATGTACAGGTTTGTTGTATAGGTAAACTTGTGTCATGGGGGTTTGTTATACAGATTATTTTGTCACCCAGGTACTAAGCCTACTATCTATTTTATTTTTCCTGATCCTTTCCTTCCTCCCACCCTTCACCCTCCAATATGTTTCAGGGTCTGTTGTTTCCTTCTATGTGCCCATGTATTCTCATTATTTAGCTCCCACTTATAAGTGAGAACATGCTGCATTTGGTTTTCTGTTTGATATTGGTTGACCGTGTCCCCACTCAAATCTCATCTTGAATTCCCATAATTCCCATGTGTTTTGGGAGGGACCTGGTGGGAGATAATTGAATCATGGGGGCATTTTCCTCCATACTGTTCTCATGGTAGTGAATCAGTCTTACAAGATCTGATGGTTTTATAAGGGGAAACCACTTCCACTTGGTTCTCATTCTTTCTCTTGCCTGCTGCCATGTTAGATGTGCCTTTCACCTTCTGCCATGATTGTGAGGCCTCCCCAGCTACGTGGAACTGTGAGTCCATTAAATCTTTTTTCTTTATAATTTACCCAGACTCAGGTGTGTCTTTATCAGCAGTGTGAAAATGGTCTAATACACTGTTCCTGTGTTAGTTTGCTAGCAATAATGCCCTCCAGCTCCATCCATGTTCCTGCAAAGCACATGGTCTCATTCTTTTTTATGGCTGCATAGTATTCCATGGTGTATATATACCACATTTTCTTTATCCACTCCATCATCAATGGGTATTTACGTTAATTTCATGCCTTTGCTATTATGAATAATGCTTCAATGAACATACACATGCCTGTGTCTTTATAGCAGAACAATTTATATTCCTTTAGGTATGTATCCAGTAATGGGATTGCTGGGTGGAATGGTTTTAGGCCTCTGAGGAATTTCCAAACTGCTTTGCACACTGGCTGAACTAGTTTACTATCCCACCAACGGTATATAAACATTCCCTTTTCTCCATAACCTTGCCAGCATCTGTTTTTTAATAGTAACCATTCTGACTGGTGTGAGATGGCATCTTATTGTGGTTTTGATGTGTATTTTTCTAATGATCAGTGATGTTGAGCTTTTTTTCATATGATTGTTGGCCACATGTGTGTCCTCCTTTGAAAAGTACCTGTTCATGTCCTTTGCCTACTTTTTAATGTTTTTTTTAGTTGTAAAGTTGTTTAAGTTACTTATAGATGCTGAATATTAGATCTCTTTCAGTTGCATAGTTTGCAAAAGTTTTCTCTCATTTTGTAGGTGTCGGTTCAATCTGTTGACAGTTTCCTTTGCTGTGCAGAAGGTCTTTAGTTTAATTAGATTCCATTTGTCAGTTTTTGCTTTTGTTGCAAATGCTTTTGGCATTATATTGACTTTGTATCCTGAGACTTTGCTGATATGGTTTGGCTGTATCCCCACCCAAATCTCATTTTGAATTCCCATGTGTTGTGGGAGTACCAGTGGGAGGTAATTGAAGCATGGAGGCAAGTCTTTCCCATGTTGTTCTTGTGATAGTGAGTAAGTCTCATGAGATATGATGGTTTTAAAAAAGGGAGTCCCCCTGCACAAAATCTCTCTCTTTGCTGCCATCCATGTAGGATGTGACTTGCGCCTCCTAGCCTTCTGCCATGGCTGTGAGACTTCCCCAGCCACATGGAACTGTAAGTCCAATTAAACCTCTTTCTTTTGTAAATTGCCCAGTCTCGGTACGTCTTTATCAGCAACATGAAAACGCACTAATACATTTGCTGTATCCTTTTTCCGTTGTTGGTTTTTGTTCTGTTTATCAAGGATCGGGTAGTTGTTAGGTGTGCAGCCTTATTTCTGGGTTTTCTATTTTGTTCCATTGGTCTATGTGTCTGTTTTTGTACCAGTATCATGCTGTTTTCATTACTGTAGTTCTGTAGTATAGTTTGAAGTCAGGTAGGTGATGCCTCCAGCTTCATTATTTTTGCTTAGAATTGCCTTGGCTATTTGGGCTTCTTTTGTGTGTGTTGCATATGAATTTTAAAATAGTCTTATTCTAGTTCTGAGAAGAATGGCAAGGGTGGTTAACTAGAAATAGCACTGAATCTATAAATTGCTTTGGGCAGTGTGGTCATTTTAATGATATTTATTTTTTCCATCCCTGAGCATAGAATGTTTTTCCATTTGTTTGTATCATCTCCGATTTTTTTGAGCAGTGGTTTGTAGCTCTCCTTTTACCTCCCTGGTTAGCGATAGTCCTATGTAGTTTATCCTTTTTGTGTTCAATTGTGATTGGGACTGCATTCCTGATTTGGCCTTTGGCTTGACTGTTGTTGGTATATAGAATGCTAGTGACTTTTGCACGTTGATTTTGGATCCTGAGACTTTGCTGAAGTTGTTTATTAGCTTAAGGAGCCTTTGGGCTGACCCTATGAGGTTTTCTAGATATAAGATCATGTTGTCTGCAAACAGGGACAGTTTGAGTTCCTCTCTTTTTATTTGAATGCTCTTTATTTCTTTCTCTTTCCTGATTGCCCTGGCCAGGACTTCCAGTACTATGTTGAATATGAATGGTGAAGAAGGATATCGTTGTTTTGTGCCATTTTTCAAGGGGAATGTTGGCTGTGGGTTTATCATAGATGATTTTTATTATTTTGAGGTATATTTCTTCAATACCTAGTTTATTGAGAGTTTTTGACATGAAGGAATGTTGAATTTTATTAAAAGCCTTTTCTGAATCTATTGAGGTAATCATGTGGTTTTTGTCTTTAGTTCTACTTTAGCCTACTTTATGATGGTGGACAAGCTTTTTAATGTGCTGCTGAATTCGGTTTACCAGTATTTTGTTGAGAATTTTTACATTGATGTTCATCAAGGATGTTGGCCTGAAGTTTTCTTTTTTTGTTGCATCTTTGCCAGGTTTTGTTATCAGGATGATGCTGGCCTCATAGAATAAGTTAGGGAGAAGTCTCCCCTCCTCAATTTTTTAGAAAAGTTTCATCAGAAGTGATACCAGCTCTTCTTCATACATTTGGTAGAATTCATCTGTGAGCAGGATACCATTATTAAAAAGTCAAAAAACTGATCTTGGTGAGGATGCAGAGAAAAGGAAATGCTTATAGGCTTTTGGTGGGAATGTCCCTTAGTACAACCCCTATGGAAAACAGAATGGACATTTCTCAAACAACTAAAAATAGAACTACCATATAATCCAGCAATCTCACTACTAAGTATATACCCAAAAGAAAAGAAATTGTCATATCAAAAAGACACTTATATTCATATATTTATCACAGCACTATTCACAACAGTGATGTGAAGGAGTCAACCTATTTCCATCTATGGATGATTGGATAAAGAAAATGTGATACACATACACACACACACATACACACACAAACACACCATAGAATACTATGCTGCCATGAAAAAGAATGGAATCCAAAATGGAGGAGGGTGTGAAAGGGAAGAGGGTTGAAAAATTACCTATTCGGTACAATGTTCACTATTGGAGTGATGGGTACACTGAAAGCTCAGACTTCACCACTAAGTAATGTATCCAGATAACTTCACTTGTTACCCCTGAATCTGTTTTTTCAAAAAATCAAGGCATTTTTTAAATTTCAGTTTTTCAAAAATGGTCTAATCATTCTCCTTTTTGTTTCACACCAACAGCATTGTATAATTATTATATTAATTCAATATATCTTTCAAGGTAATGTCTACATAAATAGCAATTTTATTTAAGATGTTGCAACACAGAGCTAAGCAAGTTAAATTGACATATTAAGAATTCATAAAATATATTTTGACTTCCTTTTTAAAAGGAAGCTTTTTCCTATGCACAGTTCTGTTTTTCATCTATAAGCCTTGGCTTTTGCATTATTACTGCTTGTGATGATATTAAGTGACAGTCTCTTGAATATAGTATCTGCATAGTTACGTATCTCCAGAAACTGATCACATAATTGCCTATCACTAGCTCACTCCAATAGGTCAAAAATGTGATTATCTGCTTTATTTTGTTTTCTTTTATGTTGAACACAAACCTCATGGCTATTTGCTGTTGACACGGGGTCTACTGTGGGGAATGTCATCAACACTAGTGCTGCTGGCAGCAAATAATTGGCCATATTTTCTTACGGAATTGTATAATTTATGTTTTAGAGAAGTCCAGTAATTTTTCAGAGTGATAGATTTATGGTCAAATGGATAATCCCCAAGTCATGATATCTGTTTTTGATACGTTGATGTGTTCTTTAATCATCAAAACACCTAAGAGACCTGCTAGGTTGATAGGCATTTCAGAACAAAAAGCATGAGAAAATCTAGCCAATTAAAGACAAAAATCCCATTAAAAGTTAGGTATTTTGCTAGAAGAGAGGATGAAATAATTTAAATCATAATAGAGATATCATTGAGTAAACTGGCACTACTTGAAGTTAAGTGAATTTCAGAATAGTTAGCTAGATCATGATTGGGAGAAAGATTCTAAGAAGTTGTCAAGTCCTGGGTTCAAGTTCTTAAAGCCATATAATGCCAGTGTAAATGGGCACACCTCCCTGAAGTGTACCTTAGAGAAAACACTAGTTAACTCAAAGAGATGTTGTGTGACCTAATTAGCAAATCTTAGTTGATTAATAATTGTAGTTATTTCCTTTTTTCACATTTAAAGACAACTCACTCTAGCAAAGGTTCTTTAATAATATATGTTTTACATATTTTAGTATATATAATATTTTGTAATCATTTAATGTTTGTTTTATTCTTCAAATTATAGACTCTCCGAGGGCAGAAACAATGCCTTATATTTCTTGACTACATCCCATAGTCTCGCTTCTAATGAGTACAAACTAGTAATTAAGCATTAGCTCTTAATTGTTTGAAGTCTGGAGGGATGAATATTTCCTCTGGTGGAGTTCTTTGCAGTGTCCTCCAGATAATCCTACAGAGTCATCAAACAAAATTGCAATATTAGTTTTTCTCCATCAGCAAAATTGATCTAATTAATGCAAGTTCTTTCAATTATTCATTGAATTAAGTGCCATGGAAAAAAGATTAATATAACAATGATATTATGTGCAATCTTAGCACCTGAATATAAGGTGCTAAATATAATATATTGAATATTTTGAATATATTATATTAGAAAAGCATGCATGAAGCAACGCAGGAGTGAAAGAACATCAAACACACAGAAAACTACCAATTTTCCAAGACTGCTGAAGTATACAGTGAGAAGAATGACTTTAAAGTTTAGATCATATAGAGCCTAGTGTGTCTTACTTTTTAGTTATTTTATTATTAATGTTTATGGATACATAATAATTGTACATATTTATGGGTACATGTGATATTTTTATACAAGGATGCAAATGTAATAATTAAAACTGGGTAATTGGGATAGCCATCACATCAAGCATTTTTCATTTGTGTTGGAAATCTTCCAACACAAATCTCTATTAGCTAATTTGAAATATGATAAATTGTTAACTATAGTCATCCTATTGTGCTACTGAACACTAGAACTTATTCTTTATATCTAATGATTTTTTTTATCCATTAATAACTCCTCTTCACTCACCCCTCCCACTACCTTTTCCAGCCTCCCTGGTAACCATTATTCCATTTACTACCTCCATGAGAGCAAATTTTTTAGCTCCTAAATGTGACAGAGACCATGAAATATTTGTTTTTTTGTGCCTGGCTTATTTCACTTAACATAGTGCCCTCCAGTCCCATTCATGTTGCTTCAAATGACAGGATTTCACTTTTTTTACTCCTGAATAATATTCAATTGTGCCTATATACTTTATTCATTCATCTGTTGATGGACACTGAGGTTGATTCCATATCTTGGCTATTGTGAATAGTCCTGCAGTAAACATGGGATGACAGCTGTCTCTTCATTATACTGATTTCCTTTCTTTTGGATACATACCCAACAGCGGTATTGCTGGAACATATGATAGTTCTATTTTTAGTTTTTTGAGGACCCTCCATATTGTTTTCCATAATGACTGAACTAATTATACATTCCAACCAACAGTGTAGAAGAGTTCCCCTTTCTCCACATCTTCAATAGTATTGGAGTTTAGATTTCTTTTTCTAGAAATTGATGCTGCTGACAGATTTTAAGATAGGTAAGGACTTAGTTAGACTTTAAATATTAAAAACGATCATTATATGGTGGTTTAAAGGGCAGGTAAAAAGAAGAAAAAAGAAAGGACATAGGAGAGGTTATAAGTCAAGTAAAGAAATATAATGGACTGGGTGTGGTGGCTCCCACCTGTAATCCCAGCACTTTGGGAGGCCAAGGTGGGTGGGTCACTTGAGGTCAGGAGTTCGAGACCAGTCTGGCCAATATGGTGAAACCCCATCTCTACTAAAAATACAAAAATTAGCCAGGGGTGGTGGTGCATGCCTGTAGTCCCAGCTACTCAGGAGGCTGGGGCAGGAGAATCGCTTAAACCCTGGAGGCAGAGGTTGCAGTGAGCTGAGATCACGCCATTGCACTCCACCCTGGGTGTCACAGCAAGACTCCATCTCAAAAAAAGAAAAAAAGAAAGAAACATAATGGTCTGCTATAAGTTTGTAGCACTGATGGTGGAAAAGGTGGAGCAAATTATGGCGCATGTATACATATGTAACTAACCTGCACGTTGTGCACATGTACCCTAAAACTTAAAGTATAATAATAAAAAAAGAGCGGTATAGATGATAGACAAATTTTTATAATTAACTGGATATGAATAAGGCAACTGTTATGGGTAAGGCTACCTTGAAGCATATTCTACACTAGAGCTGTGCAGGATGTTTATTTGGGAGTGCTCTAGAGATGAATTCCATGCAAGACTAAAAGAAACAGAAGAAGAATTGAGCAGAGGAGTTATAGATGTAGCCTCAAGGAAGGCCTTAGGCAACACCACAGGAAACTCCGGATCTGAGATGACACTTCAAAATTGTTCAGAATTGAGTATGGACCATTTATTGAACTTGACCTTGGGAAATTTACTTGGATAAGGCAGCTCTCTTTAGCTCAGGACAATGGGATTGGGGGTCTCAGCTGTAATCTGTTAGCCCCTGGGAAATGAGTGTTTCAGTTCTCAGAGGCAGTGAGGTAATTTGGGTAATGCACCACTGCATCCACCGAAGAGAATAAATCAAAAAGGCTGTAAATGACATTGAAATATGTGAATGTACTTTTCACATGTTTTTGAGAAAAACCAAGAGCAACAAACCATCTTTTGTTATTGTTCTTAAAGAATCTGAAATGGCCAGTAAGGGCTTCTCATGCCAAGTTGTTGAAAATGTATCCTCATTGGAGTAATCAGAAACAGCCAACAGAGAAACACAAAAAATCAACTTTGTTTATTTGGCTATTTCATTTCTCTAACAAAGTTTACTTAAGCATTTAAACAAAGCATTTCAAATTCTAATACTAAAACACTAATATCATCTTTCCCAGAAAGGAGATGGGACCATATTCATAGTTAAGCAAATAGCCCTTCTTAAAAATGAAGTTTATATCTAATATTACTAATCTTACTAACCATGCTCAATGACAGTGTTCTTTGAATATTTTTGCTAGTATATATTTATCAGAAACATGTTTATCACCCTGTACAATTAGAAGTTGCTATCTAAAATATTAAATATGTTCAATGGACAAATTTTCCAGCATATTGTTTATTACATATACGCTCTAAATATACATTTATCAAACCCTTGGAGATAAGATTTAGATCATTCAGTTTATGAAAAATGTATACAATATAACCTAAATGGTAAAGTCAGTCCTCAGTGTCAAAACTATCAACTGAATTAGATTTGCTGAAAAGGTATAACTTCATCTTTTTCTCCTTCCAAGACACGTCCCTTCTCGTTTCTGAATTCTAAGATAGATGGAAGTAAGGGATTGAGGAAAGTAAGGAAGCATATGCAGGCAAGAAAACTACTTATAGCAATTGAAGATCTAAAACCAGATTATTTTTAAGAAATCCACACCTGAAGTTTCTATGTTACTCTCTAACATAAAAACTCTTTGTTCTTTTCACAGAGCATATTTACTCCAATATGAAGGTAATCACTTTGCAGAAAGAATTCTGCAGTTACTTTACTTCATAGTAGCTTGTACAATTGCTGTGCTTTGTCATCACTAGCCACTTTTTTCTAGTAATATATCAAGATTGGAGCAAGACAGTTTTTTGTTTTTCATAACATTTATCAACATATTTCATTATATCATATAATCTTTTGCCTATGTATTTATGACTTGTTTCCTTCCACTATAATGTAAGTTACCTGAAGGTAGCTTGTTCACAACTCTATTTTCAGAACCTAGAAAATCAATTAAATCAGCCATTTCTAAAATACGTAGATACATTTAAACAGTGTTTGTTTCCTTTAGAAACCACTATGGGGCTAGACGTGGTGGCTTATGCCTATAATTCTAGCACTTTGGGAGTCCAAGGCAGGAAGATCACTTGAGCCTAGGGGTTCAAGACCAGCCTTGGTAACATAGTGAGACCTTTTCTTTACAAAAACAAAAAAAAATTACAGGAAAACTAAGTTGGACTGGTAAGCCTATGACAGCCCCAAAACACACAAGTTCTTGTGAGACAGGAGAATTGTAGAGTAAGATAAAAAGACAACTGCCTCATAAACACATTGATGAAGTGTCTACAAGTTAGGAAATTTCAAAAAACAAATGAAGGTTTCTAGTAATAGTTGACCAGATTTCTACAGACCATCTCTCCTGTTGAGAACAACAGGGATTGTGGTACTGAATTAAAACAAAAACAAAAACAAAAAAATCTTTTGGACAGAAAGCTCCTAAGAAAATGGTAATGTAAAGAGCAAAGAACTGGAGAAGAAGAGAACCCAAGAAATGTAAAAATTTATGAAATTGCCAAAAATGAATGCTAACTCTGGCTGTAAGGATGAGATACTGAGCAGAGCTTCTGGCAATTTTACCGACAGGGGGAAACAATTCAGCCAGATTTCTTTGCTTCTATATCATTTTATCTACAGAGGTTTAAAGGTATTCACCAATGCCTAAATATAGATATAAAGGTATTAGTAGTAAGCAGATGGGAAATTACTTTTAATGTGAGATGGGAAAACTACTCACATTAAAAGTAATTGTTTAACATTGTATCCTTAGCAGCAAAGATAGGTGACTTTAATTTGATTAGAATCCTGTCACCTCACCTAAAGGCATTTGCTATCAGTTACCACTAATACTGTCTTCATGTTGTAAAGTTATAGTGTTATAAAATAACACAAGAAAGGTAGTATGGGTGAGATGGCCATGTAATTTTCCACACTATTTTAAATTTTGAATGCAGGAGATAGTATGCTGATAAACATAATTTCTCACAAAATTTCTAAATTCATGTGATTTGGGTTACAAATTCACTCCCCAAAATAAATAGCTGATTCTCTACTCTTTTATAATGCCTTATCATCTATACATACATGCAAGGCCCTTCTTAAACTTTTTATTACTTTCAGACTTTACCACCTGTATGAGTCCATTTTCATACTGCTATAAAAAACTAAGGCTGAGTAATTTATAAAGGAAAGAGATTTAATTGACTCATGGTTCAGCATGGTTGGGGAGGACTCAGGAAACTTACGATCATGGCGAAGGCAAAGGGGAAGCAAGCACTTTCTTCACAAGGCGGCCCGAAGGAGAAATGCCAAGCAAAGTGGGTAAGAGCCCCTTATAAAACCATCTGATCTCATGAGAACAAACTATTATGATAATAGCATGGGGAAGCCACCCCCATAACTCAATAACCTCTACCTAGTCTGTCCTTTGACACATGGGGATTACGGGGTTATGAGGATCACAATTCAAGATGAGATTTGGGTGGGACACAAAGCCTAACCATATCACCACCTATTCTAGTAATTAATTCTCTGTTTAGCATTGTAAATTGATATAAAATTATGTTTGGCATGAAGTCTATATTAAACTTCTAGATAGCCTCCTAGTTCTAATTTATCAAGTCTGGTGATTCATTATGTATTTATTCTACTCTCCATGATTTTAAAATCTTTTTACCTTATGTTTTCTCTATTTAAATTCTTTTAGCTACAGTTTTAAGTCCTCACTCAGTTCTCAGCCACACTATCTCATAGTTTCAGTTACGCATCTATGAATATGTTTCAAAATGCATTATAGTTACTTTAAGGGGAAGCAATAAAACCTAAATTTAAAAATCCAGTTGTAAATGCACCTGTTAGAATATTTGGCCTGCTGTGCTCATTTCTACTTTATGAAGTAAAAGGCTTTGTATTTTGTTACCTAATAATTTAGAATTCCTATATTTTAAAAAATAAAGAGTTTGACTTTCTTCTTTATACTTCTGATCATCTGTTTGCCTAGGCAACAAAGAGACTCTGATATTATAAGTTAGTGCAGTAGAGATATGAGCTGGGTCTTTCTATCCTTGAGCTGTAGAGAGACTGCCCTACTGAAGTTAGAAACTTAATCACATTGTTCATTCATTCATTTACAGAAATTTACTGAACATTTAAAATATGCTAGTATACTTCAGTCCTGGTCCTCCGTGGTGTCACACTAAACCAGGGTTCTTAAAATAGGGGTTGTGGGCTTTCTTTTTAAAAATAGAATTTACTTAATCATAACTTTATATAATTTGAGTTCATTTTAAAGCAATTGTTTCTGCAAATTTTTTAATTGTATACATTTATGGGGTATAAATATGATATTGTTACATGCATAGATTCTGTAGCGGTAAAGTCAGGGTTTTTAGGGTATCCATCACCCAAATACTATATATTGTACTCATTAAGAAATCTCTCCTCATCCACCCCTCTTCTACTCCTTCATGATTCTAAATCTCCGTTGTCTATCATTCCACACTCCATGTTCATGCCCATGTGTATACATTATTTAGCTCCCATTTATAAGTTAGAACATGTAATATTCGACTTTCTTTGCCTGACTTGTTTCACTTAAGATAATGGCCTCCAGTTCCATCCATATTGCCACAAATTACATGATTTAATTCTCTTTTTTAGGATTGAGTGGGCTTTCATATAGACTTTATGAAGTTTTTGAGCTCCTTGAGCTAAATTGCAGCATATTATGCTCATGTGTATATTGCATTTTGTGGAAATTTGGGACATAATTTTCAAGAGGATTGGTGATTCTGAAATGATTAAAAACTTCCACTTTATACATTCAGAACTTCTGCTATATTTTTAACTATATTCAGAACTTCTGCTACCTCTGTGACAGTGACTCTCAAACCTAATTAGCTAATTATTGTATTTCTTCCATTCTTAAATCCTGCATGTCCAAATAAATGTCCCTTGGAAATCTCAATCTGAGTTAATTTATTATAATTATGTTTTCATTTATTTTATCCTCTATTTTTCCTCAAATAATTTGAATAAATTTATCACAAAATATATCCATGCAAAGTAGCCATCAAAGCAAAACAAAAGATCAGTTAATTAAGCGAAGTCAGAGGACATGGAGTGCAGTGGATGTCATTTTACCCTGAATCCTCACCATTTAAACTTTCATTTTTTGAAATTGCTTAAAAACATTGTGATATTTAAATCACTTCGTCTTAAGACTTTAGTATTAACCCTATATTTTATCTCCTTTTCACCTCAAATTTTATATTATATTCAAGTATTGAGGACTATACATTATTTCTTACACTAATTATTTAAATCTAGTTCTAATGTCTTTTCAACAATTATGGTTTTGTTTTTATTTGGACAACTGAAATATATTCATATGTGGCAAGCTGGATATTTTTGCTTACTTCTCTGAATTCACCCATTCTCCTTCTGAAGTCGCTTTCTAGACCATGAAGCGGACCTCTGTGGAAAACATACTGGGTTGGTTTGCCCTTTAAATTCTGTTTAAATAATTCTGTTTTAGTTCCTGCCATAAAATGGGACAAGAGATCTGAGAGAAGAAGTTGAACAACACTGGATGTTTATTTCTCAAGTTCACTCTGAGGTTGTCATAGGTTGGCTGAGTCCTGCACCCCAAAACACAGCTCCCCTAAAGGCTTTGCCTTTTTATTGTTCTCTCCCAGGTGTGCCTTCTGTATCTTTCCAGGGGTCTCATTGGGAAGCACAGTACATGTTCTTAAATCCATTTTTAATGGATCCTTCACCAATATTAATCTTTCTGAAGCATAATTTTCAGCACTTCACTTCAATAAGATATCAATATTCCTATGAAGGAAAATTCAGAATGTTAAATCTTCTTGGTGAGATATGATGCAATCCAGCTTCTCTTGTTTTAATTGTTTTTGCTTTTCCTTTTAATTTTTCCTATCAAAGTTAATTTTAAAAACTAAGACCAAATGTTGCTTTTGTCATTTCTTAATTGGATGACCTTTGGCAAGTTAGTGAATATGTTAATTCATAAGTTAATAAGTTAATGATTAGTTAATGTATAATTTTAAAGATTAAATGACATAATATGGGTAAAGAGCTTATGCCATTCTCTCTGCACTGATGTATTTTTTCACCATTCCCAAACATTGAAAGCCTACACGTACTCTGAGGTCCAGCTCCAATGTCATCATTTTTAATTTCACCATGCAGTCATAAGCTCTTTTCTTCCTCTAACCTCTTCAGCATTTTGTTTTAATGCATTTTAAAACATGTTTGTTACTTTGAATGTTTTAGATCTAATATTTATTCTATAATTCCTTGCAGGTTAGAATTTCCCTGAAGAAAAGAATTACATATTTTTTTTCAACTTTGTATTACTTCACTGGCTAAGCCTGATAAGAGTTCAGTAATTATTAAGTGAATAGATAAACAAATGAATAAACCATCTATTTCTTTTGGCTGCATTTTGATGAAACAAGAAAACCTATGCCCCATACTTTAACAATACAATCTCAAACCCTCTTCTCCACACACTTATATGTGTAGTTATTCTTATATCCTAATAGCCATTGCATTTGAAATTTAAATTACAGTTGATCATTGCTGCTATATAAACAATTAACTTTTGTATGTTAAGATTTTATCCTGCAACTTAGCTACAATTACTTTTTAGTTTAAGGAGACTTTTTGTCAATTCTTTTAGTTTTTCTCTAGATAGTCATATTATCAGAGAACAAAGAGTTTTATTTTTTCCCTTCCAATCTGTCTAATCTATTTTCTTATCTTGCATTATTGCACTAGTTAAGACATCTGATACAATGGTAACACAAGGCATTCTTGCCTTGTTCCCTACATTAAGGGGCAAAATCCAATTTCTCACAGTTAAGTATGATGTTAGCTACAGATTACTGTAAATTTTCTTTATCAAGTTAAAGAATTTCTTCTCTATTTTTAGTTTGCTGAGATTTTTTTTTTTACCGAAAAATGAGTGTTGGATTTCATCAAATCCTTTTTTTGCATTAATTGATATAATTGCATGATTTTTTTCTTCTTTAGTCTGTTGATTTGGTAGTTTACATTAATTGATTGTTTTAAGCATTGAACTAGCCTTGTATACTTGGAATAAATCCCACTTTGTTCTGGTGTAGAATTATTGTTACACGTTTTTGGACTTGACCTGCTGATATTTTATTGAGAATTTTTACATTTATGTTCATGAAAAGCATTGACCTATAGTTTTCTTTTCTTATAATGTCATTATCTGGTTTGAGTATTAGAGTAATGTTGGTTTAATAGAATGAGTTGTGAAGTTGTATTAGTTTGCAAGGATTGACATAACAAAATACCGCAGACTGGGTGGCTTAAATAACACAGTTATTTTTCACGATTCTAGAAACTAGAATTTCAAGATGTTTCAGCAGGTTGGCTTTCTTCTGAAGCCTCTCTCTTTGACTTGAAGATGGTTGCCTTCTCTCTGTGTTTTCACATGGTCTTTCCTCTGTGCCCATACATGCCTAGTGTCTCCAAATTTCTTCTTCTTATCAGGACACCAGCCAATAGAATTGTGGCCATCGCTAAAGGCATTTTTTTTTAAATCATAACTTTAAAAGTCTTGTCTCCAAATACAGTCCCAATCTGGGGTGCTAGGGGTTTGGACTTCAACGCAGGATTTTTATTGCTGAGGAGAGCACAATTCAGCCCATAACAGAAATGTCTTCTTTGCTTCTATTGTAGAGAATTTGTACCATTTATTCCACAAATTGAAATCATCTGGGCTGGATGCTTTCTTTTTTGAAGTGTTATCAATTACTTATTTGATGTAGTTAGTAAATATAGGCCTATTAAAATCTATTCATTCCATGTGTGAGATTTTGTAGTTAGTATATTCAAGAAACTAGTGCGTATGGGCACAGAGTTATTCATATGGGCATGGAGTTATTCTAAATATTTCTTTATTATTCTTTGGATGTATCTGAAATGAGAAGTTAGAATTTTGTTTTTATTTCTAATATAGTAATTGTGTCTTCTTGAGTTTTTCATTTTTGTAGATTTTATTTTATAGAGGTAAGAAAACATAAAATGAGATCTACTCTCTTAAATTTTTAAAGTACAACACATTATTGTTAACTATAGGTATATTGTTGGACATCATCTATCTAGAGCTTATTCAACTTGCTTAACTGGAACTTTATGTGCACTCATTAGTCAGTCCCCATTTTCCCATAATCCCAGCCCATGACAACCATCATTCCATTCTTTGATTTTATGAATTTGACTATTTTAGATACATTATATAAGTAGAATCTTACAGTATTTGTCTTACTGTGACTGGATTATTTTATTTAACATATTGTCCCCTATGTTCATTCATGTGGTCACATATTGCAGAATTTTTTTTCTTTTTTGTGGATAAATAGTATTCTATTATATGTATATGTCACATTTTCTTTGTCTGTTCATCTATCCAAAGATATTTAGATTGTTTCCACATCTTGTTTATTGTGAATAGTCCTGCAATGAACATGGGAATACTGGTATGTTTTTGAGATGCTAATTTCAATTGCTTTGTATATATACCCAGAAGTGGAATTACTAGGTAATATGTTAGTTTTATTTGTAATTTTCTAAGAAATCTTCAAACTGTTTTCCATAGCAACTGTACATTTTTGCATTCCCACCAAAAGTGTGCAAGAGTTCTGATTTCTCCACATCCTTACCAACACTTCTTATCTCTTATCTTTTTTATAACAGCCAACCTGACAAATGTGAGGTAATATCTCATTGTGGTTTTGTTTTGCATTTCCCTAAGGATTAGTGACATTGAACATTTTTTACATTACCTCTTGGCCATTTATATGGCTTTTTTGGTGAAATACCAATTTATTTAGGTGCTTTAGGAATCAAGTCCTCAGTTCCACTTCAAATTGTGGTACTAGATTTTTTGCTATTATGTTGTAGTTGTTTCTTATATTTTTTGGAAATCAATGCCTTATCAGGTATATGGTTTAAGAACATTTTCTCCCATTCCATAGATTGTCACTCTGTTCATTCTATGGATGGTTTTATTTGCTTTACAGAAGCTTTTTAGTTTTATATAACCCCACTTCTCTATTTTTGTTTTTGTTGCCTGTGCTTTTGTGTTATTTTCAAGATATCATTGCCATGATCAATGTTCTAAAGCCCTTCCCCTGTGTTTTCTCCTTGGAGTTTTACCGTTTCAGATATTACATTTAAGTCTTTCATTCATTTTGAGTTGATTTTTATGTATTGTGTATGATACAGATCCTATTTCATTTGTGTGTGTGTGTGTGTGTGTGTGTTTGTGTGTGTGTAGATATCCAGTTTTCTCAACACTGCTTGTTGAAGAGACTATATTTTCCCTTCTGTGTATTTTTGGCTTCTTGTCAAAGATCAGTTGACAGTACATGCTTGGGTTTATTTTGGGATTCTCTATTATTTTCCATGGGTCTATGTGTCTATCTTTATGCCAGTACCATACTCATTTGATTACTGTAGACTTGTAATATGTTTTGACATCAGGAAGTGTGAGGCTTCCAGCTTCGCTCTCCTTTTCAATATTTTCTTACTCTGGTGTTTTTCTTGAGTATTTTCTATTTCTGTAGAAAATTCCATTGAGATTTCGATGGGGATAGCATTGAATCTGTAGAATGCTTTGGCTATTATGGACATTTTATCAATATCAGTTTTTTCAATCCATGAACATAAGGTATCTTTGCATTTATTCATGTTTTAATTTCTTTCAGCAGTGTTCTGTAATTTTTTTATGTATTGTAAACTCCTTTATTTTTGTTTTACATGGAGCCTGAGCCTTGACTTTCTTTTCAGATGTATTTAATTGTTACTATACTGGAGTACCATTGATATGCTGATAAAGATGTGCTGCAGAAAGAAAAGTTATTTAATTCTGTGATTAAGTCACGATCTTTTAGAGTGCATGGGTCCTTGGGCAATGACCTTCACAAGTGCATCTTAACTTTCCTCTGTGCCTTCTACAGATAGACAGAAAGTCTGTAGGGTGCTGGAGATAGGTAATTTCTCTTTCCACACACAGATATGGCTCTGGTAATGTACTTTTTCCTGCTAGGTAGGCCTTTTTTGTATGGAGAATGTTCTGGGTGTGTTTCAAAATAGCAAATTTTTCCTTTCTCCTGTCAGAAATATGATGCTTTTACTTGACTGTTCACCTTATGAACCTGTTGGAGTTCCTAGGATTAAGTTTCATAAAAACATAGAGGCCACGCTAACACTTAGAAATTTCTCAGTCTTTGACTAGCCTACCTGCCACATTTAGCAACTGGTCAAAGTTACCTCTTATAGTTGTTTTCTCAGGCTGCCAATTACATTAAACTTGGTGGCCTGAAACAATAGGAATTAATTTGCTCACAGTGCAGGATGCCGTAAGTCTGAAATCAAGGTGTCAACAGCTTAGTTCCTTCTGGGAGCTCTGAGGGAGAATCCATTCCATACCTCTCTCATAGCTTCTCATGGCTGCCAGCAATCCTTGGCTTTCCTTGGCTTATAGCTGCATCCTTTCAATCTCTACATCTGTCTTCACGTGGCCTTTTTCTCTATGTCTTTCCCGTGTCACTGAGTCTCTATGAGAACACCAGACATTGGATTTAGTGTCCACCCTAATCCCAATATAAACTCAGCTTTTCTTGAGTACATCTACAAAATATCTACTTCCAAATAAGGTCACTTTCATAAGTACCAGGGATCAGGACTTAAACATAACTTTTTCGGGGATACAGTTCAACCCACCAGGTGTTTAAGTGTTCTTACCAGCTTATGGCCCCAGCAGCTTTTGCTCATAGAAAGATGATTTGCACTGTGCTTCTCTCAATTTACCCATCTTCAGATTTCTGGGAAGCAGTTTGCTCATGACCTCAGTTATCTTATGGGTCCAAGGAAAGTTATTGATTTTCAGTTTTTCCAGCTTTTTTCTCATTGTAATATGGAAGTAGCATATTCTGACCATTTTATATGTCAGAGCTAAAATTAAAAATTTGTATCAATTTATTGGCTAACCCATATTAAGGCTCAGTAATAATTGTTGAATGAGTAGAAGAATAAATAAATATATGTATGAATTATCTATTCCTTTTGACCTATTGATCTCTCTATATATACAAAATCTAAATATTAATACTTCAACCATTAGCTCTTAGAAGCTCTTCTTCACCTACTTAGGTTTTTAGTTCATTAGATTATAATAGATAAAATATTCAAATTACTTTCTGAAAAATGTTGAAATGTTCTTTTTATCCACTTTTTCTGTGAAAAGCGATAATTGTTTACTGACACAAATAAATTTGTTTTGTTTGTAACTCTCTTTTGTTTGCTGGTGGTTGTTTTGCTTTGTTTGCTTAATTGTTTTATTTATATTTTGTTCATTTCTGTCAGGGGACAGAAACAGGGAGTCTGAAAAATATCAAAGTGGTCAGAGAATGGTGGAATTTAAGACTGAAGTTTCTTTCTCAACTCACAATTTTATTTACCTAAACATGTAAAGTTTTTAAAAAGATTTTCTCTTATTCTGTTCTTTCTCTCTCTCTTCTTTTTTCTCTTTCTTTCTTTCCATTTTTCCTTTTTCCTTTTTTCTTTCCTTTCAGCTTAGCATGCTCTCTGCAATGGAACAATCAAACAGTACTTAGCAGATGGAGGCCTGGCGTGGTGGCTCACACCTGTAATCCCAACACTTTGGGAGGCCAAGGTGGGCGTATAACTTGAGGTCAGGAGTTCAAGACGAGCCTGGCCAACATGGTGAAACCCCATCTCTACTAAACATACAAAAAAAAAAAATTAGAAGGGCTTGGTGGCAGTTGCCTTAGTCCCAACTATGGGGAGGCTGAGGCAGGAGAATCCCTTGAACCCAGCAGGCAGAGGTTTTAGTGAGCCAAGATCATGCTGCTGCACTCCAGCCTGGGCAACAGAGCAAGACTGTGTCTCAGAAAAAAAGTAAAACAAATAAAATAAAATAAAAAACTCCATGGGAAAAATATTTTGTCTAATATCTCCATTCCAATCTTCTAATATTTTGACACCCTACCTGGTGGACCTGTAAACCTCTTTCTTTACTATGAGAACTGCATAGTCTCTTAGAAGTTATTTGTGGTGCTGTTGTTTATTGAATATGTGTGATATGATGTTTTATTTTATGTGAGATAGCAACACTGAGTCATTGGTTCCTCCCATTTGTCTTCCCACAATTCAGCTATCTGAGTTCCACTTGCTAGGAATTTATCTCACTGAAGTTATTTGTTCAACATGCAAAATAAACCCTTTGCTTCAAACAGAAAAGAAAATTTATGATGTCAAATAATTTAAAAATAAACCAGTTTATATTTTCATTGTCAAAGAAAATGATTAAGTTATCAACTAGATATTGAATAAAACATATACAATGTTTTTGTTTCAAAATGCTCACTGCTCATAGTCTTGGACATTGGTATGTAATTTCTTTAGATTGAACCATTTTAAAATGTATTATGTTAAATGATTCACTTATTTGATGCTCTGTCCTGTCCTGGAATCGTCTGTGTTGAAAACTTTTTGTGTAAATATTTGCTTTGCACTTTACGCTAACTATGTCTTGTGCTCTATCAAAAGTTTATGTGTATTTATTATCACAAGACTGCACAACAAACACACACATACAGTTATATAAACATGTAAATTTGATGTCAGTGTTTTTTTTGTGTTCTCTAAAAGTTCTTTTTTAGGAGTTATGACAATTAAATATAGCCATGCAGCACATAATAAAACTTCAGTTGGCTACTCAGACCACATATGACAGTGGTCCCATATGGTTATAATGGAGCTGAAAATTTTCTTTTGCCTAGTGATGTCATAGGGTATAAAGGTTCAACACATTTTTCATCCTTTATACCCTATTTTTACTGTAGCTTTTCTGTGTTTAGATATGTTTAGATACACAAACACTTACCATTGTGTTGTAATTACCTACAGTTTTCAGTACAGTAACATGCTGTACAGGTTTGTAGCTGAGGAGCGATATGCTATATTATGTAGCCTATGTGTGTAGTAGGCTATACCACCTAGGTGAGTGTAAGTATACTCTATGATGTTTGCACAATGGCATTGCCAAAAGACACATGGCTGTGTGCATACATATGGGCATATATGAATATATTTTTTCCTCTACATTTATATTTGATCAATTTCTTGCTAAAAAAACTTAGAACTAATATCAAGAAAGAATATTTTAAGCTGAATACATTAATTGCTTCGGTACCTACTCCTTCTGAGTAAAATGCTACAATTATCTTTTACTCAGTGAATCTTTTGTTATTTTCATCTGTATTCTCACCTTATTTTTTTTCTTGAAAACATTCACCATTTCTCAATGGCACTTGCATTTATAGTACTTTAAATAATTTGGGTACATATTAAATTTTTATTTTCTACACAGGTAATATTTACTTCCTATTTGCCAAGTACATTCAAGACAATAGGAAGAGAGCACTTAAAAAATAAAGCCGCTACCCTCATGGAACATATATTCTCAAAGGGGCTATACCGAAAAGTTATAAATTAAATTAAGAAATCTAATGCAAAAAAAAATTTCAGATCAAAATGTGATTATAGGATTATCAGTCCTATCAGTATGGCAAACTTTTCTCTCTCTCCTCTTCCCTACCAAGTAGAACTACAAAACCAGAAAGTAAATTAAGAGACAAAGGAGAACTGCACAAGGTAGAGGGGAGCATTACAGTGCTTTGGGGCCCCAGGATTGGAGGAAAACACAGTGGCAGCATGTCTTATGGACCCCAGCCAACATAAGAAGGCAACCTTAGGCCTGGAATTTCCCGACTCCAAGCCTGGCAATAGAAAGGCAGCCCAGGAGTCTCATTCTTCCCCTAGATGGAACTGAATTCCAGCCTACGACATCAGGCGTGCCTAACAGAACAGGAAAGAGGGGTCAATGGGAAGTCCTAGTGACAATAACTGGCCATGAAAATGTCTCTTTTTCTCCACTTGGCCTGATATTTCCCTCTTATGCCTAATGAAACTGATACTGGGGGGCACTGGAAAGTAGGATCCCAGCACATCAAGCTCCATACCAGTAAGCATTCTGCATTCTATCCAGTGGACATAACTGGGAGTTAGGAAGTCCTTCCCTTACTTAGAAGCCAGTCAGCCTAGACTGAGGAATATCCTCCAGGCTCTCAGTCACCATCAGCTGTTGTCAATGAAAACCCCAGCAATATGAGATAAACAAAACAGATCAAAATAACACTGCATAGTCTCTAAAAAATTATATTGTCATTGAAACCACAGCCCTCACAGACTAAGACTTGTTTGCCAAACCTAAACAAGGTGACTATGTGCCAAAACAAAATATCTAAATAAGGTCCAGATTCTTCTAACATAATAGTCAAAATGTCTAGAATAAAATAAAAACCACCCATGATATCAAGAACCAGGAACTCATAATGTGATTTATTTAAAAGAATGTTGGCCGGGCGCAGTGGCTCACGCCTGTAATCCCAGCATTTGGGAGGCACAGGTGGGTAGATCACGAGGTCAAAGTCAGGAGTTCAAGACCAGCCTGGCCAACATGGTGAAACCCCATCTCTACTAAAAATACAAAAATTTAGTTGGGTGTGGTGGCTGGCACCTGTAATCCCAGCTACTCGTGAGGCTGAGGCAGGAGAATTGCTTGAACCCAGGAGGCGGAGGTTGCAGTGAGCCGAGATGATGCCACTGCACCCCAGCCTGGGTGACAGAGCAAGACTCTGTCTCGGAAAAAAAAAAAAAAAATATATATATATATATATATATATGTATATATATCTCGTTTCCCCAGTGTGTATTCTTGAAAAACTTTGTCAACAATCAGTTGGCTATATATATGTAGCTTTATTTCTGAGTTATTTATTCGGTTCCATTGATCTATATGTCTATTTTATACTAGTACTATGGTGTTTGGGTTACTATTGCCTCGTAGAATAATTTGAAGTCAGGTAATGTGATGCCTCCAGCTTTGTTCTTTTTGCTTAGGATTTTTTGTTTGTTTGTTAGTTTTTTGTTTTTTTCTTGGGGGCTGCTCTTTTTTGGTTCCATGTGAATTTTAGGATTGAATTTTCTGATTTTGGAGAAAGTGATGTTGGGATTTAAATAGAGATTGCATCGAATTTGTAGATTGCTTTGGATGATATGGCCATTTTAACTATATTAATTTTTCTGATCCATAAGCATGGGATTTTTTCCATTTTTTTTGTTTCAATTACAATTTCTTTCACCAGTGTTTTGTAGTTTTTCTTGTAGAGAATTTTCGCCCACATGTTTAAATATATGCCTAGGTATTTTATTTTTTATTGCAACTATTGTATGTGTGATTGAGTTCTCTCAACTTGATCATTATTGATGTATAGAAATACTACTGATTTGGGAAAACTCAGATTGCCATATGAAGAAGAATAAAACTGAACCCTGTTTCTCATCATATACAAAAATTAACTCAGCATGATAAAAGACTTAAATCTAAGTCCTGAAACTATAAAAATACTAGAAGAAAACCTAGAGCAAAATCTTCTGGACACTGGCCTAGGCAAAGAATTTATGACCAACACCTTAAAAGCACAAGCAGCAAAACCAAATATAGACAAATGGGACTTAATTAAACTAAAGAGTTCTGCACAGAAGAAGAAACATTCAACAGAGTGAACAGAAAACCTGGAACGGGAGAAAATATTTGCAAACTATGCTTCTGACAGGGGACTAATACCCAGAATTTATAAGAAACTCAAACAAGTCAACAACAACAACAACAACAACAAAAAAAAAACAAAAAAAAAACAAAGAACCCCATTAAAACATGGGCAAAGGGCATGAGCACGTTTCTCAGAAGGTGACACAGTAATGGGCAACAAATATATGACAAGATGCTCAGCATCACTAATCATCAGAGAAATGCAAATTAAAACCATAATGAGATATAATCTTACATGAGCTAAAATGCTATTTTTAGTTTGGTGCAAAAGTAATTGTTTTTGCCATTACTTTTAATAATAAATTAATATTAAAAAGATAAAAAATAACAGATATTGGTGTGGATGCAGGGGAAAGATAATACTTAAACATTGTTGGTGGGAATGTAAATTAATACAACTTCTATGAAAAACAGTATGGCAGTTTCTCAAAGAACTAAAAATAGAAATATCATTTGATCCAGCAATCTCACCACTGGGTGCCTACCCAAAGGTAAGAAATCATTATATCAAAAAGAGCACTTGCACTTATATGTTTATCATAGCACTATTCACAATTACTGTGATGTGGAATCAACATAAGTGTTCATCAATAAAAGATTGGACACAGAAAATGTGAGATATATATATATATATATATGAGCACACACAAATGTATATGTATATACACAAATGGGTATATATTATATATGTACATACAAATATAAAAGAATGTTTTCATTTTTTAATGGCTAAATGGTATTCCATTGTGTGTGTATATTATCAGAGTCATTGTTTTCCCATTCCCAAGCCAGCACTAAGCACATTTATTTTGTATGTAATGAAAAGATATAATGTGAAGCTAATAGCACCTAAGCTTCATGAACTTTCACTTGCAATGAGAAGCGTTAGCAATACATTGACATCATTGTTGTGTGTTTTTGTGTAATTTGGGAGAGTAAGATATTTTTATTGCGAAAGGTTAAATCACTGACTTTTTACATCTTACATTACTCTCATTTATAATTCCCTTTCTGTAGGTAACATTGTCATGGCTCCTGGCACCTCTGGGATCTAGCTGAAGAAGTGTGAGTTTTGGCATTAATGAAATATATTTATGTGGTTCTAAGCTGCTTCATTTACAGTAATTATAAACCATTCTGGTATAGGAGTGGCTTCCATGAATATTCCTATCTCTCTCTGTTCCAACACACCAGATGTCGTGACAAGAAACACCAAACCAGCAATCTTATTTTTAAATTTTAATAAATAAGTGTATCTATTTATGGGGTACAATGTGATATGTTGATACATGTTTACATTATGGAATAATAAAATCAGGCTAAGATTTTCATCACTTCATATACTTATCATTTCTTTGTGGTGAGAACATTTAAAATCTATTCCTTCGGTAATTCTGAAATATATAATACATTATAATTAGCTGTAGCCAATACATTGTGCAATAGATCACCAGTACTTATTCTTTGTGTGTAACTGAAGCTTTGTACCCTTTGACCAACATCTCTCCTTTTCCTGTCCACCACCACACCCAGCTTCTGGTAACCACTAGTCTACTCTCTGCTTCTACAAATTTGACTTGTTTTAGATTCTACATATAAGTGAGATCATGCTCCATTTGCCTTTCTGTGTCTAGATTATTTCACTTAGCCTAACGTCCTCTAGATTTCTTCATATTCTCCCAGGTACAAACTTTTCTTCTTTTTCAAGGATAAATAATATTCCATTGTGTATATTATACCACATTTAAAACATCCATACATTCATTGATAGACATTTTATTTGCTTCTATATCTTGACTATTGTGTATGATGCTGCAATGAATATGAAAGGCAGGAATATTTTATTATAAATATATATGAAATAAATATATATATATATAAAATAAAATATATTAGAATAAAACTGGCTAACACGGTGAAACCACATCTCTACTAAAAAAAAAATACAAAAAAATTAGCTGGGTGTTGTGGTGGGCGCCTGTAGTCCCAGCTACTCAGGAGACTGAGGCAGGAGAACAGCATGAACCTGGGAGGCAGAGCTTGCAGTGAGCCAAGATCGCACCACTGCACTCCAGCCTGGGCAAGACTCCATCTCAAAAAAAAAAAAAAAAAAAAAAAAAAAGAATGGGCATGGTTATGGAGTATCGACACCTCAGTTGGCTGCCTTGCCTTAGCTTAGAATTAATAGCTCTACCTCTGTGCTGATGCTTCCAAATAGGTATCCCTGGTCTGAGCCTCTCATATATATATATGTACCTATGTCCAACCTTCCAGTATGTATGTCTCTTTGTTTCCAATGAACAATGCTATAATCCTGTACAAAAAAAAAAAAACACAACTAGGTGTCGATCAGTAGTCGTTGAGATTAAGAAAAATACCTGAGTAGGTTGTCAGATTGGAGCAGAGATTGACAATCAGGTGAGAATCTTTACTTTCAGGATACATGAAAAGCAGTGGTCAGAGCAAGAAAATTCATTTGAAGTAAGACTTGTGTTCAGGAATTACACATATGTAGTTATCAAATGATAAGGTAAGTAAGATAAAATGTGAAAAGATGAGGAGAGAAGCCAGGAACAAAATATTCTTAAGAATCAAGAAGACTGCCCTCTTTATCTTAAGGAATAATAAGAAAAACATGTCTTTAAATATAGAAAATATGACCAAAATAGCATATTATTAGTATTAAGAGAATCAGTGAGCCCAATCTGATCATTTTTGGGGATACATCTTTAGTTTGACTAGCATCAAAGTGCTCCTCCAAATGGCAGCACCATTGTGCAGTTCCACCAGCAGACAAAGATTTCTTGATACTTGGTGATACAGGTTAACTACGTGTCACCACCAATATCATGTTAAAATGTGATCCCCACTATTGGATGTGGGGTCTAGTGAGAGGTGTTTGGGTAATAAAGGCAGATCCTTCATGACTGGCTTGGTGCCATTCTTTCAGAATTGAGTGACTGCGCTCGCTCTTAGTTCTCCAGAGACGCCTCTGTTAAAAAGAGCCTGGCACATTTTTCCTTTCCCTGTCTTGCTCCCTGTCTCAGCATGTAACATGCCAACTCTCCTTCACCTTCTGCCATGACTGGAAGCTTCCTGAAGCCCTCACCAAAAGCAGATGCTGGCACCATGGTACTTGTATAACCACACGAAAGGAAGAATTCCTATGCCAATTAAAGGGTATTTGTGTGTACGTGTGTTTGCATGTATGATGAACACATATAAATAGAATCTTTTTGGCATGTAGTTTACTATTAGCAAGCAATATACGCAGTATATTCATAAATTAGGTAAAAAATTCAACAAAACTGTGGCATAGTATTTACTACATATTAATCTAAAGCATTGTTATAGTTGGCTGTTTTAGTGATGACTTTCAATAGCTCTGTAATAGATCATTAAGATTCTTATGTAGACAAGAAAACTAACAGTTAGAAAGCTTAAATAATTTGTCTGAAGTTACACATGTTGTTAGAGACAAAACCAGGGTATTACCAGTAAGGCTCATTTTATTATACCGCACTGCCTCCAGATACCATGATGTTTATGCAGTCCTCCCAGGGATAAGAAATTGGTGAGAGTCACATGTTCAAGTGTATACAATAGCATTTCTCTATACTGATTGGAGATATCAGAGAAAAGTGATTATTCAGAACAGTCATTCCAAGTACCTTAAACTAACATGAGGCAAATGTATTTCAATCTTTAAAAAGAAGTATCTCTAATAATCTATTTACTAAAAATTATATAATTTTATCAAACAAAGGCTTATCAGAATTCCAACATCTGATTTCTGATGTGAAAATATCAAACAAATGCAATTGATATAAAGAATAAAATATTTGGACATTACATAAGCATAACTGTATTCTAATCTGACTTCAGTCTAATCTGATTAGAACTCATTTTCTTTCTAAAATTTTAAATTTAAAGAAAATAGCTTTTCTAAAACAAATTCATCAGAAATTGTATATAATGTTTTGTAATTTAAAATATATAAATAATAATCATGCCATTAATTTGGCTTTCAATTTACAACATCTGTTTTAGCTATAGGTATGATTGTATTTAAGAAAGTAAGGATTGAACAAAATCCACCAGCATGTTATGTATTTCTGTGTACCACAGCTAAAAACCTGATTAATATTTCCTAAAGGGAAGCCAAAATAGCATATTCATGCTTTATGTTTATGCTCCATAAAACTACATGTAAAATAATTTGCATGTTCATTTTTGGAAATTAGGTATTATCAAACTGGCCCACAAAAGCAAGAGGTAAGGCAAGAGAGAGTCCTAGAAAATAACTGGTTATTTTGAGAACATATTCCTAATACTTGTCTGTTTAAATATCCATTAAAGCCCTGGATATTGGAAGGAGATTGACAGAGTGGCTAAAGTAGAAGACCCTAAAAGAGTTTTGCCCAGAGTCAGCCAGAGATTTTGGTTCTCACTAAATGTACTCTGACACAGAGCAGAGGAAATTGTCTGAAACAAGTTTAAGGGATCTATGTTAAAGCTGCCTAAGCATAGATATGTATACTTGTTTGAGGCTTTGCAAGCTGGCTTAGAACACTATAAAGCCTTGCCAAATCACTGAGAGAGTTAGTCTTCTTTGAAGCAGAAATAGTGTGCTTGGGTTTAAGTAGGATGTCATAAGCAAAGTGTGAAAAAATATATTTTAGGAAACTACGGATATAGCTCAATTGACAAGCAGTTTTTCTGTCAAAATTTTATTTGTACATTGATCTTTGTAACTCTGAATCAATATCTCAAAATAGATAATAGTGATTAGTGCATCAAAGTTTGGTGAAGGATGCCTAATTTAATCCTTAAAATACATGAAATACCGTATTGATTAATGCTTTTTATCTACTACATATTTTTATATGGTGAAATTGTATTCTAAGTTCCAAAAAGGACCCCAAGAACACACTTCACTGGCTGAGGATGCAAGGACCCACAGAGTGCTCCTGGCTGTAGTGATTGTCATCTAGGGTGTGGCTAGGGCCTTTGGAAAAACCAAATGTGACAGATCCTCTAAGCACTTATTAAAGTTAGTTTTTTCTCTATAGTAATAGATGGGCTTTATAACACTTTATAAGATACTTTAACTAAAATATCTGGGATTGCTTTATGATAAGAGATTATATTTATGGTTCCCAAATAATAAAATTATTTTACTGATATTTATTATTTATTAGGTATTTATTATCCATTAGGTGTTTTTTGTTTTGTTATGTTTTGCAATGACATTAAACACTGCATTGGAAATTTCTTGTACTTATTAAAGCACTATATACAAGGAGATGTTTCTTAAGACTTTTACAATTGGGAAGAAAAAACTAGCATCTGAACAAATGTTTTCTTTAATTCTCAAATTATTAAATGGGTTTGTTTTCTATACACTAATATGAAATAAAATGTATCTGTAATGTAAATCTCTGACTAGACAAATTTAAATATATAAAGATAAATATTTATTTTAATATGAGTATTTATTGAATATGTCAAGTAAGAATGATTTCCTTGAGTTGCCCATGCTGAGGAAGAAACAAAACTTTCTCTGTAATTTTTCTTTAGTTCTTTCCTACATGTTTCCTTTTTCTCAGCCTGTCTCTCTTCCTTCCTACCCCAATGTTGTTTTCTTCTCTTGTTGCACAATCTATCATTCCACATACAATTATTAATTTTTTCCAGACACTGTTTTAGGTGTTAGGGAAATAGGGACGAACCAAAAAGATCTTACTCCTACCTTTAAGAGGTTCTCATCTACTAGAGAAAACAGACATGAAATATTATTAGAAGTGAGATGATTATTACAAAAAATGTGAAAAACACGGTACTTTAGTGTATTTACAATGAACTTCTGACTGTAAGTTTATACTTGGGATAGCAGTGAAATTAGAAAATTTATCTTATCGGGGAAATTATAGTCCACTGAAAATTGATACTAAGCATTACATGCCAATATAATTCCTTGCTTTTTTTTTTTCTAACAATCCTATTTAGTTTGAGAGAAATTACAGAGAAAACGAAATGAATGATTTGGGGTTGGACATTAAAAGTTAGGTGAAATTTAGGAATCTCAGAAAAATCTTATTTTTAAAGTTAATGGCTTTAATCAACTTTCTGCCTTTCAGATGATCCATCAGTTTAAGCCTATTCCTAGATCCTTTATTCTAGGAAGGGTAAAGCAAGAGTTCAGGGAAGACAGTCCCTAGTCTTATATTACTGGTTGTTATGCTGCTACCAGTACCACATATGTCTTTCATCTTTGTCTCTTCTGTGGATCTGTGATTTGCAGACATCTGATGCCTCAACTCTTTTCCTTTAGCTTCCAACTTTTGTTAACTTCCAACCTTTGTTCCCAGGCCTGGATATTAGCAGCTTTATTCCTCAAGCAGTGGCTTACACCAATTGTCCCTTCCTCAAAAAAAAAAAAAAAAAAAAAAAAAAATTCTGGACGCAACCCAGCCTGCCTTGTTAAAATCTTCACTGCTTGTTGCTCTCATTTGACATTTGCCAACTGCTCTCTTACATGAAACAGATTTTATGCCTGCATTTCTACACTTCAGTCACCTCGGGATCCAAAATCTGCCATGTCCATAGATTTGTTATAGCCTGCCAACTGTCCCCTGTGCCAGATGGTCTGCCTGTGGACGTTTTCAGTATAGATCTTCAGAGTTCCCTAAACCCTTGAACTTAGCCTCTATTAACCTGGGTTGAGTGACTCTTTCACTCAGTAAGATAATGGTCTTCCTGAGGTAGACCCGTTTCTATTTTAGTCACTGCTGAATCCCCAGTATGCAATTAATATTTAAATAAATGATTTACTTCTTTTACCTTAGATTGCTCGTGTTTATAAAAAGTGCATATAATTATGTGTTTAAATCTCTGAAAATATGGTTACACTTCCTACAACTTTGCTTTTCAAGTCTTGCATCAGATTAAATAAGTATTTAAACCATCATTTCCAAATCAGGAAACTATAGTAAAGTTTGTTCTCTTATTTTTTTAATGATATACTATGTTCAAGACAGCATTCACATGGTTCTGAAAATAATTGGCTCCTTAAAAACAAAACTGCTATAAGTACTGATGAATTTTGTAGCCTTCTTAATAATACATCTTCACCAAGGAATCATACATTGTTTACTCTGAATAAGATATATTATGTATTAATGGCACAGTATAACATCTGAAAGAACAAAAATTGATCCTGGTGGAGGGGGAGAATCTTATTCTTCATATGTATAAAGCACAGATATTCATACATTACATAACAAATATATACTGTATTTGTATTATCAACATTTTGTGGGGAATCAGTAGGAGAAAATGTTTAAAACGTCTCCTTGTGGGAGGCAACAGGAAAAATAAATTAAGAAACTCTGTGGTACATAAAGGTAAAAAAAGAGCTTCATCCCTGTTTTGGAGAGAGCATCCAAGTTAACAGGCAAAATTTGCCAGAGATTTGATTCTTTTAAGAGATGGTGTGGGCCGGGTGTGGTGGCTCACTCCTGTAATCCCAGGACTTTGGGAGGCCGAGGTGGGCGGATCACGAGGTCAAGAGATCGAGACCATCCTGGCCAACATGGTGAAACCCCGTCTCTACTAAAAATACAAAAGTTAGCTGGGCATGGTGGTGTGTTCCTGTAATCCCAGCTACTCCAGAGGCTGAAGCAGGAGAATCGCTTGAACCCAGAACCCGGGAAGTGGAGGTTGCAGTGAGCAGAGATTGAGCCACTGCACTCCAGCCTGGTGACAGAAGGAAATTCTGTCTCAAAAAAAAAAAAAGAGGTGGTGTGTACTGAGAAAACTATGAGCACATCCTAGAAGCTGATGTGATCAACACAGAAGAACATAATCACAAGGTAATTTCTGGATTGTCAACTTCTTTCAAACTTGATGTTTTATTTCTATTTATTTATTTATTTTGAGACAGGGTATCGCTCTGTCTCCCAGGCTGGAGTGCAGTGGCGTGATCTTGGCTCACTGCAGCCTCTGCCTCTTGGGTTCAAACGATTCTTGTGCCTCAGCCTCCCAGGTAGCCGGGATTACAGGCGCACACCACCACACCTGGCTAATTTTTGTATTTTTTGGTAGAGACGGGCTTTCACCATGTTGGTCAGGCTGGTCTCGAACTCCTGACCTCAAGTGATCTGCCTGCCTTGGCCTCCCAAAGTGCTGGGATTACAGGTGTGAGCCACCACACCCAGGCTTAATGTACTATTTTTAAACAATATTTCAATATTTTAATTAGGCTAATCTATATCCTATAAACAGCTCATTTAATACACACACATAACCATTTTACAATAATGCCAGATTATTTTGTAAAACTATATAGTTATGTGAAATATGTATTTTAGTTTGAAATAGCAAAATCAGATTTCAAGAGCTGTGTTGTCTCATGTATCACAAAGTTCATTTAGCCACAGCTACTCCTAAGAATGAACTATTTTTTCCAGACATAATCCATTTCAGTTATAGCTAACTTTTCCTATTTCAAAGGTCCTATATACTCTAACAAGAGAGCACTCTTCACAACACAAGTACAGTCAGAGTGCAGAGTACTCAATCACAACACAAGTACAATCATGACTCAAACAATTGAAAAAAATTTTTTGGATTGATGACTTACATTAGTTTCACTGACCTTAACCATCCCCTCCTTTGCGAAACCTTTTCTGTTTTGTCGACTAAATGAACACACTTTTTTACCTGTAGCCATGGATCTGGAACACCACAATTTTACATTCATTTCTTTGATATTCCCATTACATGTTAAAGACAACCAATTAAATCATATCTTAAAAGGTCTTATCTGTAGAGTCTTTTGGTAACATTTCACCGATTTTTAAATTCCTTCATTTCTGATTTTTTAACATAGTTTGAGGTGCTGCATATTCCAGGTTCCTCTTTGACCAATCTGAGAGCATTATTGAATCCCCTGCTCTTACTTAGCTCTGATGTTCTAATTTCATTACATTTTTCTTTCTGTTTATAGACATACTCATCAACTTCCAGGAGTTTGACAGCATTCATTTGCCAAACTGTGTTTGGGTGCAAGGTGCCAGATATACAAAGGTAGACTAGATATACTCCTGCCTTCTAGAAGCTCTGATAACATCTTTCCTATATATTTCCAACACAACTTTAGAAATCTTCACCTTTAAGCACTGTGAACATCTCAAACTTACAATACATAAACTTTTGACCCTAAAATTTACTGTTCTTTAATTTGATAGATGGCACAATATCCACCATTAAAAAATATAATTAACTTACTCTCTTGCCTCTACTCAAACTTCAGAATCAAAGAGTAAATTTAATTTATTTCACATTCACATCTTTTAATTCAGGACTCTATTAATGATTTTAGATATTCATTAATGCTAGTTTCAAATCTGGTTTCTCCAACTACAACTTGAGTGATTTTGAACAGGACAAAATCCTTATATCTCAAGTACTTTGTTGGTACAACAGAAATAACCTCCAACTAACAGGATGTTGAAGAAACATGTAAAGAGCATAGCACATAGTATTACTGAATACATTTTGATATTTTCTCTTCCCCAAATATTTCTTCTTTTCTGGTGTTACTGATGTAGATTATGTATTATTTGGTTCCATCTGGATATCCCACTACAGATTTACTTTCCTCTCTTCTCTGTCAACTCCACAATGTTATTAAATTGATTATTCTGCTGAAAGACTTCCAGACTTACTAATTGTTCACAATAAAATATAAATAAACACAATAAAATATTAATTCCTCACAGTAAAATATTAATTCCCACAGCATATCACCACATTTTATGCACTTCTGTGTACACCCCACAAGGCTCAGTCTTAGGCATAGAACACATATTTTTCAAATGTCTTCTGATTTTGTTCACTTCCCTTATAAAAATGTGTGCATAAAGTCCATACTACATCTTTGTAGATATTCATATTTGAAAG
The DNA here is from genome assembly GCF_000001405.40 of Homo sapiens. Classification (NCBI taxonomy): domain Eukaryota; kingdom Metazoa; phylum Chordata; class Mammalia; order Primates; family Hominidae; genus Homo; species Homo sapiens. The sequence goes on from NC_000014.9 coordinate 43,859,163, forward strand.
AGGGCAGTTATATTTAAGCTAATGTTTACTTAAGAATTATGTGAGTAAGAGAGAAGGAAGTGAGTTTAGGCACAGCATCTAACAGATTTATAAAATCAAACCTTCTCTTACTAAATCTTCTGCTTTGTGAACATCTTTCTGCTTAATTTGTTTTGTTTAGGAAATTTTAAAAAGTCCATAGTCACATAATCTACATGCTCTCAGTTGGAGCCTATGCTTCCTTAATATTTATCTTTCTGATGCTTTCCCTATATTGGATATTACATCTGGATAACAATGCAATGAAAAGTAGGAAGACTTCCCCATTGAGGTTCACTTCATCTGCATTCCTATGGTTGGTATGACCTCAATCATTACAGGAAAATGTAGGTTCCTGCTGTTTTCCTCACATGACTCTAGATCCCAACACCTTGGTTATTGGATATGACATTTAGTACTATGAAACTTTTTTGGAGAAAACTCAATTCTGTTTGAGAACTGAGCAATTATGTACCACCTTTCATATCCTCTTGCTGTTTCTTCCAGATTTAACAAAATATGGCAGTTTTTCTTTCTAGTGTGTAGTCTCATGTCAGGGCATATTTTCTTCCTAGTTTGTAGTGTAACGTTTGCAGAACTCATTTTCTGATTTTCACGTCTTTAAACTCTGATTAAGTCAAGTTACTTGTTATCACCAGTAATTTGGAAATATCAATTATTTCACAGATGAATACAACAGATTTGGCAGAATATGAAAATGCCTGGTAATCAAAATTATGACTATCCTCAGCTCTACAGGATTAGTTTCTTTCAGTGGTCTAACAAGACTCCTTTGAAGTATTTGTTACATGGATTCTAGGAGGTAAATTTTCATTCCTAGTATTTTGCATAAATTTTGTCCCTTTTATACTTGAATTAGTTTTTTTAATTTTTATTTATTTATTTATTTTGAGACGGAGTCTTACTCTGGCAACCAGGCTGGAGTGCAGTGGTGTGATCTCAGCTAACTGCAACCTCTGCCTCCCAGGCTCAAGCAATTCTCCTGCCTCAGCCTCCCGAGTAGCTGGGATTACAGGAGTGTGCCACCATGCCCGGCTAATTTTGTATTTTTAGTAGAGATGGGGTTTCACCATGTTGGCCAGGCTGTTCTCAAACTCCTGACCTCAGGTGATCCTCCTGCCTCGGCCTCCCTAAGTGCTGGGATTACATGCATGAGCCACCACACCCAGCAATTTTTTTTTTTTGTATCTAAGCTTAGAACATTGTTGTTTGTTTGTTTGTTTGTTTGTTTGTTTGTTTTTTGAGACAAGGTCTTGCTCTGGTGCCCAGGCTGGAGTGCAGTGGCACAAGTGATTCTCTCACCTCAGCCTCCCAAGTACCTGAGATTATAGGCATATGCCACCACATCTGGCTAAGTTTTTGTAGAGATGGGGTTTCACCATGTTGCGCAGATTAGTCTCAACCTCCGGGGATCAAGCAGTCTGACTCCCTCAGCCTCCCAAAGTGCTGGAATTATAAATATGAGCCACCATGCCCAGCCCATTGTTTATTTTTTGAAGTGAATAAAATGTATAAGTTATTCCATAACTGTATTAATTCCAGTGATGAAGCAAAGTGTAAATGTGTGGTTTCTTATTAAATTTATATATTTGGTTATGTTTTTCAGGTCTAATTTCTATTCCTTTTTAAGTGAATAAGATGTGATGCTGTGCTATGGAAATTAATATTTTATTATGGGCAACTGATAAATCTGGAAGTCTTTCAGCAGAATAATCAATCTAGTCACATTGTGGAGTTTAGGCAAGTCTTAACAGAGACTAGAGGAAAGGAAATCTGTACTGGGATATCCAGATGGCATCAAATAAGCATATAATCTACATCAGTAACACCAGAAAAGAAGAAACATTTGGAGAAGGGAAGACATCAAAATCAATTCAGTACATACTATTTGGTATGCTCTTTACAGTTTCCCTCAAGTAATTCTGACATCTTATTAGAGCTTATTTCTATTGGACCAATAAAGGAATTGATATACTTACCTTACGATGGGAACTTGTTAAGCATTCTGTTCTTCAAGCAGTGGTAAAATTGCGAACACATCCTGAAGAAGAATTAGTGGCAAAATTGTGAACACAACCTGAACTTTTCTACTCTGCTGCCACCACTGTCTTTATCTAAGACACTCATACATTTATCTAACTAAAATTTAATTCAAGGTTCTACTTTTTTCTGTCTCCTTATAGTACTCTGTAACTCTAGTTTTTAGCAAAGTCATATTCTGAGGTATATTATTGTTGGTTTTATTTTATTTATTTTTATTTTTGAGACAGTCTTGCTCTGTCACGCAGGCTGGAATGCAGTGGCACAATCACGGCTCACTGCAGCCTTGATCTCCCAAGTTCAAGAGATCCTCTTGCTTCTACTTCCCAAGTAGCTGGGACCAAAGGCGTGCACTACCATGCCCAGCTAATTTGTTGTATTTTTTGTAGAGACTGAGTTTCACCATATTGCCCAGGCTGGTTCCAAACTCCTGGACTCAAGTGATCCACGAACCTTGGTCTCCCAAAGTGCTGGGAATAGAGGTGTGAGCCACCGTACCTCTCACCTTATTGTTGGTTTTGTATGTGTTATTTCTGTTACCAAAATTGAAGACTTGCAGATAAGTCATATTATTATTTTTTAAACTCTCACCTATGATTGTGAATTTCTCTGCCTTTCTGTATTTCTATCAATTGTATCTTCTCGTATTTTGAAATTCTATATTTACAGTCATATGTATTTAAGATGGTTACGACTTTTTGATAAAGTTTACTCATATATCATTACAAAATATTTTTATCTATAGCATAGTTTTTTGTCATCAAATCTACTTTATCTAATATTAATATAGCCATACCAGTTCTCTAATTTTTATTGTTTGCATAGAAGATAGTTTTCTACTATTTTGCTTTCAAACTATAAAGTCCTATAATTTATAATATATTTCTTCTAAATAAACTACAGTTAGTTCTTGCTTTTTTTTTTTTTTTGGAGACAGAGTCTCACTCTGTCCCCCAGGCTGGAGTGCAGTGGCGCCATCTTGGCTCACTGCAAGCTCCGCCTTCCGGGTTCACGCCATTCTCCTGCCTCAGCCTCCGGTGTAGCTGGGACTACAGGTGCCCTCCACCACACCCAGCTATTTTTTTATATTTTTAGTAGAGACGGGGTTTCACCATGTTAGCCAGGATGGTCTCGATTTCCTGACGTCGTGATCAGCCCACCTCGGCCTCCCAAAGTGCTGGGATTACAGGCATGAGCCACCACGCCCAGCCGCTTGTTTGTTGCTGTTAACCTAATCTGAAAACTTCTCTTTTTTAATAGCAATGTTTGGACCATTTACATTTAATATAAATGTTTATATGCCAGGATTTAAATCTACCATGTTGGCACATATCCCCTATTTTTCCAATCTATTATTTGTTCTTCCCTCTCTTTTTTAATAGAAGTGTTTGGACCATTTACATTTAATATAAATGTTTATATGCCATGATTTAAATCTACCATGTTGGCACATGTCCCCTGTTTTTCCAATCTATTATTTGTTCCTCCCTCTCTTTTTTAACAGAAGTGTTTGGACCATTTACATTTAATATAAATGTTTATGTGCCATGATTTAAATCTACCATGTTGGCATATGTCCCCTATTTTTCCAATCTATTATTTGTTCCCCCTGTTTTAAATATCTTATCTTCATATTGTTTAATCAAATTTTAAAAAATAGTTTATCTCTTTTATGAATTTTTAGTTAAATATTTTTGGACTAATTTAGAGACTACTCTAGAGATGCTAGTATACATTTTAAATTTTTACAATCTATCAAATACATTTTTAAACTAACTTTATAGACACTATAAGAACCTTACAATAGTAAAGTTTCATTTACCTCCTCATGCCCTCAGGCTCACATTTGTCATTATGTATTTCTACATATGCAATAATCCCATCATATATTGTTGTTACTTTTTCTTAAAATAATCACTAGAGAGTACATACATAATATATATACACACATACATATAGGCATGTGTATATACATATACATACACAGATGTATGTGTTTAACTTTTAAAATATATTTTATAATTATCCACCTATTTATATTTTTTGAGCAGTTAAACATTTTTATTTGTAATCATTTCTTTTAGTTTGAAGAACTTTCAGTATTTTTTGTAGTACAGGTGGGCTGGAGACGAAGTCTCCCTGAAAATATTATTATTTTGCCTTCATAGTTACATGATATTTCAACTGAAATATAATTGATATAGAAGGAAGAGTTTATGTTTTCCTCCAACTGCACATTATAAAAATGCTCTTTCTTTGTCTTCTGACCTTCATTATTTCCGATGAGATGTACTCATTGTTTTTATTGTAATGGGCCTTGCCCTGGACTCTAGAAGCTTTGAGATCAGCCTAACCAACGTGGTGAAACCCCATCTCTACTGAAAATACAAAAATTAGCCAGGTGTGGTGGTGGGTGCCTGTAATCCCAGCTACTCAGGAGGCTGAAGGGGGAGAATCACCTGAACCCAGGAGGGAGAGGTTGCAGCGAGCCAAGATCATGCCACTGCACTCCAGCCTTGGCGACAGAGCAAGACTCTGTCTCAAAAGAAAAAAAAAAGAAAGAAAAAAGAAAAAGGGTTTTCTCTGTATCTTTGGTTTTGAGCAGTTTGACTGATATACCTAGATATGGTTTTCTTTGCATTTTCCCACTTGAAATGGATTCCTGTGATATATTGTACGTACTTTAAATAATTTTCTGCACTATTTTATCTCTCCTCTTTTATTTTGTATTCCGATAATGTCTCTCTCTGTCTCACACACACATACATATATACATATCTTATATATATGACAAATACATATATAAGACAGGTATATACATATTTATGTATATACACACACACATTTTAATCTCAGTATGTTTGGCAGTTTAGTATTTTTTTTACTCATTATTATCTTTATGTTTTGGTTTGGCCTGTTTTCAGTTTCAATGATCTTTCTTCTGCTGAGTACAAAAGCAGATTAAATGACCACTTAAAGATCATTAAGCAAGTTTTTATATTAATATATGTATAAATTGTTTTTAATATTTCAACTTGGTTTATGTTTTCTGCTTCTGCTGAGAATTTGAATATCATATAAGCAACTAAGAACAAATTTGTAAGCCATTTCCAATACGCATTTTAAAATAACTTATATTTATTGTGTATTATATATGTCATTCATATGCAAAATGTTATTCTCATTTAAACATCACAGGAGACAATTAATAGGTAGGAATACTGTTATATCCAATTCAGAGATAAAAAAAAAATCTGTAAAGTAATTAACCCTCAGTCACAAAATCAGTATGTTTGCAAACTATATTTAACCCAGACTGTTTCTTAACCACTACCTTAAAACTACAACATGCCTAGAAAATTAATGGGTACTATTTATTGAATAGTACTAAAGAGTTATACTAAATATCACAAATTGGCTACAACTGATCCTCTCATATTCTTACAAATAATACCCCTCTCAGAGACACCAATATACTGTGCATTTTATAAGTTGCTTTTAAGTTAACCAGTTGAACTCTGTGCAGGGTATTTTGGAAGGATGCAACTACATTGTTGTGGAATATAGTACAGCCATTCTACAAGAGTGCAATAAAGCAATTGCCTATTTAAGAAATCTGGAGAATCAAACAACTGGCATACTTCAATTAAAGACCAAGACATGAAATGAGGAGGCTTAGCAAGAAATTAATAATGAAGAAAATTTTAGGAAAGCTTTGTATGTGCAGAATTACCTAGAAATACATCTGGCTTCTAATTCATAGCAATAACCTGTGTACTCTTGGAGTCACTGGCATCTCCTCCACTGTGAACACATTTTTATCCTTACTTAGATAGTTTTAGAGTATTGACAGTATTCTACTTCTATTCAGTCATCTAGGCATTGTCCAACATTTTTTACTTGGTATACATGAGAAAATTAAAATAATCATTTGGAAGTATAACTCATTTTGTGTCTCTATTTTACAATTGAGTATAATAATGTCTTCCTAAGCCAAAAGGCAAGTGTCCAGAGACATCAATTTATTGAGTTCCCCCACAGGGCTAAAATTTTTTATGTGCAAGGTCAATTTATAACTGTCTTGGATCACTGATAAATTATGGTTCCCAATGATCATAAGAGTTAGTCTTCTCAAAGTTTCTTGGTGACTGTATTAATAAGATGGCAAACTCTGTTTAGTTTTTATTCATACAGGTATTTAAAAAACTATACCTAGTACTCAGACATGAGTTTCTGGTAACTCATCTAAAATAAATATTTGAAGGCTGGATGCAATGGCTCACGCCTGCAATCCCAGCACTTTGGGAGGCCAAGGCAGGCAGACCACTTCAGATCAGGAGTTTGAGACCAGCCTGGCCAACGTAGTGAAATTCCGTCTCCACTACCAAACACAAAAATTAGCTGGGTGTGGTGGTGGGCACTTGTAACCCCAGCTACTCAGGAGGCTGAGACACGAGAATCTCTTGAACACAGGAGGTGGAGGTTGCAGTGAGCGGAGATCAAGCCACTGCACTCCAGCCTGGATGACAGAGCGAAACTCCATCTCAAAAAAAAAAAAAAAAAAAAAAAAGAGTACGTCACTCAGAATCATGCCTCCTCTGACATGAGTCTGTTGTCCTTGTACTTAAACTACACCGCTAACACTCTGCTGTTTCTTGCTTTCTTATGTTACAAAGGCATTCCTCTGAGGAGACTCTAGATGAAGCCTTTCTGTAAATTCTCTGGAAATGCTCAAATTTAGGATGAACAGAGCAAAAATATAATCCAAGGTGATCACAGGGAACACCTGCCATTTAACACACTTACATAAAGGTCTACCATATTATGCTTACAGAAACCCTCTAGGACTTTGTCTTTCAAATGCAAGACACAGAAAGTAGTGGAATAAGCCTTTTAAATGTCTGAAGAAGATGATTTGGACAACTTGTTTTGTAAAAGAGGAGCATTCAAGAACAAAAATTACATTTTAAGTTGGTGAAAGTTTAAATCATATGGGAATTACTGAAAAATACTTTTTGATAAAGGTAATCAGCTAGAAATTGACACCCCAGGGAACAATGGGAGTTATGATGAATTAATATATGAAAATCAATTTGAAAGGGGAAATCATTATAGACTACTACCTTTGCTAGTGTGCTATCACATAAAAGTTTTTAGGTTTTTTTCCTTTTAAATTATATATTGATTATAAATGTTGCTTCATTGTTTTAAAAATAAAATATATACTGTCACAAAAAAATTCAGATTAAAAGACATAACAAAGAAGTGTAGATGGTTACAAATGTCTCCCCAAATAATATATGTAACAACTGAATTAGTCTCTCCTCTTATTTCTGATATTCTCACAATAAAAGAAAAAAGAGACCTGGCACAGTGGCTCACACCTGTAATCCCAGCATTTTGGGAGGCCGAGGTGGGCAGATCACTTGAGTCCAGGAGTTTGAGACCAGCCTGGACAAAACAGTGAGTCCACCCCATCTCTATTTAAAAAAAAAAAGAAAGAAAGAAAGAAAAAAGAAAGAAAATACAGTAGTTTTAGTTGGTATTTTATAACTACTCGTGCTAAGTTTTATTAACCTTTGAAATATTTAATAGTGTTTTCCCCAGATTTCAAAATAATTAGATGTAGCATAAATTAAAACATATATTCTGTGATTTATCACCTAATTTCAGTAATTTTTTATAAAATCTTTGGAGGGTGCCAGTATCTCCCCATGAAAGTCTTAAGCCTGTAATTCTCATTTGTTTATTCCCTCTGTCACCCTAAAAACCTGAATATCTTACTGAGTTCTCCTCAAAATGTTCAACATGATCCAGCTGACCCAGCTTCAAGTTCCTAACTTCAAATGTGAATGACAGACAGTTACTATTATTGCCATCTCTACATTATCTCACTTAGAAAAGTGTTGTATTTCATTCACAATTGTTACCTATTTTTGCAAGTTTACCTGTCTCCAGCATTCTGTTCATTCAAATCCCCATTTCTTATTCATTTACTCTTATGTGATGATTCGATAGAGTGCAGGTATTTTATTTCATTGAATTTTCATATATATTTTAGTCATATTTCTTGAAGAAATTTAAATCATTAAAATATATTTAATAAGTATTGTTATTCATAGGTATGCAAGTTATGTGTTGAAATACTTCATACATTCATAAGCAGTATGCTGTGATATTGCATTTGAGGGGAATAAAAAAGTATGAGTAACTTAATATGTTATATTTCAATATAGTTGCTCAGGTATCTTAGATATATTATTTATTATTTTCTTGAAATCAGTTTAGTTTCTATTCTGAGGCTTTGTCCTGCCACATAGAGCAAAATTGTCCCAAAGTTCCAGTTTCTATACAGAGCCAGGGTGTTGGAGAAGAATCTTAGTGACTGCTAGTGGTCCCTCTTTGCTCCTGCTGAGATGCCCATTGTACAGTCTGTAGAACTCCTCCATTCTATTAGATCTGTTGTTTCCAGAACAGCATCTAGACCTCAGCAATTGCAATCCAGCCTCTAAAGCTACATCACACAGCCATCTGCTCCCTCTTCTCCAAGTCTTATCACCTTGTGATCTGTGAGGACTTGGAGAAGAGGGAACAGAACTCTGTTCTCTCTCTCTCTCTCTACTCTCTCTCTGGTAATCCCCAAACTCACCAATCAACTTTCAATTTTTTGTAATCTCTGAAAATTCTATCCATTCCCTACTTTTATATTCCTCAAATACATTCCCATAACAATCCTCTTAATGTGTTTGAACATCTACAAAAATCAAATAGAGATGTTCCATGCAACTACAGCTTTCTGCCCTGCAAAAAGTATCCAAAGCAGGGAAATACAAAGGGCATGGGTATTTGCTTGGAAGTAACAAGAAGAAGTAGGGAATATGGGGGGACAGAAATATAGAAACACACATTCCTGGCTGTACACATTACCTTAACATGTAAGCAAATATATTAGAAAAACAGGCTTTGCACGATTTTCCAAGGACACAGAGAGGATGACTGCTTTCTCACCCTGTTGTAGCCTCCTGGTTCTACAATTTTAACTCTTATTAACCCCAATTTTAAGTAGAAAACTTAGGAAGTAATTTCAACTATTTTGTAATAATATTTGTAGATGAAAAACACTTTATAATTTTTGAAACATACGTTTCTTTAATGTTTTATTAACAAATCTAAATATATTTACCTTTTGTATACTATATGGAAATAAGATGTCAAAGTATATAAACTTAAATTTATGATTAGTAATTAATATTTAATTATGTTAACTTACTTTTAAATGATTCAGACATTTTATGGTTATCTATTACTTAGCAAAACAGGATTTTAAGTTACTGAAAAGAATTTTGAAGCTATAAAGCAGGTACCCTTCCTAAAGTCTTCCCAAGTTCTATGGGGTCCCAAGTAGCCATGTGGCACCCATGGATGGCTATCGAGAGTGGGGCCCATCTGGATCTTGCATTACATACCAGGTATGAGCTCAGGACAAAGGACAGAGTTGTGAAGATGATGTCTGAAGGACCTAACCCCTCCCAGCCTGGCTAGGAGGCAAAGGTGTGCCATAGAAGATGGGGCCATACTGGGCTTGACTCTGCCTTGTAGCTGGTGGTCCAGGTGCTGAGAACATGTCCTTAGGCCTTACCATGGCCACGTGTTCAGACCTCAGAATCTAGAGGCTCAAAAACCAAAGATAAGCTTACAATCAGATGTGCACAAGGCTTCAGAGAAGCCTAGCAGCCATCCCTTAAAGCTTTAGCACACAGACAAATCCAGCACATATTAAAAGTACTACAGAAGCAATAAGCAATAGTGTTATGACCTTAATACATCTGGTAGAAACAGCCTAAACCTGTCTGGTGAGCAGTACAAGCGAAAATGTCTGAATTATGTTTAACACTGACAGTTCTGAGGATATTCCAACTTTATGTTTCCAACAATTTTAAACTAACTTTATTTAACAAAGCTTTATCCAAGGCATGTGAACTAAAAGACATTTATGTTTGTTTCTATTTTTCTGATAAAATATTTTATCTAAGCACTTATACTTTTCTTTAAGCCAATTAATTAGAGCTCTTATATTTTGGTAGTGAAATAGCACATAACATAACACATATAAACATGCAGACACAGTCAGAAGTGGATCTTATAGATTTTTAATATTCTTCATTTGCCACTTTTCAAATAGTTTTGTTCCCCCTTTTAGACTGTCAAGCTCTACATGATTATTACCTAGCAAGCAGAAATGTTTTATTTCCCAAGACATGACTTCTTAGGTGAATATTTACATATCAAAGGCACAGGATTTAGATCTAAACACCATTATTCCTTGAAATAAAAAAGGGGTAAGTAAAGGTCCAGTCAAGACAAGATTATCAGGAAAGTATCTTAAACAAAGGGAAGATTTGTAAGCCAGTATCTTTCTTTTCCTAACAGTTTCTAGTGACTTAGATACTGGAAGGGAGATACACTTAAACATGAAGATTTCTTCTATAGATGTGAATTTCTCTTACAAAGCATGTTAGAATAGCCATAAAAATTCCAGAAAGTATTTTACAGACCAATCTAGTTAGATAGGTGGCCTTTTTAACAAAGCTTGTTTCTTGATTAGATTATTGACTTTAATAAGACAAAAGGCATATTTTCTATGCCTGGACTTAGTATGGATAGCTCTGAAAAAGAAGCAAGCCTATTATACCTAATTTCTGTCTGACCGTATTTTCTGGGATCTGTTTCTCAGCTGAGCGCCTACACATAAAAGCCCAAAGGCTTCATATGCTCCAAAGATGAAAAAACAAAACAAACAAAACAAAACAAAAAAGAAAATATCAACGTCTGTCCATGGAAGGAAAAACGACCCGTAACAAATGGGTACCCCAATTAGTTCCATGACCAGGAATCCAACCTGGGCTACAGCCATAAAGGCACAGAATCTTAGTGACTAGACCATAGGGTGGAACAATTTTTGTAAGTCTTACAGGGGTTTCAAAGCAAGAAGTTTGAGCATACAAAGGATTTTAACTTTTAGGGCAGATTTACTCTTTAGTTTTGTCAAGAAAATTTCTAAGTCTAGCCATAACACTATTATGTGTCCCTTTTAAAAACTTTAATATTTTTATAAATGTGTATAAGGCAATTCTTTAGAATAAGAACTCTCAATTTTTTTTTAATTATGAGTCTAATTTAAAGTATCTATCTTGTGGCTATTAATAATTAGAATTTCCATCAATGAAGAGTCAAACGCTGTGAAATATTCGAAGAGATTTATTCTAAACTAAATATGAGTGACCATGGCCTGTGACACAGACCACAGCAGGCCCTGAGAACATGTGCCCTAGGTGGTCGGGGCGCAAGTTAGTTTTATACATTTTAGAGAGGCATGATTCATCAATCAAATACATTTAAGAAATACATTGGCTTGGTCTGGAAAGGTGGGACAACTCAAAACTGGGGGGCTTCCAGGCTATAGGTGAATTTAAACATTTTCTGGTTGACAATTGGTTGAGTTTGTCTAAAGACCTGGGATTGATAGAAAGGGAATGTTCACGTTAAGATAAAGACTGTGAAGACCAAAGTTCTTCTGAAGTTTTACAGCGGCTACCCTTAGAGACAATAGATGACAAATGTTTCCTATTCAGATCTTAGTTAATCCCTTTAGGATCTGGAGGGTCTGCAAACAAGGATAATTTGACTTCTTTCATTCCAGTTGGACACCCTTTACTTCTTTCTCTTGTCTGATTGCTCTAGCTCGGAATTCCAGTAGTGTGTTGAAAAACGCTGATGAAAGCGGACATCTCTGTTTGTTCTGAGACACCTAAAGCTGGGAGTGGAGTGATACAAGCATCCCTGTCACCACCACTACCAATACAACTGACATGAAGCTGGCACAGCACTAGGTCTCACCCAGAGCCTGCTGTAACTACTCCCTGGCTACTGCTTAAGTTTACTCAAGGCCCTGGGGGTCTGCAATTGGCAAGTGGCAAAGCCAACCAGGACAGCCCCGCGTAGGTTCAGAGGTGCCATCAAGGAGTCAGAGACAGAATCAAAAACCTTAGAAATCTACCTGGTGTTCTTTTGTGCTGTGGCTGAGCTGGCACTCAAACCACAAGATGCACTCCTGCCCACCATTTCCTCTCCTTTCCAAAGGCAGGAGAGCCTCACCTTATAGCTACTGCTCCCACAGGCCCACAGGGAGTGCTGCCAAACTACCACCAATATTCCCTTAAGGCCTAAGGGCTCTTAAGTCAGCTTGTGATGAATTCTGCCTGACCTAGGACTCACCTTTCAGGACAATGGGCTCCTGTCTTCCCCATCGCAGATCCAGAAATGCCATCCAAGGGTCAAGTTCTGGAATTGGCGATCCCACAGGCCCACTTGGTGCTCTATCCCCCTGTGGCCGTGCTGTTACCTAAGGTGCAAGACAAAGTCCCCTTTACTTTTCCCTCTGTTTTTCTCAGGCAGAACGGATCTTGCCCCATAGCCGCCACAGCTGGTAATATGCTGATTCTCACCTAAAGCCAGCTAGTTTCAGGGGCTCACCCAAGGCCTGTACTGTAGTACCTGGGTATCACTGCTGGTTATTCAGGGCCCAAGGTGACCAATGCCCCTGGACTGCATCCTTCTCTTCAAGGCAGTGGGTTCCCTTCTGGTTGTGGGTGTGTTTAGAAATGTCATCTGAGAGCTAGGGCCTGGAATGGTGCCCTTGCGACTCTGATTGATGCCCTGTCCAGCTGTGGCTTAGCTGGTATCCAAGATGCAATACAAAGTCCTCCTCACTCTTCTCTCTCCTCTTCTCAAGCAGAAGGAAGGAGTTTCTTTTTGAGCTGTGAGCTGTGCAGCTTTTGGTTAGGGGAGGGGTGATGCCAGTACTCCCTTAGCAGCTCCAGCAGGTATCTCAAAATGTCATGTACCCCCTAGTCCACTGTCTCAGCCCAGTTCAGCACTAGGACTTAGCTAAGAGTTGCAGTCCTTATGGTCTAAACTGCCTTTCAAGTTCATAGAGACCAAGGGCACTTTGGCCTTCAGTGGTGAAGTTTGCAGGAACTCAAGTTCCAACTGCTGGGATTGGCGATTCCGCTCTGGCTAATGCTGGTTTAAATGCTCCTTCCGTGGGTGGGCATCAGCTGAGTTTTGTCTTGTTTCCTTCCTGTTCTAACAGGACAGCATTGAGTTCAATGCTTCACAATTGCTGTGCTCTCCCTCCCCCAGCACCTGGAAACACTCTGCATCACACTGCCACTGCTTGGGGGTGGAGGAGGAGTGGCGTCAGCTATTCGAGGCTGTTTTCTACCTCTTCAGTGCCTCTTTCAGTGATACAAACTTAAAATCTGGTACTATGAGGGCTCATCTGATTTTTAGTTCTTATGAAGCTGTTTCATCTGTGTAGATACTTGTTAACTTGGTGTCCTTGACGGAATGATGATTGGTGGAGCCTTTTATTCCACTATCTTGCTTAGCCTCCATTACTCTCCTTTAACTTTTGAGCCACAGAGAGTTCATCTTGTTTGTTATTGGGAACATAATGTCTAAATTTGGTTGTGATGCTTGATCTGTTATTTCAGGCTGTATTTTCTTGGCTTTCAGCACACTTTGTGATATTTTGTTAGATGCCAGACATGATATATCAGGTAATAGGAACTTCGGTAAATAGGCATTTAGTGTAATGATTTATTTTAAACTGGCTAGGAGTTAACCTGAGTTTAATATTTGCTGTAGCAGTAGGTGCCAACTGCTTCAAATTCCTCTAGTGTTCTTGTTTTTGCCCGCTACTGCCCTGTTGATTTGGGAATTCTCTAAAAACTCCTCCACAGACAGATTGCATCCTGCAGCTGTTTTGGTTACAATCTGTTGTGATTTTACTGAACCTATATTGATGTAAAGGGTGTGGCGGAGAATTTAATGAACCTATAATTATAATCAGTATTTAGTGAGACGGTTTCTCTGAATCGTAACCTTCCCAATGTTTCTCACCTTCCCCACTCATCCTTTAGGTAAGGGAGGAAGTCTATTGAGGGGCTGATATGGGAGAAATGCCCTCCCTCTAGCTGGCAGTAAGGCTCAAGTAAGTTTGACCTTCATGTGGTGAATAGTTCCTTTGTTATGAAGAATGTTTTGGGGAATATTGTACAATGGTTACTCTTCCTGGTCTCCTTCCAGAGCCACACATGGATATCTTTTGGTGCTTAACCATGAGAGCCTTGTGGAGTTCCTGGAATGTGGGATCCTGGAGTGTTGGACCTCTAAGAATGTAGCCCCTAGGAATTTCCCACTCTCATTCTAGTCTAAACTCAGACTCCGGGAATTCATCAATAATAGCATTTAAATGTTCTGCAAATTTGTAGCTTCAGCAGCTTCTCTTCTAGGTAAGCTCATCTGTGACTCTCTTAATTTACCTGTCTCTCGAGATTTCAGGATGGAATTTGCTTTATCAATTTTCAGATGGGTCCAAATGTTGATTTTCATGTTGTTTTGATTTTCTTGTTGTAAGGATGGAAGTAATGGCTTCCAGGGTCTTTACATGTTGATTTGCAATCAGAAGTTGATTGAATCTATTCTGATTTAATCATGGATTGAATCTACTAAGGTCATAAAATTTTTAGATATTTGTGATAAATATAATGATTTATTTCATCTTTTCTAAACTCTTTAGAATTTCAAAAATGATACATGCTAATTTTAAAAGGGTAATACAGAAATATTTAGAACAAAATAGTGAAAATTGCTTTTACCCTCAATCCAATATCCTATGACTTTAAATAGAATTAAATATTTCAGCATTCTAATTTTTTTCTTATTATTTATACATCTTTTAGAATTCCAAAGCATAGCTATAAATAATCATGCTTATGTAAGACCTTATTACTCAGGTTAAGTAACTTGAAAGGATTGAAACTCTAACATAATTTATGAAAATTTGGTCAATTTTTTAGTAAACAGTAAAAAATAGTAAAACAATTTTTTAATTAAAACATTTTAATTAAAATTAAAATGATGCACTTCTATAATTCGTCTCCACATACTTCAAAACTATAATTGTGACTGCATACACATCACAGGTTATTCACACAATTAAAATAGATTGCATAAGTATTTCTTTTCACAGATCTTATGTATATTTTAAATTATTTCAAATCAAAACTGTTTTACCTGCAGTTGTTTTAAACTTATCTCTAATTTTGACAGATTATGACTAAACTTTACTTTTTTCAGTGACTTCTTATTACTTTCTAGGTTAAATCTAATTTTTGCTTAGCTTTTAATAGCTATAATGCTTCAGAGATGCACTCTCTTTTTTCTTCTTGACACAAATTAATTTTTTTCTTCTGACACATGTGGTTTATACTATTAATACTAATTAGATATATAAAACAACTAACTATAACATAATATGAAATGCTCTGATATATATATATTCTGCTCAAGTAGCCCTGTAGGCAACTAAACTAGCCTGAGTTTGAGTGGGTTGACAACTTCCTACAGAGAATGACATTTTAGTTAAATTTAGAGTAAGTACAAGAAAGTCAATTGAACAAGAGGACTATTGGGCAAACTAAGTGGATAAAATAGTTCCAGAAATTCCTCATAGTTTAGTTAAGCTTGGGAGATTCAACAAATAGTAATTTGTTAGGTATAATTAAGCATGGTATGTGGGTCTAGACACTGCCATGGATGAAGATAGAAAAGTAGACCAGGTTCAGATAAATTGAGCCTTAGGTGTTGCACATAAGAGTTTGACATTTCCCTTAAGGATGTCACTGATTTTAGAGAGTTGTGGCATGCTCATTTTTGTGTTTTAAAAATACAACAAGAAGAATGGAATGGAGAAGGGAAACACTGGAAGCAGCAAGATCAGAGGCTACTGTAATATCTAGATGAGAATCAACAGGGGCATGAGCACGGCATTTGGATAAGTGAAACACATAATTTGGTGACTTTGCAGATCTGACTGGAACCTGCCCAAATCCTCTGAGATCTCTTTCATTGATTTAATATCCCCATCTCCTAACTTTTGCTTGTATTGCTGTTAACGGCTCCCACCTGGAAACTCCTCCAGAGTACTGTCTTTGTATGAATGGATCAACCCTGCGGTTTATATCACCCCACAATCTGAGGTAGGAGATCATCCGGACTTGTTTTCCAAGCACTCATCGTGACACTGGTCATGACCCTACTAATCAGATTAGAATCTGGTCAAAACAGGGTGCAGTAAAGAAGCCAGTCAAAATCAGTCGATGGCAATAAAAACAATCTCTAGTTGCCTTCACTGCCCATTAACATAAAGCCACTCCCACTGGTGCCATGACAAATGCACCATGGCAATGCATGATGACAATAGCCCAAAAATTACCTTATAAAAGTTCCCCACCTTTTTTTTCAGAAAGTTCTAAGTAATCTGCCTCTTAATTAAAAGTGGGTATAAAAACAGCTGCCAACAGCCCATACACTGCTACTCTGGGCATACTGACTAAGGGTTAGTCCTGCTCCACCAAAAGTAGTACCTCTGCTGCTGCTGTACACTTCAATAAAAGTTGCTAATACCTTCAGCTCACCCTTGAATTCTTTCGTGGGCAAAGCCAAGCACCCTGTCAGGCTAAGCCCCAATTTGGATGCTTGCCTGCCCCTATCAAATTTACTAACATGAATAGCCAATGTGATGTTATTTGGTTGGGTGTGGTGAGAAAACTGGCACAAAAGCCTATCTCTCTAGCCTCGGCAGGACTAATTCTGTGGTGCACATTATATTTCCTTCTGTGTCAACTAAGACTAGACTTCAGCTAAAACTATATTGTTGTTTGGGTTTACCTGTTAT
Source organism: Homo sapiens (assembly GCF_000001405.40). Taxonomy (NCBI): domain Eukaryota; kingdom Metazoa; phylum Chordata; class Mammalia; order Primates; family Hominidae; genus Homo; species Homo sapiens. The sequence continues at coordinate 43,876,045 of NC_000014.9, forward strand.
GGACTTAAGTGTGCATCTACCAAATCTCCAGGTTGAAATCCTAACCCCCAAGGTATTTGGAGATGTGGTCTTTAGGGAGGTAACTAAATTAAATGTGGTCATAAGGGTGAATGCTAATCTAACAAGACTTGTATCCTTATAAGAAGAAGAAGAGATGCCAGAGATCTGTCCCTCTGCAAGCATATGGAGGAAAAGATGGGATAATAAACCAAGAAGTGAGCTGTCTGCAAGTCAAGAAGAAAGCCCTCACCAGGAATGGAATTGTTCAGTACTTTGGTCGTGGATGTTTAGCTTCCATATCTGTGAGAAGGCAAATATCTGTTGTTTAAGCCACTCAGTCTGTGGTATTTTGTTATGACAGTTTGAGCAGACTAATAAATCCCCTTCTTTATCTATTATTCTCTTTCTTATAAGCTTCTCTTGCTAGAATACCCTTAATGCATCACTTACATAAGAATACCCATCTTAGGTTCTGGGTCTAGAAGTACTGAATTTAAAGAGTGATTTATTGGAATATTAGATTAAAGAAAAAAGTGTGGGGATATCTCCAGAATTGGGGCTGTGATACTGAAAGCAGATAATAGAGAAAACATGGGATTTGATTCTTTCTGTCACTAACTAAGGGTGGTAATTTATTTGTCAGATCATCTACTTTAATGAGACTGAATTTCTCCATTTTTAAATTGGATTACTATGACTTTAAACCAGTACACGTTCTGCTTCCTCCACAAAATTATACACATCTTAAGTTTATACATGGCATTCAACCTATTTTTTTGTTGAAATTCTTCTTCTTTTGAAGGTTGTGACTGATCAGTTGTGTTTTTCACTTATTAATCTCATAAAAAACAGTACTTAGAGCCCAAAGGAATATCTCATACCTTATGTATGGCTCAATGTCCCTTTTACAAATGGAGTAAAAAAAACCTAGAATATTTATTACATTACCTATATAGATATATCTCTGTAGCTATTCTAATTCTTTCAATTAACGACAGTCATTTGGAGAAAAAGTAGCTGTCTTAATCAACTATGACATGCAAGATATACAGTAGTCCTCCCTTACCTGAAGCTTTTTTTCTGCCATTTTAGTTACCTATGGTAGAGTAAAATAAAATATTAGAGAGAGACCACATTCACATAACTTCTATTTCACTACGTTGTTATAATTATTCTATTTTGTTATTATTGTCATTAGTCTCTTACTGTGACTAATTTATAAATTAAGCTTTATAATAGGTATGTATGTATGTATAAGGAAAAAAACATAGTATACACTATATAGGGTTTGGTACAATCTGTAGTTTTAGGCATCCACCAGAGGTCTTAAAACATATCCTTTACAGATAAAGGGGAATTACTGTAGTTGTTAAACAAAACAAAACAAACAAAAAACCTTGACCATAGTTAAAGTTACACAGTTAATTATTGATTCAATTCAAACATTTAACATGTTAGCTTTTCTCTTCTAATTATGGCAGGTTCTGTGTCTGCGAAGAGCTTAGAATACACAGCCATGGCAATCAAAGTAATCTGATCTTGGCAATGCTTAGAAGAGTCTGGAAATAAGCTTACAAAGATGTGAAAAAGTCATTTTGGCATAATACAGGCAGGAAGCACTGTGATGGATAACGAAAATGAGAGTAGACTGATGTGAAACCTTTTATTGAGAATTGACGTGTGCTGGCTGTATTCATGAGCAGAACATGAGTTGCTTGAAAGTCTTCAGAATTTGGCAAGCTTATGCAGAGGGGTAAACATGAAATTTTAATTAGGAGGACACTACAGCTTGGAATGTGAAAATGCTAATGATGAGATTGTTCAGTAATAGTTATGAAACTATTCCAAAATGCAGACATTTGTTTGAGAGTTACATTATAATTCATAAAATGTGCAGGCAAAATAAGAAATGAAGGAATCCTGCAAGACTTTCTTTTTATTTTTTGGCACACTCTGGGCATTGTAATCTTAACTTGGTGAGAGGTTTATAGATATTCAGTTCCAACTTCTGTTGTTTTGGATGGAGAAAAATACAGCAAGGGATTTATTATGATAAAGCCATAATTTGATTTAAATAAATCAAGTTTCTACAATGAGAATATATAATTAACATATTTATATATGTAAAACACTAATGGGTTCATGTCTGATTCCAATTCTAAGTAAGGGATTTGTAATAATCCTGAGCTACAGAGGTGGTGCAGGTAAGGTGGAGATTAGCTACTGCAAATTCAACCTGAATTATCTCTTGATTTTCCCAGGACCTTTTAGGGCTGAGATGGCTGGCTGGGCTAGTGCTTGTTGTAGTACATTAACTGACCTTTATTAGGAAGACTATCTTTGATTAGGCACTTGCTCAAAGTGCACTGTGGAGTTACATTTCTTTTCTTGTTGATGACAGCCAAGAAATGACTACTTCAAATTGCAGCTTTAATCTGAGAGCATTGTTTCTGCTCATTTTTCACTAAAAATCTCCCATTTTCTTCTTATATGGCTCGCTTTGCACCCCTTCAGTGTCAAAGAGAGAGTGCTGAAAGCTCTTGTGATGAGAACTTCTTACTTGAGCATCTGATTGGCGAGTGAACCCACATTTGGCCATTACTTAAAATATTATTTTTAATATCATTAAATATTCTCCTACAAGGGTTGCTATGGAGTGGTTCAGAAATTTAACTAGTTGATTCATGACCAAGATTGTGAGGGTTACATATACAAGCATATTTATCATGGTAAGAACCAGCAAAAAGACCACGAATGGAGCCAAAGTATTTTTCATTAATCAGTATTTGTAAAATGCAGTAGTCATTTTGTGATATACACAATGTAAGACAAAATTTTGCATGTCACTTTCTAGAAGGTCAATACATTGTTGGCAGTTGAAGTTGTAACAAAAAAATAGACATTTAGTAAAGCATGAATTTTGATGCCTTTCTGAAAGGAAATTAACAAGTTATATTCTTATATTTATGTGTGTAGACTAGCTACGTCTTTAAGGAAAACCTCTTCCCCTTGTATGCACTTGTACCTTGTTATAAGAAGTTTTAGAGTTATTTGTAACGCCTTTACAAATTAAGCAAGTGGCTCTTCTCAAATGCCCTTTCGCAAAAGAAAAAAATGAATGAATAGAAGCTAAGTTTCTTTCAAGTGCATGATAAAGATAACTGTTATTTGTTTAACAAGAATTTTTTTAAATGAATATTTTGTAAAGAAAAATCACCAGTGAATTTTTGAATAGTAAAGTATGAGGTCCCCTTGAACCTTTTCCCTGCCAAAATTTTGAAAAATCTACATCTTGTAGAAATAAAGAGAATACATTAAAATTTACATCTATAACTATATTGGCTTAGAAATTGACAATAACTTCAAACAATCACTTGGTTCAAACAGTGTTGCTGAGGATAATATGGCTTTTGGGATCTTCAGTCATTTTAGGCTTATTCTTTAAATTTTTTTTTTAATTATGTTAACTATAGAAAATAATTGATGACAAGAGGACACTCATAATCAGAAAAACGTAATAGAACACTGGACAGAGAATCACAAAGCAGGAGTTCTTCCCTAAATTAGCCACTTATTTGGATGACATTAACCTCATTAAACATGTTTCCTCATCTATAAAAGGAATATATAAAAACTCCCATCTTATGACATGTTGAAAATCCGGTTATTAAATCTGCAAATGTCTAGTGAAAATAAATTGCTGTACAAATGCATAAATGTTACTATCACCCTCGTTGTCATTTTCAATTGATGACTTTCTGAGCAAAACACTAAAATAACCAGTTGATTAAGCAAAGATGAGTTTGTTACTTCCTGCAATAATGGAAACATCATATTGACAGTCTTAGTAGTTAATGTCTCTGAAAGAAATGCTAAAGGTAGATCATTGTAAGAATTAGACTTTGACTTAGGGTGGGTTTTTCAATGCAGGAATTCAAAATTCATGATATAATAACTGAGAATTAGTGGAAAAAGTGTGAGAGTTTTCAAGGAATCTTGATGAGAAGTCATTTGATAAGAGAATAGTTTGCCTGATTGTGTGATTCATTGTGCCAAGAAGGCAAGCCAAGAGAGCAATCTATTCATTGAAGTACATTTTCAGGCAGTTTCTGAAACAAACAATTATGTTATTGCAATATTATCTTCCTGGACAAGAATTTTCTGGAAAAGTGAAATAATGCTAGTTTAGATGGTCTTAGTTTATTATGCTATTAACTATATATTTGTAGGCAGTTTGTCATCATCATCATCATCATGTTAAGTATATGTTATCATGTGTGAGCTGTGTTGTGGCATTCTCCTACTTGGTGCTGTATATAACAAATTTTATTTAATTTTAGCAATTAGCCTATGATGTGATTATCACTCTTTTAAAGATACAGGTGAGCTTATGACCCTTGTTTGATGTCACAGATCTTGCTTCTCAAAACAAGAGAACCACACACCAATAAAATTGAAAAGAAAATAAACACTTGATAAGGCCCTAACTTTTAAAACATACATAATCTTTTCCGTAAGTTCATTTGGGATGAAGTTTTACATATTTCTTCTTTTCAGCCTCAGAATGCTAGAGGTACAGACTAGATTGCTACTGCTAGCAACTTCAGGGAGGACATTAATGCAATTGCAAAATAGTTTAAATGGTTTTACTCTTAAGATCTTAGAAGATAAAGATACAATTCTAAAATTGATTTGTAATTTCTATTATTATTACTATCATGAAAAATACAGATAAGTTAAAAGCTGCAAAGAAATATAAATTAGTTGTTCTATCACCCATAAATCAATATATTCAATTATTTCAAGGAAGCAGGATATATAACTACAAGAAGACTTTGTTCATATTGGGAATGTAAAAGTCTTCATCAGGGGGCTGGCCAGGGTGGCTCACACCTGTAATCCTAGCACTTTGGGAAGCTGAGGTGGGCGGATCACAAGGTCAAGAGATAGGGACCATCCTGGCCAACATGGTGAAACCCGGTCTCTACGAAAAATACAAAAATTAGCTGGGCGTGGTGGCATGCACCTGTAGTCCCAGCTACTCGGGAGGCTGAGGCAGGAGAAGTGCTTGAACCCGAGAGGCAGAAGTTGCAGTGAGCCGAGATCATGCCACTGCACTCCAGCCTGAGTGCCAGATCGAGACTCTCCATCTCAAAAAAAAAAAAAAAAATTCTTCATCAGACTTGGAAATAGGACTAAAATCTCAGACTTGGTCAAGCTCTGAATCGACACATATCCCAGTGACTGCCTCACTCTCTAACCCAAATATCCTTTACGTCTCAGATTTCAAGGGTTAAAGTTATCACTACAAAGGGAAAAATACATGAGTAGTATAAAGATCAAGAACAAATGTTCACATTTTTAAAAGATTATTATTTAACAAGGAAATATTTATATCATAAATTCGTAAGTTTATAATGTTTATGGTAAATGTATGCAAATGATAGATTAATTTAAAAGAGAAAACATCTTAGGAAATGTTTTATAAATCATTGGTTTGACTTTGACTTATATTCATTTCAGAAAAAATGTTCTCCATAACTGTAAAAAAAATAAACATTTTGATTATATAATGCTGGAAGTGTTTACTGTACTAATCATTTTTTATAATTAGGTAAGCTTATTTTAGGACAGAGTTACCTGAGTAAGATGATAATTACATAGCAACTGATTTTGAGAAAATTCATGGACTATAAAAGGACCATATACAATATAAAATAGTGAAAAAAAAACCCTGAAAGTCTGTTGCTGAATTTGCACATCAAGCAGAATAAGAACAATTTTAATTTTCTATATTTAGAGACACACTTTGAGAGAAAATCAAAAACCAATTAGGAACATCACTAAAGTTATAAAAATTCATTACCTACATGTTCATTATGCAAAACTAAGAGATGCTCTTTTTGGTGATATAAAATTATGTACTCTTCTTGAGAATTCAGAAAATGAAACATGTAAAAGTTGTATATTTTCCTAATTTTAATATTCTTCAAATATAATTTTGTATTGTAACAGAATAGGTGATCACTAAAAAATTGTTTATTATATGTCTGTAATATGAAAAAGCCACCTATTTTATGATGCCAGGAAGAGAGAACTTTAGTGAAATTCTGTTTTGGAATATCAGAACATGTTTAAGGAAACCATTTGATAAACACAGTAATATAAAATGTTTCAAAAATACAAACGGTAAATTTGGTTTTGAGAAACATGAAAATACGATTCATTCCAGTTTCTCTTTTTTGCATGTGAACTGTGTTTCTATCTTTATGAAAGAGAGGCTAAATTAACCCTATTTAAGTATTTAAAAAATGTATATACTTCTTGCATTCATTTTAACATATTTAATGTGATAAAATATTTTTAAATTAACAATCAAGAATATAAACATACCTTATATTTGCCTTATAATATATCTTGTCATATAATTTATTTTTATAATATGTTTTCTCTATGTGTAAATTAACTAATGCAAGTTTCATTTATATAAATATTATAAAGGTTAAAGCAATAATAAAGCAGTGGTTTTCAATTTGGGGATCCTTATCCATTGGTATAAAAAGAAGTAGTAGTGGGACCAACAAACTATTTGAAAATAAACAAAAACCTGATGGAATTTATGAATTTACATGTACATGTCTATGCATTATAGTGTTATCTTTACACTGATAATTTTAAATATTTTTGATGGACTGTTTTCAGATTTCTTTAGTCATTTTAAATTTCACAATAAAACTTCCAAAGATTCTTATCATGAAAAGCTGAAAAATTCACCTCTCTTATTTTCACTTGCTTTTCCTTTTGCTGTAGACCCTTTCATTTTAGTTTCCAATTTGTGAAAATAATTTCTATTTGGCTTTTGGAATTTTTACTTTATGGCTTCTAGACAGTAAAGACATTCAAGTTTTTTGTTTCTTTACAACAAAAATCTGACTCAACGTTTGACCAATCACAACTTACTTAGCTTTTAATTTGTCAAATGTTTTAACTGGTAAGTTGACTTATTTTGTTTTCTTCTAAGTACTTTGTTTTTATAGAGGCACTGTCACAATCAATCTAAATTTAACCTATTACAAGCCTGTGGGATTTTAGTTGGAAGGGCACAGTTTGGGCTACCTTCTAAGACCATATAAAGACACTCATAACTATATATTGGACATATGTCAGTAGCCTTCTGTTTCTAAGTAAAGGAAATATTTGAAAAAACACATTTCAAGGCTCAAAAGCAACCTGTTTAAAGTCATAATGCTTACTACATACAAAGTAAGAAATTACACATGATTCTTAATATGGGAAATATTTTCATAACAATGATTATGTATTAGATTTAATAATAGTTAATTGTAGAAAAAATTACTTTAAAAATGTGTCAAGCCAAATTGTATATTTTTCACATTTTTGAAAGAACTTTATCTTCATAGCTATGACCAATTTTTCATTATGTGGAAATATTAATAATTAATACTTATAGCATTTAAATAATTAATATGCAATGAGATTTGACGCTGAAAGGTATAAATTCTTAGCTAACTAATAGTAGTTTCTATGTAAAAGCTATTCATAAATACTTAAGGGTATTATTACCAAGCTTGTAATCACAGGTCAAAGATCCCCAACCTTCATCAATTCACATATAAAATTAATAGATATACAGTAGTGTGTATTCTCTAAAGATAGCTAAAGAATGTGCTGAAGTACAAACATTCAACTTCAGTGCAATTAGCAGTACAGTAACCTCTAGATCAGGAAAGTCTGGTCAATAACTGAGAAGCACTTGAATGGACAGTGATTGATTTTGCTTGTTCTGGCCTATAGAGGAATGATTGATCTAAGCTTTATTTTGTACTAGCCTTTTCTCTATTGCAGGCTTAATGAGGCACATAGGTTGAAGTGAAAATGGAAACAATAGACATAGATTGTGTCTGCATGGTGCCAAGAACATGGTGGTGAAATAAAAAATTAGTCTCACTGGCTATTTGACATCAAGAAGCTATTCTCAAGTTTCCAAAAACTTAAAAAATCTTATTATATGTATTTTACATTTCAGCAGTTCAGTTCTCTTCAATTAAACAACTAGTTACTGAGTACTTTCTGTGAATCAGCAGTTGTGGGAAATGTTTAGAAGGAACACTTTATTAAATATAGTTTATGGAAATGTCATTACAGTAGAAGATTCTGTTGCCAGAATAAATAAAAATATACTTTTGGCTGCCTGCTATAAACAACATTTGGAAAAATCAATCCTGTAGATAAATACTTGCATTCATGGTTTATTGATGAGGTTCAAAATAAAAGATATTCTGAAAAATCATAGAAAATAGTAGATTTAAGACTCCATTGAGCTCGTATAGGCTCTCAAATGATACCTTAAGATTTGAGACTAGACATATTTACAACTAGAAATGTGCATTTAAATAGCTTTGTGAAGATGATAGTTAAGATGTACATAGAAGATGTTTCCTGAAAGAAAAACATATATTAAATGTAATTGGTCACAATAAAGAAACTAACATTTGATGTCACTAATAAAACTTGTATTTGTCTCTGGAGTGTAGTTTTATAAACATAAACACCATTATTTTATTCATTCAATAAACATTTTCATGTTCTCACTGACTTCAGCTAATTAATTCCTATTCAACCTTCAGAATCTAGCTTATATAAATTTTTTTAAAAAATAGCTTTTTCAAACTTTTCAGACTATGTCAGGCTCTTCTTGCTTTACATTCTCCTAACTCTTTCTCTCCTTGCACTTACCTTTACCATAGTAGTAAAGATAATTGTGTAATTAGTTTTTCCATATATATGTATGGAAATAAATGAGGGCAGAAACTGCATTTTCCTTATTTACATCTATATCTCTAGTACCTAGCACAGAGCCTTTCACCTAATAACCAAAAATTAAAAACTCTGCTAAATCAATGAGTGAATCTATCTGTCTGGTATAACTTTAGGTGCTAGAGTTACAGAGTGAAATAGGGCATGGGGACTGCCCTCAGGAAGACTAAGTATTGGAGGAGACAAGTAAATGAACAATTATAGGAAAATGCCAGGAAGCACAAAGGTGGAGAAGGGAACTGTCACACTTGATTTTGAAGGGAAATTCTGAGTGGGCAAAATGAAACTCCATGAAAAGAACAGAGAATATGAACTCTTAGCTGAGGAGACACTTTGCATAGGATTAGGCTCATGAACCTTGTATCGGTTGATTCCTCTGGGAAATGGACACTGAGAGGGAGCCAAGAGTGCTAGAGGTCTATGAGTTCGATCTGCGAAAGGGAAGGGAAGGATGCAGGATCAGGTAAGGGGACTGAAACTGCAATGCAACCCTGAAAAAGTCTCTGCTAGCCCAACATGGAGCCAGGAACAAAGATTCCTGGTTAGAGGGTCCTGCACTGGGTAAAAGTGGCCTGGCTTTGTACCATCATTTTCCTCAGCCATGGGCCAAAGCCACCCTGAAAAGGTATGACCTCAGCTCAAAAGCTGAGAAAGACGTGAAGGAGGTAACAGCTAGATACCATAGGCTAGCTACACTGCTCACAGGTGGGCAGCGAGTCCTCCCTTGAAGGGATTCCCTGTGCTTGTTAGGACTGAGCAAAGCATCACACTGGAGACCAGGGGCCAGGGTCAGGACTGGAGAAAGGCCTTGTGTGTCTCGCTGAGGGAGTTTAGATCTTATTCCATAGGAAGTGGAGGCCATGGTTTTAAGTAAGGACCTAAAAGGAGCAAATCTGCATTCTAAGTGTCTTCTCCAGCATTCAAATGAAGCCTGAATGCAGCTATTGGTGAGGGGCTGTTACAGTAATCCAATGAAAACATGAACAGAGAAAATGGCATAGGAATGGGGAGCACGAGTTCATTGGAGCCACTCTAGGAAGGCTGGCTCTTAAGGATGCAATCACTGATTAGGCTTGAGTAGTAAGTAAAAGCAAGAAGTCTGGGACACCTCCTAATTTTCTATGATAAAGAATATTTTTATATGTTCTGAGAATAAGCTTTACAGGAAATAATAAAATGAAGCTCACTGAAACTTCTACCACTCAAAACATAAAGTTGTCCAACTATTGCAGCCAGATCCTTGATCATCTCCTTATAATCTACTTCCTACTGTGATTGCACAGCACTGTGTCTCAGACTGGTGTCAAGTGTGAAAGAAATACCAACTATTAAACAGTGACTTGGATCACAGTGACTTGGATCACAGGAAGAGTCACAGGGTCTCAGTCTGAGAAGGAAGCCTCAGACAGGCAGGCATAAAACGCAAATGCAGATTGCATAATATTAAAAACAGTAACAAAAGAAAACACACAAAAAATACCACACACATAAAATGGAGTGCCAAATGTGATATTCACTGGCACAAAACTAGAAAGCAAAATAAAATGCCAATAATTAACAATGGACTATGTTGTTATTTAAACTAAATATTTAATGACACCTTTATATACAGATTATACAGCTAAATTAAATATGCATACAAGGTCATTTACTCCCTGATCTTAAAATCTTTATCCAGGATTATTCCCAAACAAAACAAGAATATTCACACCTCTGACTTTATTCATACACAGTGATGCTCTCGTCTCTCTGCCCTCAGACTTACTCAACAATGTTCAGCCCAAATTTTATCTTTTCTGAGTGTCTCTGATGTTCTCCCATAAAATAAATAAATTATTCATCTCTACTTCTGTGGACATTTACAGAAATTTACAGAAACCTTTATTTATAGAACTATATATGGATGTAAATACGTACATAATGTGGATATAGATACATAGATATAAATGTTTAATTTAAAATTATATAAAAAATTGACTATTGTGTTTTCTGGATCTAACAACGTTTGAGAAATAGTGGTTACTGAATAATTTCAATTAGTATGAATCCACTGGAGAGTATCATTTGTTCATATGAAGTAGTACCAAAAGGCATGAATAAAATTTAGTGTAGTGATAGCAGGAAAAAATAATAAACATAAAATTAGAAAAAAAAAAATAAAGATAAAATTAGATAAAATTTTTATTACAGAGTTTGGACATTTCTTGGCCCTCATTTAACATGTTGAAATCCTACTAATCCCTAAGATACAATGAAAATAAAGCCTTCTTCAAAAGTTTTTCTGGAATCTTAATCAGATTGAAATAATTTATCCTTCTTTGAATTCTCATATACTTTAAAAATGATCTTCTTCAATTATTCTGTCTTAATTTCCATTGTGACATGGTTTGGATCGGTGTCCCCACCTAAATCTCATGTTGAATTGTAATTCCCAATATTGGAGGTGGGGCCTGGTAGGAGGTGATTGGATCATGGAGGTGGTTTCTTGTGAATGGTTTAGCACCATCCTCTTGGGACTGTCCTTGGGATAGTGAGTGATTTCTCATGAGATCTGGTCCTTTAAAAGGATGTGGCACCTCTCCTTTCCCTCTCTCTTGCTCCTGCTTTCACCATATGAAGTGCCTACTCCGCTTTGCCTTTCACCGTGAGTAAAAGCTCCCTGAGGCCTTCCTAGAAGCCAAGCAATGTTGGTGCCATGCTTGTACAGCCTGCAGAACCATAAGCCAAATAAACCTCTTTTATTAAAAAGTTACCCAGTCTCAGGTATTTCTTCACAGCAATATGAGAACAGACTAATACACATTGCTATACATTTATATTAGCTTGGTGCAAAAGTAATTGCGGTTTTTGCCATTACTTTTAGTATTTCTACATGCTTATGTATACTTATCTAGTAGCAGTCTCTTTTTTGTTAAATAAGGATATAAATTCTTTGAAAGCAGATTTCTTATAGAATGCATTATTTTGTTTGCAACAGCACCAATATAATAAAATGCACTAAGAAATAAATCAATATATAAGTTTTTGGCATATGTATTAATGAAAGATAATTTCCTCTATTAGATAATTTTCAAACATGAAATGATATTTAAAACAGGGTTTTCCAGCTGCAGTGCTATTGGCTTTTTGAAGATACTGTGGTGCATTTGAACATTGTTATGGACTGCCTGTGCATTGTCAGATGTTTAGCAGCATCCCGGGCCTCTATCCACTAAATGACAGCAGCTCCCAGCTCCCTTCTCATAGTTGTAATAACCATAAATGTCTTCAGACATGGAGAAATGTCCCCTGGAGCAGGAGTAGGTGGGGGAGATGGTTGAGAATCACTGATTTAAAAGATGAAACTACAGTTGCAAAAGTGCTTTTAATTTATATAAGCAATAATCACTCATTAACCTTTGTATCATGCAGGGAATACTGCCTTAGATATTAAATGTAGACAATGTGGGGGCTGTGATACTATTTACCTGAGAAAAGTGAGAAAATATGAAGGAGACAGAAACTTGGAATCTGTAAAACATTGCGTCCGTACACTCTTCTTATTATAAATCTTTTCGACAGTGATATAAATTGACATTATGTTCAGGGTCAAATGAATAGCTTTGTCACTGGATTTTTTTATATGTTAAGGAAAGCAAAATTTATCCACAACCTTTACAAAGCATCAAACAGAATGGAAGTACGTAAGCTTAAGTACTCAGCACTAAAGCATAATATATTACATATGTAATATATTCATATTTATATAGATACTAATACAGTTTTGTAATTTAGCATTTTGTTTCCTTTATCTTGCTATATGTTAGTTGATTTCTGAATGACTTAGTCTATTTTTATCAAATATTTACTAAACATCAAATTTGTGTGTGTGTGTGTTTGTGTGTTTCCAGAAGTTCTATTACCAGCATACAACTGAAAAGACATGCTCATAGCCCTCAAAGAACTTATAGCAGGAATAAGCTATTCTACAAAAATAATAACACAATGTACTTAGTTCTGCAATGCATATGAAATACTGTACAAACACATAGAAAAGACGCTCTTAGCTCAGACTTGAAGGCAGTTCAGGAGCCATCTAATGGTCTTTAAGCAGAAAAGTACTACAGTTATGAATGTATTGTAGATAAACCCTCAAGACTGGAGGCAAGGAAACCACTTCAAACCTTTTACAATAATCAAGACAAGGTATGTTAAGGACTGAAATAGTCCTCTGGTAGAATGCTGGAGAAGTAAAGAGAGAATCAACTTGAGAAGTATGTGGAGACAAATATTACAATTTTATGAGTGACATGATACGATGTTTTGGAGACAGACAGGATTTAGACTGTCTTCCCAGATTCTGGCTTTAGGTGACTGGGCAGTTAGGTGTGCTACTAATTGAGATAAGAACAACAAAAGAAGAAAAGCTTTAGGAAACTATTATAATAATAGACGGTAAGTTTCCTCAGTTTCTACTGGCAACCATGCACATGGCTGAGGCATTTTTGCTGGTGTGAGTATAGGAGCAATAAAGACAAATATTAAGGTTGATTAAGGATTTTTGTTGCTGTTGTTTTGTCTAATGGGTGCAGTAGAAGGGATGGAGGTAGAAGATGAGAAAGTGGGTCAGGTGATTAATTGAGGGTCTTTGGTTGTCTGGAAAAGTAAAATAAGAAAGCCCCTCTTAAACCATGAGAAGAAAAGAGGATTTCTAGAATGTTATAGAATGGATGTTCTGTATGTTAAAGTATGAGAAGTCTTGGAAGGAAAGCAGTTTGTTTTCAAAAAGTGAGGAACTAAAATCTAAGATTTCTGATTTGTAAGAATACAAGATAATAACAAGATTTAGGTTATCTCCAAGAGTGTGGTAACACATGGAGTTGAGATAGTCTACTAGAAAATGGTGTTCGCATAAAACATGCACAGGAAACTTGAGGCAACCCAGAGCTATGACAGGGTTTAGAGTAAAGAAGTAATACTTAATGATAATTTTTAAATGCCTGACAAGATCTTCAGTATTAAAGAAGTGTAGAAAAATCCAATCAAAGGGACTTTGAAAGAAGATGATATTTATATTGCATTTATCCCATCATTAAAGGAAGAGTGATGATTTAGACTTGAACTCAGCACTGAGGTGGTAGTCAAGGAGTTGTTTGAGGGAAGAAATATCCTTCATTTAAAATAATTGCAAACTTCTCAAGGGCTGAAAAAAATATTAGTGGGAAGAATCAAAGCTGAAGCAATACTAGCTCACTGATATTGAAAACACTGATTTCACTATTTCACATTCACTTTAATGCCCTTGGGGAGCTTCTATATAAAAGAGCCTAAGTCAAAGTGCTCTTTAAAATAAGACCAAAACTTGAGAAACACCGTAAGATTCAATTTTTCCTAATTTTTTAAAGGCAGAATTAGAGAAAAAAAATTTTCATAAACACTAGAGAAGAGTGCCAAAGTTTTATGGTGTAGTTTTCTTAAAAAGCGTTTAAGTTGCCTAAGGCTTATATAAAGATTATCAAAACTCTATTCAAGTTTGTTTCTCTGCATAATAGTGCTGAGATGCTTCTCTGGTAATAAACTTGCTTTAAGATCCTTGGGATCAATACATAGTTGAAATGTTGGGAATATTTCAAAGCATGATAATCAAAAGAAAGACACTGACTAGAAGAAACATTAAATAAATTAATTGAATGTATGCAGAAAAAGTAACTGAGAAGAGATTATAGTCAACTTTATAACTAAATAACATAATGAATTTGTGTCTATAAAGTCTTTCAACAACAAAAATTGTTGTTGGATTGCTAAACCTAACAGTTACTATGACTGCAAAAGCACAGTTCAGTGGGAGAGAAGGGTATATTCTTGCATTAATCTTATGTAGGGCGTATGGTCCCAGTATATTTCACAAAACCCTGAAATACCATGGAAAATTCAATTGCTGTGTACTTATTTTATCCATCCACAGAGCCCATTCAATAGAACCAGTAGCATTCTCAAGCACAGCTTGAGAAACCAAAAGTCAGAGGGTTCTATGATTTTTCCAGGGTTACATAATTAAAAGTGCCAAGATTAAAGGTAGGTTTCATTCTTTCCAGTGTAGCCCAAAACAATAAACACCTTTGCTGATGCTTAGTTGAATAGTGCTTTTTAGTCTTAATTTGCCAACTCAATTTTTCATTCTTTTAAAATGTGCATTAATACTTTGAAGCGACAAGTAATATTAGTGATGCTCACCCACTACTTTAACAAGTAGAAGGCCATACAGATTAAGAAAACAAAAGAATATATTTGACTATAAAAATATCTAATCTCTGAGCAATTTTAGATGCTTTGTCCACAAAAAGTGGGTATAATTTTATTGGATGATTCAGATCAGGCCTTTATAATTATTTAAGCGTTTATTCATAAGGAAAAGATTCTACCCTTAAAATATCTGAAAGGCTTTTTTCACATTAGTTAGTCTTGCATTCAACAAATATTTTTGAGCACCTACTCTGTGTCCGATAGTAAACAAAGAATTGAAGAAAAAAAGACAAATTTTCCTTACATTCATTTGCACTAGGGCGAAGGTATACAGAAAGTAAACAGTATCTATAAGTAAAATATACATTATATGGTGATAATTAGAATGAAATAAAATAAAAGAAAGACAATAAGAAACTTTGGAAGAAGATGCTGCAATTTTAAATAAGGGCAAATCTTAATGGGAATGAGATATTTATTTGAAGAACTAAAGGAGTCAGCAAAATGGGTTATACCACATATGAGCAAAGAAATACCTAGGGAAGTAAACAACAAACACAGAAGTCCTGAGGATGGGGTGTGCCTGATATGTCCTGGAAGAAAGGAGGAGAGGATGGAGGAGTGTTAGGAGATGAGATGGAGAGTTAGGGATGAGGAGCAGCAGGCCACATCATCCAGAGTCTTAGAGCCCATTTTAGTGAATGTGGATTTTACTCTAAATGCGATAAGAAGTCATCTGATGGTGTAGAGCTGAAGTAACATTACCTGGCTCATTTGAGCGGATTTCTTCAAAATAGACTAAAAGGGTAAGGGCAAAAACAGGAAATAGCTAGACTGCCTCAATAATCTAAACAAGTCATGCTGAATTTGGATTCTAGTAGTTAGAGTGGAGATGAAGTCAGTGGCTAGATGCTGCATAAATTTTGAAGACACAACCATCAGGAGCAGATAAGTGATTACATGAAGATTTTGAGAGAATGACAGGAGTCAAAATTGACTCCAAGTTTTTTGGCTAAAGAATTGAAAGGATGACCATTACATGAGGTGGTTAAAGATAAAGGCCTATTATTTAGGCTCTGAGTGCTTCTTGCCTATAGTAATATTTAGGATAACCTGGCTTTTTGTTTCTTGACATTTATTTTTCTTATTTGTTGGTTTAGCTCCAAGTTATTTTAAAACATCTTGTGCATTACATCATATAAATAATAAATATCTTCATTCTCTTCACATTTCTTCAATATGGTCATACAATAAATGAATAATGATATTTTAACTTGTATTTTTGTCTGCAGTTTGAAAAGATTGGTAATTTTAGGCTCACTGAAGAATCAGCCCCTTTCCACCACGCCTGCCTTTTTTCCTTTATTTTAGCCATTGACTTAGCAATTTTTAGAGAGGAGTGAAATGTTAACTGGCCAATTTTAAGTTTCCTGAAATCTCTAAGGGATAGGATACACAGAGAGATACAGATAGCTCTTAAATAAGTAATAAGCAATATATTTGACTTTTTTTTTCTTGTATTTGTTAAAGGACAATAGTGAGTTTGGGAAACAATGTAATTTTTAAATGGCTCTAGTCATGAACTGGAAGGTAACAAATGACAGAAAGGAAGTTAAGTTAGTACCTACACAATTATTGAATAGCTTAGTCCTTTGATAGAATCATAGAATCTACTTGAACCTCAGCTTTCATAATAATTGCCATGTATTTGTTTTGCTCTTTAAAATAAAAAAATATGAAAATGTGTGCAAAAAACTGAAGATACCTGAAAAATATCAATGTTAGCTTATAACTCCCACTCCAACAGACATGGACCCAACAAGCGAAAAAAGTTTAGATGACTGAAAAAGAAATAGGTGGTACAGTCTATTAGCCTCAAGTATGAACCAGTTATACTTTATTCCTCTTCTTTATGCTTCTTTATTTACCTTTCATAGAAGTTATTTCCATTTCCATTACAAACCATTTAACTAACATCATTTCTACACGTCTAGTGGCAAAACTCTTGCAGCTACAATTTTTACCACAATAATTCGGCCATTAGTAATCATAAAAATGAAGTAAATGTCAGAGAATATTACTACCAGTTGTCTCATTGTACTGAACAACCATGAACATTTGCTGATTTTCATATTTTATCTTAGTTATTTTTAACTTGAAAAACTTGTTTCAGATTATTTTTAAAAATTAACAATGTAAAGAGTGTAGGCAAATTGAATGTACTAAAAAGGCTTGTACATAACATCTGTGTCCAGCACTGTACTTTTAATTGTTGGAGTTAGAACCAAATAGTGTTGTAGTAGATATAGCTAAGCAGAACTCACTGAAACTGAATAATTAAGTGTACTCTTAAAATTTTACTAAATCAGAGAAAAAATTACTAATATGAAAATCAGAAAACAAATGTGACTTTTCTATTTCAATGGAAAATTTAATATTATAGTTTTCAGGCAAACACAAAAATCAAATTTCTTAATTCAATGTTGTTATAGGTAGATATTAGAGGAAAAGTTCTGAAAATATTAAGAAAATTATATGTTGTGCATGCAACTGACCTACTATTATTTTTCTACTGAATATAATGCTAACAGCCAAGTCATATATTTCTCAATAGCAGTGCTTCTAAAAATTTTATAAAGTAGCTTTGATAAAAACAGCCCAAAGAGCCATATAAGATTACTACAATATTTTTCATTTACTGTTTTTAGCTGTAACATTTTTCAGCAATAATATTAATTTCCCAAAATTTTACAAGTTTCAGAGTGTACATGTTTTGCAGCAAATTTAAATCAGGAATATTCAGATTAGTAATTTGAAGTTATATAACTTGAATGCCATCCCTATGACAGGTTGAAACATGTGATCAAAATTTAACCTAACTTTGGCATCTACTATTACATCAAAATTTGTTAACAATAGATATAACATTCAAGAAAAAGTAATCCCTATTATTTGATTATAAGTTTGTCATTTTTTATAGCAAAAGTAATTTACAGGACATCAAGACATCTTTCTCTGAAACTATATTCCTAACAACCAGTCACGGTCCCTTCACAATCTAGCTAGAGCCCATGTTCTAGATTGAGTACCTATTTGTTACTAAAACGCAAAGGATATCTTGGTGAAGTAAGCTATTGTTTGTTATCAATGTACATATTTGAACAATTTAGTTATTTTTTTCAGTTTTAACTTGTCATCTCATTGAAAACAAATCATTTTAATAGAAAATCGTGATACGGATTACCTGAGAGCCCTGCGCAGCAATTAGAACAAATATAGTAGGATTCTTAAGAGGAAAATAAGTAAATGTAAAGGCAAATTCTTATACTTTAAAATTGTATCTAGATCTCACTGTGTCTTTTTCCCACTCTACCTAACATCAGAAGGTAATGCAATCACACACTTTCTTTACTAATGTTTTTGCTTAGTCTAGTTACCCAAACACCAATGTCTGAGACAAAAGATTGTTTGTAAGAGCAGAAATGAGGGACTGGAGAAGTGATCCAGGGTAAGAGAGGAAGCTAATGTACTGGTGCATTACTGACTTAGCCACCACTGTGTATCATCAGTTCTGAATACTGCTGGGACCTGTTGAGGAGCCTTGAGAAAAGTATCTCAGAATTATGCCCCCTAGCGGTAAGAAAGGGAAACATTTATTTGTCACCCTCCCTCATAGATAAAGGATTGTTCCATCGGACATTAACATTTTGGTACTTCCTAGTTGCATGTGTGAAAGACCTGAAGTTCCTACATGAATATGAAGTTCTTACATTATAATGTCAGAGAAAAACCAGGGCAAGAAGAAAGAGGTGCGGAGTATGTGCTTAGCATGAGAAACTCTTAGGTTCTACTCACTCAAAACTAGTTGCCACATCTCTGCTAGTAATGAGATGAGGCCAAGAAGATTTGAAGCGCATTGAAAAGGTATTTTATACAGTCAGCCCTGTGCCTCGCTTAGATATGTAGATAGGTTTATGCTCTCCATTAACCCCGATCCATCTTATAGTACCCTTCAGCCTGATCCAAATTCTATGAGTTTCATAAAAGACAATTATTGTGACTAATTATAATCTCTGTTCCTACAGCTCACTCATAGTCCTTAACTGATATTTCACCATTAACTCTGTTTGTCTTCACCATGTGTTCTAGGTTTTTTGAAACTTTATTTCTTATATCAGCCTATCAAGTGTTTTTACCTGGTTATGTAACAAAATAATAGTCTCTCAAAAATCTAACTCCTCAATTTCCTTGCCCTTTTTGGGCCATGATTGCTGTAAGTACAGGACAGTAAGAGTTAGGATGAATAGACCCATCTTACATTCACTTCTTGATTCCTAGAGGAATGTTTTTCAGGATCTGGTACAACATATCAGTCATTGGCTCAACATATGTACAACATCTTGGAAAACAAAATTCCAAATCTTAGTGGTAGTCCCTGAGCTGGTATCTTAGCTAAGGCTTAATAAAGTCAATCTATGGCTCTATCAACGTAGATGTTTCTGAGTGATGAGATAGATGGGAAGACCCACAGATCCCACAGTCATGTGCATATTGTAGAATCTCCTTTATTACAAATTGAGTTCCTCGTTCCAAAGCAATGTTGTGTAGGTGCCATACTACTAAGTCAGAACTGTGTATCCCCTTATATAATGGTGCTGTCCAATAGCACTTACTACCAATAATGGGGCCTCTGTTGTCATATGTGTAGTAAGTAACAGAGCATCAATATCCTGAGGGTATACTTTCTAGGGCTACTCCCAGTACCAACCCTTTCACCAAAAGCAGAGCCTGGGACAAAGATCTATAGTTACGTAATTTACTTTGGAACACTGGAGAGTTGGAATAAGAAAAGGAAGTAAAACCAATACAAGGAGTTCTTACAGCTAAGGGTGACTCATCACATGATGCCACCAAAACATTCTGAGATGCCTAATAAAATGTACCTTAAAACTATCCACCCAGTGGAAAAACAAGAGAATTAATCCGTGGGCTCCTATCCCCCATTGATAAAGTGCTGCCTCAAGGAATGTCAACTCCCTCACACTTCTAAGTACTGTATGCATGAGGCTCAAAGAATTCCTGTAGGCTTCCCGGCTGGCTTCCTAAACTTTGTCTTCAGAGAAGCCATGGAGCAGGAAATGTGAGGTGCAGAAAATGTAAATAAGGCAAAGTGCAGTCAGGCTATCTTGTGCAAAGCTTGTTGAAGTACACAGAACCAATGCACCATGGCTGGGATACTGAGTGAGGTAGGGGCAAGAAGCTATGAAGCTGGCACAAGGGCTCTTCAGAAGCTCATTGCTCTCCAGTGGTTAAGATGGATGTAGTGAAAGTGAAGGGTCATTCTGTAGTTACTCTATCAATATGACTTTGTCTTCCCCCAAGGTGAATCAAATTGAGCCTTCAATATACCCTACATATATCCAGAATTGTATAACTATAACTTAGGAAGGCATTAACTAATGTACTACTTTAAGACAAAAATAGCATTTAGAAGACATGTCTTTAATACACAGCAATTTGGAGTTATTTTAGGTCCAATGAGAAGACTTTTTCAACTAAAAGTTAGTAGATGACCTTCCTCCAAAAATAATGTAAACTAAGTATGAAAATTGGTTCATCCTCCTTATAAATACTTTCTATCTTCTTGTAAACACCTCAAAGCTAACAACTGGGGGTTGAATGTCATGTAAGAGAAATTCATGTTGTTTAATGTTTTTGCAACACTGGTTTGATGAAATAATTGGTGGCTTTTCTTGTTGTTTTCCCTTTTACATTAAAGTTAGACACATTAAAGGTATAATAATATCTTTTTATTTCATTGGATTTTTATCATAATTATTGGGTGAAATAAGACATTAAACTAGTTAACTGATTTTTGCTGTCCCATAGGCTTATCATTTATTCTGATTTAGTAAAGACATAAGGTGGCTTTATTTCATTTATTAGAGATGGATGTTATTTACCCTTCCATGATGTACCTGGGGCACTGAGATTTGGAATAAGGTGTGCAAATTGAATTATTATCGCAATATAGTTGTCCTTCTGTACACCTTCCTAGGAATATTATAATGTATTTCCTATACTCAGTAACATTAAAACATTTTTATGTAAAAACTTCCTTTTAAGAATAATCAAAATAATATGATTGGAATGCCTACTATGTGCCGTGGACTAAACTAGATTCTGGGAGAAAAATAATAAATACAACTTGGTCCTTTGCCCTAAATGTCTAATAGAAAATTTCTATTCACTTTGTAAAACTTACCATTATCTTTACATTATAATTTCATGACACTATAGACATACACTTTTGTTTTCTCTGACACATGTTCAATTTGAGACTAGTAGGGTAGATTATCTAATTCTTAATAGTGATATTTTCTCCCAGACATATCCAACCAAACTATGCATCATTTTAACCATCCTACAGCCACATTCAAGCAAATACTATATTCTGTGCATATGTCTTTCACTTGTGCCCTTGAATCAATTGGTTTGATTTTATCCTCCCTCTTATTAAAGCAGTACAGGTTCTCATGTTTTATAGCAAGACTATCAGTGTCTTCTTTTCTTGCTCTTATCTTCTATGTTTCTTTCTAATGAACATGATGGCCAATAATTGGGGTGACCATACATCCCAGTTTTCCTGAAACACTCCTAATTTTTCCTATTGCGACAAATGAAAGCAGTCCCTTTCACTCTAAAAAAAAAGATCCAATTAGGGGATAAGTTGCATGGCCATTCTACCTACAATAATACTATGTTCATCTCGGTCACCCTATTCTTTTCAAAGTCTTTCAATGGCTAAGGCAAAAAAAAAATTTAAATAGGATCCAAAACTTTCTGTAATTTTACCAAAATCTATCCTTTAAAAACTTTATTTAACATGTTCTCCTTTTTAAACCTACCTAAATCATTTTCCAAGTTTAATAATTTTGATGGTGAACTCAAATTTCTTGTTTTCTTGCCATTTTTTCCTGATTACTTTCTTTTATATTCCCTTTGAGCCACAGTGAATACTCTTTTGTCATTCACATCCTAATTGGTAACAATCATGTTATTTTATTCTAGTAAAATTAGCTCTAATAACAGCATTTAGTTACCTTATATGTTCTTTGATTTTTGTATTTAGTTTTATTTATTATTATTATGAATTTGCTCATCTCTGAGCGCCTGGACAACCTCATATGTTCTGATAGGAGACAATATTGAGTAGTGTTTAATAACAGGGACTCTGGTGTCACAATGACCTATGCATGAATACTAGTTATTCCAGTTTGCTCTACTGCTTAAGCTACTTATTTCCCTTTATTATACAATATCTGTAAATGTGACAAAGGTAACTTATTAAATAGGGTCAGGGAACAGAGAGAAGTACTAGGAACCAAATAATGGTCGATAATACTTCAAAAATACTAACTCCCACTCGCATTTTTCTTCCACCAATACATTTTTGCAGTCTTAAAGATAAATATTACCTCTCCAAAATTTGGGAGTCAGATGTATATTATAAGCTAGGTTTTACGTGATTGAATTTACTACATTTGAAGAATGTGGGATTGGGACTGGTAGGCATAATATTTTCCCAGGCCCCAACATTTCAGTTATTAGTCTGGGTCCTGGGGAATTTCTTATCTCTCTTGAGGAAAATTACTCATTTATCCAGGGATGTTCTTTATTATCCTTGCACTGAATGTCTCCTTCACAAAAGTTATGACCCAACTTTTCCATATTCTCTGAATTTAAACTTGTTGAATCTGATCACAAGTTTCCCTCTCTCGTCCTTCCCTGTAGGCAACTTGCCATCTAGTGTTAAAAAGAAGCATTCACACAAACATTACATTGAGTGCGATAGAAACTATGAGAAAGCAATGCACAAGTGAAATGTATTAGAACTTGGGATCTTTCTTTCTCTCAAACCTAGGATAATAGCTAGAAAAATGGTATCCATAAATATTTGATGGTAAGATTAATTGACTAAATCAACTATTTCTATAATTAATTTAAATAATATATATTTTACTTTCTATCAGTTATTTCTGTTACAATATCTCAGCCATTTTAATGATGATGATGGAAGACGGGTTTATGGAGGACTCTACAACTTACAAGGCAGGATTACTATTTATCCTCCAGTTCATTAGCAGATTCTTAGTGCTTTATTTGGTTTTTTTACCAGGTTAGATAGGCTAACAGACAACAGTCTTAATAGCACCAAGTTATTGCATAGAGATTAAAAATAACCTTCTAATAAAATCTCAAAATAAATATCAAAAATACTTCAGGGAATTATTTAAGATTACCCCACTGGATGTATATAACTTTACATAATGAGCCAATTTCACTAACTCACTCTTTATTTCTATCTGCAAACAAGTTGCATACCAGTCTGTTTTTTTTTTCTGAGGCACCAAATATATATGGTAATTATATAATAAGCATCTTAAAATTTCTGTCATGTTGATGATATATTTTGGATTTCTTAACAATTTCTGAATAAAAATTGATTGGTAATAGTTCAAAAGAAATAAAGTTTCCTTACAAGAAATCAATTGAGCAGCTACAAAATTTAAGAATGTAAAATAATCTGAAAGTGTCATGTCTTTATTCATGAAACTGTCAAGAATTCTCCTTATCCCATTTTAGTTGTTTAGTTCTTTTTGTATCACTCTATATTTGCACAAAGAGATATCTATACATTTATGAAACACAATTCAAGAATGCCAAAAGAAAAAGAACCTAGCAATTTAAAAGTATCTAAAAGAAAACATTTGAAATACTATCTTTTGATCACTTTCTGTGACCAATTTTTTTAAACTGATTTGTTTCTTTGAAGTCCTTCTACACAAGCCCCTAATGAAATACTGCAAATAAAGGTAGGCAGGGAAAAATACGAAGGGGTTAGAAATGTATAAAGCAAATTTAGGAATAATATACCCATCCACATAAGCGCTTGTCATGTTATGTACATTTAGGATAAAGTTTGGTAGTTACTATCAGCCCTGGCAGGTATTTATTCAAGATATTTGGAAAGCCTATTTAAAAAAAAAAAAAAGGAATAGAGAAAGAGTCAAGAATCCAAGTCATGTAAGATTAAATGACGAAGTTCCCCAGAAACCTCTTCAACTTCCTGTGTGTGTGTTTGGAAGTCAATCATTCTCAGGGTTAGTAAGTTCAAGTCAGATCAGCAGAGGACATTAAATAGCCACCAGTCAGAAAAGCAAGTATCTAGGTAAGCATGATTGTCAGCATTCACGGCAGATAAGAGGCAGCTGTGAGACTGGCCAGAAAAAAAGCAGGAAAAGTACAGATGTAACCAGAATTTAAAATAAAACAGAAAGATGCTGCATCATCAGAGGATTAGGCACCAGGTTTACTGAGGCCATTGAGCAATAGGACTGGAAAGGGTAGGAGCAAGATACATAATAAAAGACCTCTGAGCATAGTTCTATCAGGAAGGCAGAATTCAGTGAGACAGTTTTCTGCTTCCTGCCCTGGTTTATGGTCCTAAGAGCTGTTATTCTATGACCAGAGGCAGTATATACCCAGATGAAAAGGATCAGGTGAAGTTTGAGAGGCATGTTTAAGTTTCACCTGCTTCAACTGATTTCTTGATTTATGAAATATCTACTTATTGAACAAGTTTCACATCTCTTCTCTTTGATACTGAAGTGGTCAATATAACCAAAAGGAATTTGAGCTCTTCTGCAATAATATTTTAATTACTTAACCTAATGTTTTTTTAAAAAAATACATCCTTATATTCAGATAATTAATAACTATATTTCATCCCTCAGTGCAGTACAAGGTGTGTTAGTCACTCATCAAAATTTGTGTAATCCTTCTCATCCTCCTGGGCACACAGCAAGATTACATTTCCTGCTTTCTTTCAATTTGGTGTGTCCAGGTTTCAGAGCCCTGGGCAGTAAAAAGTGAAAATTATGTGCGCTGTTTCTAGATCAAGCTTTATGAAGTGGCTATGCTTCCTTCATGTTCTCCTTCCTCCTCTTCAAACTGGATACACAAAATACTTAATTATATTGCGTATATATTCAGGGTCTTAATTGACCCGGAATTTACCCTGCTAATACAATCACCGCTAGCCGTTAAGTGAGTATTTATATTTAAATTAATTAAAATTAAATACAATTTTGATTCAGTTCCACAGTCACACTCACTACATTTCAGGTACTCAATGGTCACATACCAAGTGGCTATTACCATTATAAAACATATCATCATTGCAGAAAGTTCTACTGGATAGTGTTTTTCCTAGATGACAGTGAAGCAAAAATACAAAAACAGTCTGGATACCTGACTCACCACATAGAAAGTCACACACAAACCAGTACCATCTATTTGGGACAATTAGGTGAGTGAAAAATAAAATACCAGTTTTTGAGTCATTCCACAATTTTGGGTCTATGTTACTATAGGTGCTGGTTACCCTAACTAGTACAATCAATAGGATATTCTCACATAAATTTCCAATTAACCCAAAAGGTAGTAGTACATTGCCAGACATAAGCCTGAGTTGACATCAGGTGAGCAGGATAATATTTAATTTCCATGACAGACAAAATAAGGGTGTCGGGTAAATAGTATAAGGCCTCTCTGTGTAATATCAGCATCCAAGTAAGATGTATATCAAGTAATTTAAGGCAGTTCAGAGTTTGAATGCAATTAGAAAATAGGTTTATTTTATAACCAAGTCCATTTCCATTACACAGTACAAAAGATTCTTGTAACCAGATATGGGAAGCTGCTAGTTCATCTGCAGGCTGCTGTCTACCCAAGGACAGACAGAAATTAAGGCTGTGTAATTTCTCCAAGACAGCAAGCAATAGCAGATTTACACTCAAAAATCTAGGAAAGGTTAAGCAATAGAACGTCTAGACACTCACTGAGAATAATAAAATTAATTTGATGAAAGGGCTTAGACAAGGATCTTGATTATTTATTAGGTATCCCTATGACCTTTGTCAAGGAAGTACATTTTATGTTGACATTCTTCATTCTGTATATTAACATTATACTTTGGTCTTTGGCCAACAGCAAACACTGACTACATTGAGTAAAAATACAAAGAGACAAAGTACTCCGTGTCTCGTTTTTATTCCTACAGAAAAAAATGTTGCCCAGAAAAAGCAGTAAAGAGAATGTTGTGAGAAAATGCATCTTTTTTCCTGTACTGAAAGAAAAAATTCAATTGAAGTATAAATCTTCAGAGGATGAAAAATAACAGCTTCCATTCAGACAGAGTGAGGTTTTTTTTTTCAGAGTTTACTGCAAGGAAAGTAATAAAAAATGTGAAGAAGCTTTCATGTGATCTCATAAAACAGAAAAAAAAAATCTCTCTTGAACCACTAAGCACTGGTATTCAGGAGAGTAATTTACTCTATGAGCCTTTTACTTTAGGCCAGAAGGTACACTTGTAATAGCTGCTTAATCTTAACCTCAGGATTTTACAGCTCATGAACTTTTGTATTGACATTAATGAACAACCTAGGAAAGGTAAAATACTGATCAACAGAGACATCTTAGTTTCCATAGAAAATTAATAAGGATAGTTCTCTGGATGAGAATTTATTGTGAGTGCCTTGAGAATGAACTGCTGTAATGGTGAGTCTTGATTGATTGGGGAAAAAAGAAAACATTTTGTAGGTGATGGTGTGATAAATTACCACACTATATCATGTCATCTCTAAATTTCATTATTTCTGGTTTTTGTTTTTAACCTGTTGTTACCTAAGCAATGCATGCTGAATAAGATGGTAGATTGACAATTACAAATCAGAATCCTTGGGAATGAATTCAATTCATTAGCAAAGCAATTGTTTCTTAACAGAGATAATACTGCAAGGAAGTGTGATTAATAGCAATAAATGTATTGATAACAAGAAACAGAATTTCCTGAGAATAATACATACTCTAATAATCTCTTGTTCTTGCTATTTAACAGGAAGGGACTATCTACAATGTGTAGAATGCTAACTACTCTGCCCCTAGTCCTAATTGTCTATATGTCTGAATAAAGGTAGGATGCAGGAAACTGAATTAGCACTCTGTTTCTTAATAAACTCAGCACCAAGTAAATTGTGCACCTGTTTGGCAGGTTCAGTGGGTAGCAGAAATTGAACAGCTTTGGCTCTTTATGGGCCATATATCTTTCTACACCATGTGCCTGATAATGTCATTATATTTTTACCATGAATCTTAAAGAAACAGAATTCTTCACTGCAGCTATAAGGGTACAGCAACACTAAATGATTCATGTTACACAGCTATGGATTTAAATAGAATTCTTCCCTCTAGCCATAAGGGTGCAGTAACACTAAATGATCCATGTTACCAGGATACACTTGCTGTGGCCAGAATGGGACCAAGAGGTCATGTCCTGCCACATTGCCTTCCAGAATTCTATTGCATGAATCCCACAGCAGGATGTGCAAGTTAGACAGACGATTACTATCAGAAGCTGAGGATAAAAGTATGCAAAAGTCTGAAATGTTTTACAGGAACAAAGTAGAGCACAAGTTAGTGTTTTAGCCATTCTGTATTGTAAAATTCCATTTGGATTTCAGGAATGAAAGTCAGTGGTGGTGTTTGGTAAAATAAACATTGTTATGACATTTTATAATTTCAATATAGGCATTTTGAGATATTCAAATAAACCAACCCTCTATACTCCAACTCCTAGGGAATAATAGACCTCCATAATTGGACACCTCAGAATTTGTGTGATGGACATCATCTAATCAAAGCAGGAGACAGATTTATCAAGGAAGACAGATTTTCTCAGCCAGCATGTCGTTACTTATTTGCATAGACACCAATTGGGTCCTTGATAGTTGGAAAACAACCATTCTTAAACTAGCACTATTTTAAAAATTGGGAAAAGATTGACATATAAGGAATTGATTAGGTATCCTTCTACAATCATTCGATAAATTGGGCTCATTCCCTGAAGATTCTTATCAGAATAAGGTTTCTTGAAACCATCTGTGAGGCTTGCTTCTAGGCTTAGCTTGCTGCAGAACTGGTCATATACAAAATCTGTTTGTTCATCTTGTCTAGATAACATTTCTGTTCTATGATCTCTCCCTGAAATAATTACAACAATAGTAGTTGAATGTAAATTTGTCCATAATCAGCGCTAATCTGGCTGTACTTTGTTTCCTAAATTGAGTGATTATTAGATGCTTTTCCCCAAATTTCTACTTTCCTGAGCCACTCAAATACAGATAAATGGAAAATAGTTTGTATACACACACATGCACACACACACACACAAAAAATAATAATTTAAAAATGTAAAATACAACTTTTATTATCATTTTACTGTCATATGTGCATGAGATACAAACTTCTACACCTATTTTAAAGTCTGTTGAATATTTGGTAATATTAGGGGTTAGGTCTAAATTTCTGAAGCTCAGTCCATTGAAATATTTATGTAGCTGTCAGCTCTACATGTTTTTAACTAGAACTAAGTGGATCCTTTTGTATATGTTTTCTTAAGAAATGTTAGGTTCTATGGTGCCTCCTGAAATTTGGAAAATTAAGATTGTGTATAGGGACTGTTTGGTTTTATTTCTTGTAAATTTGTTTAAATTCCTTGCAGATTCTGGATATTAGCCCTTTGTCAGATGACTACATTGTAAAAATTTTCTCCCCTTCTGTAGGTGGCCTGTTCACTCTGATGATAGTTTCTTTTGCTGTGCAGAATCTCTTTAGTTTAATTAGATCCCATTTGTCAATTTTAGCTTTTGTTGCCATTGCTTTTGGTGTTTTAGTCATGAAGTCTTTGCCCATGCCTATGTCCTGAATGGTATTGCCTAAGTTTTCTTCTAGGGTTTTTATGGCTTTAGGTCTTACATTTAAGTCTTTAATCCATCTTGAGTTAATTTTTGTATAAGGGGTAAGGAAAGAGTCCAGTTTCAGTTTTCTGCATATGGCTAGCCAGTTTTCCCAACACCATTTATTAAATAGGGAATCCTTTCCCCAGTGCTTGTTTTGTCAGGTTTGTCAAAGATCAGATGGTCGTAGATGTGTGGTGTTATTTCTGAGGCCTCTGTTATGTTCCATTGGTCTATATATCTGTTTTGGTATCAGTACCATGCTGTTTTGGTTACTGTAGCCTTGTAGTATAGTTTGAAGTCAGGTAGTGTGATGCCTCCAACTTTGTTCTTTTTGCTTAGGATTGTCTTGGCTATACAGGCTTTTTTTTGGCTCCATATGAAATTTAAAGTATTTTTTTCTAGTTTTCTGAAGAAAGTCAACAGTAGCTTGATGGGAATAGCATTGAATATGTAAATTACTTTGGGCAGTGTGGCCATTTTGATGATATTAATTCTTCCTATCCATGAGCATGGAATTTTTTTCCATTTGTTTTTGTCCTCTCATTTCCTTGAACAGTGGGTTGTAGTTCTCCTTGAAGTGGTCCTTCATATCTCTTGTAAGTTGTATTCCTAGGTATTTATGCATAGGACTTCTCAAAAGAAGACATTTATGTGGGCAACAAACATATGAAAAAAAGCTCATCATCACTGGTCATTAGAGAAATGCAAATCAAAACCACAATGACATACCATCTCACGCCAGTTAGAATGGTGATCATTAAAAAGTCAGGAAAGAACAGATGCTGGCGAGGATGCAGAGAAATAGGAATGTTTTACAATGTGGTTGGGGAGTGTAAATTAGTTCAGCCATTGTGGAAGACAATGTGGTGATTCCTCAAGGATATAGAACCAGAAATACCATCTGACCCAGCAATCCCATTACTGGGTATATAGCCAAAGGATTATAAATCATTCTACTATAAAGACACATGCACATGTATGTTTATTGCAGCACTATTCACAATAGCAAATATTTGGAACCAACCCAAATGCCCATCAATGATAGATTGGATAATGAAAATGTGGCACAGAAACACCATGGAATACAATGCAGCCATAAAGAAGAATGAGTTCATGTCCTTTGCAGGGACATGGATGAAGCTGGAAACCATCATCCTCAGCATACTAGCACAGGAACAGAAACCAAACACCACATGTTCTCACTCATAAGCAGGAGCTGAACAATGAGAACACATGGACACAGGGAGTGGAACATCACACACCAGGGCCTGTCAGGGGGTTGGGGGAAAGGGGAGGCAAAGCATTAGGACAAATACCTAATGCATGTGGAGCTTAAAACCTAGAAGATGGGTTGATAGGCGTAGCAAACCACGATGGCACATGTATACCTATGTAACAAACCTGCACATTTGGCACATTTATCCCAGAATTTAAAGTAAATAAAATACTACTACTACTACTAATAATAATAATAAAGAAAGCAAAAAAAGATTGTGTATCGGGATTGAATAAAAGAACATCACAATCATAACCAGTTTCATCTATCTGATTTCAAGGAGGAAGGGACTAAAAGTCCTATAGGAGGGTTCTACTTTGAATAATTTCTTGAAAAAATGTGTCTCTGTTGGAATGATAATCTACTAATAGCATCTAGTACAAAATTTACTTTCTTATTTGACATTATCAACTAGGGAAAATAAAACGAAAACAATACACTTCGTTAGTTCTATTGTTTTTCCTTCTCAAGATGGTTAAATGTGCATACTTAATACTTCCAAAATGAAATTCTCAGAACCAAACCATTTATATCTGTTTTCATTTTACTGGGCATTGCAGTAAATGCTCAGTAAGATCAATAAATCTGCTTTCAGTTAAATCAGATTTAATCTAATTTTGGCTCCACTGAAGAAGAGTTTCATTTTCTGCTCTGAAGCTTTTAGATTCTCCTTTAAGGACCTCTTTTAGTACAGGGTAAACCCACTGTGCAATTTTTTAATCTTTTGCTCCTAACTTGTGCTGATATTTGTAAAACCACATACTTGATTCATTCTGCAGCTCCAATCTTTCTGTCTTACATACATTGCACATTTTTTTTTTTTTTGGAATCCAAATTCTAGGAAACCCAACACACAGAGAATTCAAATATCTTATGGGTGTAGCCTGAGTGAAAAATAAAAATTTACATCTCTGAGCTCTGGTGTGAATGAAGACAGCTACTCTGGAGAATCTAGCTTAGCATCAGTGAGATGCTATACATCTACAGCTAAACTGGCACAGATCTTAACTAGAGAAATGAAAGGTTTTTACCTCCTTTTCCTTTCATTATCCTACATGACAGCCTATCTCTTATCATCAATATAAAAAAATGGGAGCGACAGTATCAACAAATGTGAAAAATATAGTAAGAATTAAGCAGTTCCCAATACCTCAGCGTCCATGGTACTAAGACATCTTATCTCCTACAAATGTTCAAACGGTTCCCAGAGCTTGGTTTCTCTCTTATTGTTATGTTTCCCCTTCCACATATACTCTCCTGTTTAGAACTCATAAGACTATCCTGGTTTTATAAAAGGGTTTGCAAATTTGGACTTCTTTGCCCAAACTTGTGCAGACCTTAGTAAATGAACAAAAAGAGTTTTAATTTTCTAACTGAGTGGAATTAAGCCATTTGATAAAAAGACATGGGCAGGACTTGTGATCCAAACATTTTCTTCTCTCTGTTCTGGTTACACATCAAAATCCCATGGAGAGTTTTGTAAAAATACAAACTGTCACATCTCACATCAAAAGATATTAGTCAGCAAATGAAGAAACACATAAATTGATAGTATGACACAGAATTTTAATGTATGAAAATAAATCATGTATCCATTTAAAAATAACTTTGAAAGAGGATTTAAGTATTTCTTATCTAATCAAGCGATTTTATTTCCTGTCAATAACAGCAGAAAGCCAGGTAAAATCTAAGGCCACTACGAATCAAATCATGACCATTTAATACAATTTAAAAATTGGGATGCACTTTTCAAAATATCTTAAAATTTAATTACAACACTGATATTAACCAATATTAGCTTGCTTTTGTTTTTCTGAATGTCCCATATATTTTATTTAGTTATTTCAAAATATTACACTTAAAATATAAATGTATTTTATGTGATTTTTTAAATTAATAAAAACGTAACTTTGGACCTGGATGTTGATGAGATAGAATGGCTTTCTCTTATATAGTAGGAAATATTGCACATATTTTCTAAGTTGTGTGTTGCACAGAAATACAAGGTAGAGTCTATTCAAGGGTAGACAGAGCTCTATTCAAGGGTCTCAGATACACATATAGCAAATCTCTCACTAGTAGAATTATAATTTTTATATTCCACTATTGTATCATCTGGTAAATATACTAATTTTAATATATCAGATTTCCAAATTATAAATTATATTACTTGCATTAAGACTTGAATTCATTTGCAATTAAAAATGTGTATTGTAAATTATGAATCCAGTTTTATTTTGCTTCTTATGGATGGATAATTGTGATATAATATGGCCCATTTTTTCCCAGTATAAATGAATATCATGGCTGTCATAGATCAATTATATTTATACATACACACACAAACACACTTAGTTTTGTCTGTCTCCTCTGGTGCATTTGGCAGTTTATATATTCTGGCACAAACAACCATCTGGGTGAATTATTACATCTTAAAACTGAGTCTTGCTAACTGATAAGAAAATTCTTCTTCCTTGTTCTTTTTCATGAGGCTCTTAAGTCTTTCTCTTCTACATACACTTTATAATACCTCATGAAAATACCCTGTTGGTAATTTTATTGAAAATAATTTTATATACATATATATATATTTGAAGGAAATTGAGATCATTTAAATATTGACACTTCCTATCCATGTACACGTTACCTTCAATGTTTTCCATGAAGTGTTAAAATTTTCTCTATAAAAGTTTTACACATTTTTTTAAAATATTAATTTTAGAAAAACTAACAGCAAAAAAAAAGTAAGGTATTGAAGTGTATATATCATTATTTTTGCTAATGCATGGAAATTCTTTTTTACTATTATTATACTTTAAGTTCTGGGATACATGTGCAGAACGGGCAGGTTTGTTAGATAGGTATACAGGTGCCATGGTGGTTTGCTGTGCCCATCGACCCATCATCTACATTAGGTATTTCTCCTAATGCTATTCCTCCCTTACTCCCCCACTCCCTGACAGGCCCCCGTGTGTAATGTTCCCCTCCCTGTGTCCATGTGTTCTCACTGCTCAACTCCCACTTATGGGTTTTCTGTTCCTGTGTTAGTTTGCGGAGAATGATGGTTTCCAGCTTCATCCATGTCCCTGCAAAGGACACGAACTCATTCTTTTTTTATGGCTGCATAGTATTCCATGATGTTTATGTGCCACATTTTCTTTATCCAGTCTATCATTGATAGGCATTTGGGTTGGTTCCCAGTCTTTGCTATTGTGACTAGTGCTGCAATAAATATAAGTGTGCATGTGTCTTTACAGTAGAATGATTTATCTTCCTTTGGGTATACACCCAGTAATGGGAATGCTGAAATGGTATTTCTGGTTCTAGATCCTTAAGGAATCACCACACTGTCTTCCACAATGGTTGAACTAATTTACACTCCCAACAGTGTAAAAGTGTTCCTATTTCTCCACATCCTCTCCAGCAATTCTATTTATTTCATATATCCAGCCAATTTGCTATCTTTTAGAAAGTCATTTTTATCCCTGAAGAGTGTTTCCATGTAGATAACCATATTAATTGGAAATAATGGAAGTCTTCTTTCTTTCTTTTTAATCTTTTTTTCTTTTGTGTCTTTTGCTTCTTTCATTGCACTGATTAAGCCCTAAGTACAATGTTGGTAAAAAGAAGCGATAGTTGTGATGTTTGTACATCCCTTGATTTTAGAATTTGAAAGGATCTGCATATAGGATAATGTTGAAAACTGCTTGTACTTTTATGTTTTTCAAATTAAGGATAGTCCTCTTTATATTTTCCAATTTTTAAAAATAAGTGGATGATGTTTTAAAATATTTTTTCTGTATTTATTGAAATTACATTATGGCTTTTCCCTTTTAATGTGAAAACGTAGTAAACTGATTTTCTTCTATTTGGATAGGGTCTTATTTATACAATGCTTGATTGTGCTTCATAATTTATGATTTGTCCTATAATTTTCTTTTCTAAAGGCTTTAAGTTTGAGGTTTGAATAGCCATATACAGTTATTTGAGGAAACGTGTTTATTTTTCTATCCTCTAGAAAAAATTGTTTGAGATTAAAAACATCAGCTTCTTGAAAAGGTATTCTAAATCATTACTACCTGGTGGGTTTTTAATTTTTTCCTGGATTGATTGTTAAATTTAACTTTGCTTACAATTTTATATTTTTGCATAAATTGAAAACATTTTATCTAATTATTAATGGCTTTCTTGGATTAATTTTTCTCTTTAAAATTTATTTTTGTTTTCTTTGCGTGCAGAAGCTTTTTAGTTTAATATAGTCCCATTTGTCTACTTTTATTTATGTTGCCTATATTTTTAAGGTCTTAGCCATAAAGTTGTTGCTTAGAACAATATCCTGAAGTGTTTCCCCTATGTTTCCTTCTATTAGTTCTATAGTTTCAGGTCTTATAGTTAAGTCTTTACTTCATCTTGAGTTGATTTTTGTAGGTGGAGAAAGATGGGGTCTTGTTTCATTTTTCTGAATATGAATATCTTCTTTTCCCAGCAATATTTGTTGAAGAAGGTGTGCTTTTTTCATTATGTTTTATTGGCCCCTTTGTCAAAAATCAGTTGGCTGTAAATATGTGGATTTACTTCTGCATTCTCTGTTCATCTACCTGTCTGCTTTTATATCAATACCATGCTGTTTTTGTTACTGTAGCTTGTAATATATTCTGGATTCAGGTAGTGTGATGCCTCCAGCTTTGTTCTTTTTGCTCAGCAGAATGTAAAGACAGCATGTCAAATGGAAGAAAATATTTGCAAACTATTCATCTAACAAGGGACTAATATCCAGAATACACAAGGAATTCAAACAACTCAAAAGTAAGGAAGATAATAATAATCCCATTAGAAAGTGGGCAAAGAACGTGAATAGACATTTCTCAAAAGAAGACATACAAGTGGCCAACAGGTATATGAAAAATGCTCAACATACCTAATCTTCAAGGAAATGAAAATCAAAACAGAAAGAGATATCATCTTACCCCAGTAAGAATGGCTATTACTAAAAAGACAAAAACAGTGCTGGTGAGTATGCAGAGGAAAAGAAATGCTTATACACTGTTGGTGGGAATGTGTATTAGTACAGCAACTATGGAAAACAGTATAGATATTTCTTTAAAAACTAATACCAAAACTAGCTTAGGATCCAGCAATCTCACTACTGGTATTTTTATCCAAAGGAAAGAAAATCAGTGCATCAAAGAGACATCTGTACTCCCATGTTTATTGTAGCAATGGTCACAACAGCAATGATATGGAATCAATATAAGTGTCCATCAGTGGACAAAAAAAAAAGTAAATGATTTTTATCTGATAATAACATATCAAAATGTATTCATTAATTGTGACAAACATGCCACACTAATGCAACATGTGACTAATAAAGGGAAATGTGTATAGGAAGGGTGGCAGAGAGGAGGTAGTTTAGAGAAGTCTCTACACTATCTTAATTTTTCTGTAAACCTAAAACTGTTCTATTAATTTTAAAAAAAAGCATAGAAAAATTTAGATTAAATGTTCTTTTTAGCATAGCAAGATCATCAGTTCTGTATATGGGAAGGACTCTTGTAATAGCTTTTCTGAAGTGGCTTACTACTTAGCTTTTAAGCGCTGTCAATATCCTATGTTAATAACAATTAGTACAATACCAGGCAGACTAATTGTTATTTTATTGAGGAAAATAGTTGTGTCATTAAAATCTTCCCACTGAGATTTCACATTAGAATAACTTACAGTACTATAACATTTACCAATTAGCAACAGATTTATATACAGACCCAATAGTTACTTCGTTGGTGCCTCATCAATAGTTTAGCTATTTAAAATGTTTTCATTGCAAATGGGTCACACTTTCTAGATTCATTAATGTAATTCCAGTAACCCTGCCCCCTATTTACTTTTATTAGAATCAGACTGATAAAAATATCTTCTTAGGAGATAATTACATAGGTGAAATACTAACTGGCTTGTGTTGGACACTATAATCCAAGAACATATTCATTCACAGATATTTTCTCGAAAAATTTCTCTAGAAATCCTAGGGATTGTCATTGAAGCTTTATAAGAGAGAAAATTTAAGCTCAAGGAAACTAGTAGAAAGTGGTAGAGTTGAGATTTATACCAAGTTCCCTCTGAAACAAAAAAGTCTATAACATTTTTATTATACTATGTTACTCTTCTTTTCTGAAAGAAGAGCAATCTGTATAATTATAGTACTTCTCAGATTACATACTTGAAATGTGAATTAAGAGAGCTGAAAATATCTCAAATAAGCAACTCGAACTGCATAATTGCATATGACTCTTATGAGAAAATGAAGGAACACTTGCAGTGTTTGGGTCATAGGGATGGATCCCCCGTGGATTGGTGCTGTATTCATGATAGTGAGTCCTCACAAGATCTGGTCCTTTAAAAGTGTGTGACACTCCCACCCGCAACACTCTGTCTCTCCTGCTCCTGCTTTCACCATGCAAAATGCCTGCTTCCTTTTAGTCTTCTGCCATGAATGTAACCTTCCTAAGGCCTCATAGGAAGCTGAGCAGCTGCCTGGTACCATGCTTCTGTACAGCCTGCAGAACCACGAGCCAGCTAAACAATTTTTCACATAGATCGCCCTGTTTCAGATATTTATTTATAGTAATGCAAGAATGGCCTAAATCAACAGATTACTCATCAGAACATGTACAGTTCAAACCCCTGCCAGTAGTACATGTAGATTCTCATTAGCATGTTATTGTATGTGATGTTCCATTCTTTAACAATCTGATATTTACAAAGAGTAACTCATTGTAGTTTCTAGTTTGTTAACAATTCCGGTTTACCCAAATTGCATTATTTTCATTTTTATTGTATTTTCTGCTTATGTTCTTACTGAATTTTAAGTATGTTTCCCTCATAGACGTTGATAAGGTCTGATCAGTTTAAACTATGAAAACCATGACTATTCTGCTCCTTCAAAAATGTTTGGCCGGGCGTGGTGGCTAATGCCTGTAGTCTCAGCATTTTGGGAGGCCGAGGTGGGTGGATCACCTGAGGTGGGGAGTTCGAGACCAGCCTGACCAACATGGAGAAACCCCATCTCTACTGAAAATACAAAATTAGCCAGGCGTGGTGGCACATGCCTGTAATCCCAGCTACTCGGGAGTCTGAGGCAGGAGAATCACTTGAACCCGGGAGGTAGAGGTTGCGATGAGCCAAGATTGCGCCATTAAACTCCAGCCTGGGAACAAGAGTGAAACTCCATCTCAAAAAAAAAGATAAAGAAAAAAACTTTGTCTATGGAGTCCATCGATGAAATAAATTATTTATTTCTTGCCCTTTTAAATTGGTGCTTTTTGTATCCTGCTTAAGAAATGCTTGACAAAATTAAAGTCAGAAGCAAATGTTCCCGTATTATAATTCATTAGTTTTATTATTTTAAGTTTTGCATTTAAATGTTTACTGTTTTTAGTTCTCATTTGTTCATAGGTAGTGTTTCAATGTTATTATTTTCTGTTCATTAAGAAAATTTTCATGGAGATGGAGCAAGATAGCCAAATAGAAGACTCCAGCAATCATCCTCCCAAAAGGCACATCAAATTGAACAGCTATCCACACATAAAAGTGCCTTCATATGAACCAAAAATCAGGTGAGTGATCACAGTACCTGATTTTTAACATCATATTAAGGAA
The DNA here is from genome assembly GCF_000001405.40 of Homo sapiens. Classification (NCBI taxonomy): domain Eukaryota; kingdom Metazoa; phylum Chordata; class Mammalia; order Primates; family Hominidae; genus Homo; species Homo sapiens. The sequence goes on from NC_000014.9 coordinate 43,913,899, forward strand.
AGAGGCACTGAAGAGGGTAGGAAAGACAGCCTTGAATCACCTATACCACTCCTGCCCCATCCTCTGGCACCAGCCACATGTCATGGGGAGAGAATCTTTGTGCTTGAGGAAGGGACAGCACAGTGATTGTGGGACTTTGCACTGGAACTCAGTGCAGCCCTCTCACAGTGGAAAGCAACAGTGGGCAGAACTCAGCTGGCACACACAGAAGATACATTTACATCAGTCCTAGCCAGAGGTGAATCATTCATTCCAGCTGCCAAAATCTGAATTCCAGCAAGCCCTGCCACTGTGGGCTAAAGTGCTCTGGGGTCCTAAAATAGACTAGAAACGCAGTCTCAGCCACAGGGATGGCAATTCCTGGGCAAGTCCTAGTGCTGTGCTGGGCTCAGAGCCAGTGGACTTACAATGCATGTTACCTAGTGAGACACTAGCTGGAATGGGTAAGAAAGTGTTTGCGTCACCACTCCCTCAGCCCCAGGCAGCACAGCTTGGAGCTCTCGGGGAGACCCCTTTCCTCTTCCCTCTGCTTGAGATAAGAGAGGAAAGAGGATTTTGCAACTTAGATAACAGCTTAGTCACAGTAGAATAGGGCACCAGGCAGAGTCCTAAGGCCCCCATTCCAGGCCCCAGTTCCCAGATGGCACTCCTAGACATTCCTTGGGGCAAAAGGGAACCCATTGCCTTGGAGCGAAGAACCCAGTTCTGGCAAGATTCATCACCTGCTGACTAAAGAGCCCTTGGGCCCTGAATAATCAGCCACTGTACCCAGGCAGTGCACACTGCAGGCCTTGAGTGGACTCAGAGCCATGTTGGCTTCAGGTATGACCCAGGCCATTCCCAGAAGTAGTGGCTATGGGGAGAAACTCCTTGTGCTTGAGGAAAGGAGAGGGAAGAGTAAAGGGGACTTTGCCTTGAAGCTTTGGTACCAGCTCAGTCAATGTGGGGTAGGGCACCATGTGGGTCCCTGGGGTCACTGATTCTAGACCTTGGCTCCTGGATAGCATTTCTAGACCTTCCTTGGGCCAGAGGGGAGTCCACTGCCCTGAAGGGAGAGAATTAGAATTAGTAGCATTCACCTCAAGCTGACTGAAGAGCCCTTGGACCTTGAGTGAACATCAGTGTTAAACAAGCAATACTTGCCACAGGCCCAGGGCAGTACTGGTGCCATGGCAGCATGGCCATGAGGAGAGACTTTTCTGCTTGAGGAAAGAGGAGGGAAGAGCTGGAAGAACTTTGTCTTGTAGCTTGGGTGCCCCCTCAGCCACAGTAGAATAGAGCAACAGATAGATTCCTAAGGTTTCTGACTCCAGACCCTGGCCCTCAGATGGCATCTCTGGACTTGCCTGAAGCTGAAGGAATCTTGCCACTTAGAAGGAAAGCACACAAGCCTTCCTGGACTTGCAACCTGCTGGTTGTAGAGCCCCTGGGCCTTGAGTGAACATAGGTGGTAGTCAGGCAGTGGTTACTGTAAACCTTGGGTGAGACCCAGTGCTGTGCTGGTTTCAGGTTTGACCCAGGGCAGTCCCAGTGATGTGGTTACAGGGGTGCTTGTGTAACCTCTCCCCTAGTTCAAGGCTGCTCAACACACAAAGAGAGACTTCATTTGTTTGGAGGAAAATCAGGGAAGATAACAAGAGTCTCTACCTTGTAATTCAGGGAATTCTCCCAGATTTCACCCAATACCACCAAGGCACCGTATGTTGACAAGTCTGAAAGAGTCACAGTGTTACTGGGCTTGGGGTACTAATGCAGGTATGGCTGCAGTGACCAAAGACTTAGATCACAGCACCGAAGTCAGTTAGAACACTTGGAAAGCCTTCCCAAGAAGGATGAGTACAAACAAACCAAGACTTTGAAGACTAAAATAAATACCTAAATCTTTAATGCTGAGACTCTAGGAAATATTCCCAAGCATTAAGACCATCCTAGAAAACATAGCATCACCAGACAAAATAAATAAAACATCAGTGACAAATCCCTGAGAGACAGAGATAGGTGAATTTCAGACAGAAAATTAAAAATAGCTGCTTTGAGGGAGCTCAATGAAATTCAAGATTACCTAAAGGAATTCACAATCCTATCAAAGAAATTAAACAAAGAGATTGAGATCATTAAAAAGCATCAAGCAAATTCTGGAGCTGAAAAATGCAATTGGCATACTGAAGCATGCATCAGTTTCTTGACAGCAGAACTAATCAAGCAGAAGAAAGAAGTAGTAAGCCTGAAGACAGCCTATTTGAAAATACACAGTCAGAGGAGGTAAAACAAAAAAGAATTTAAAAAGTGAAGTATGCCTGCAGGATCTAGAAAACAGCCCCCCAAAAGCAAATCTAAGAATTATTGGTCTTAAAGAGAAGATAGAGAGAGATCATGGCAGAAAGTTTATTCAAATTAATAATACAGAGAACTTCCCAAAGCTAGAGGAAGGTATCACTGTTCAAGTACAAGAAGGTTATAGAACACCAAACAGATTTAACCCATATAAGACTACCTCAAGACGTTTAATAGTAAAATTCCCAAAAAGCAAGAATAAAGGTAGCATCCTAAAAGCAGTAAGAGAAAAAAAAAATCAAATGACATGCAAAGAAGCTTCAATATGTCTGTCAGACTTTTCAGTAGAAACCTTAAAAGACCAAAGAAAAGTGGCATGTCATATAAATCCTGAAGGAAAAAAAAATCTTCTATCCTAGAATAATATATACCATGAAAATATCCTTCAGACATGAAGGAGAAATAAAGACTTCCTCAGACAAACTCAGAGCTGAGGGATTTCATCAACACCAGACTTCTCCTACAAGAAATACTAAAGGGAGATCTTCAGTCTGAAAGAAAATGACATTAATGAGCCATAAGAAATTATCTGAAGGTACAAAACTCACTAGTAGTAGTAAGAACACAGACAAACACAGAATATTATACTCTAACTGTGGTGCATAAACTACTCTTATCTTGAGTAGCAAGACTAAAAGAGGAACCTATTAAAAATAATAACTAAAACAACTTTTCAAGACATAGGCAGTATGATAAGATATAAATAGAAACAACAAAAGTTAAAAATCAGAATGATGAAGATAAAGTGTACAGTTTTTTTCAGTTTTCTCTGTGTGTTTCTTTATATAATCAGTGTTAAGTTGTCCTCAATTTAAAATAATGGGTTATAATACAGTATTTTGAAGCCTTATGGTAACTTCAAATTAAAAAAAATACAACAGATACACAAAAAATAAAAAACAATAAATTAAAATGTACTGCCAGAGAAAATCACCTTAATTAAAAGGAAGACAGAAAGGAAGGAAAGAAGGAAAAGAAAATCACAAAACAACCAGAAAATCCATAATAAAATGGCAGAAGTAAGTCCTTACTTATTAATAATAACATTGAATGTAAATGGACTAAACTTGTCAGTCAAAATACATAGAGTGGTTGAATGAATTTAAAAAAATACCGAATGATTTTTTGCCTATAAGAAAGAAATTCATCTATAAAGACATAAATAGAATGAAAGTAAGAGAATGGTAAAAGATACTTCATGCAAATGGAAACCAAAAAGGAGCAGGAGTAGCTATACTTGTATCTGACAAAATAGATTTTAAGCCAAACTATAAAAAAAGAAAAAGAAGGTCCTTATATAATAATAAAGGCGTATATTTAGAAAAAAGATATATTAATTGCAAATGTATAGGTACCCAAAACTAGGGCACCCAGATATATAAAGCAAATATTGTTTACCTAAAAATAGAGATAGACCCCAATACAATAATAGCTGTAGACTTCAAAACTCTACTTTTAGCATTGGACAGATCACCCAAACAGAAAACCAACAAAGAAACATCAGACTTAATCTATACTAATCTACACTATAGACTAATCTACACTATAGAATAAATGGACCTAATAGATATTTACAGATCTTTTCATTCAACAACTGCAGAATACACATTCATCTCCTCAGCATATGGCTCATTCTCAAGGATATACCATATGTTTGGCCACAAAACTAGTCTTCAATATTTTTAAAAAATTGTAATTATATGAAGTATCTTCTCTGACCACAATGGAATAAAACAAAAAATTAATAACAAGGAGAATTTTGGAAATTACACAAATAAGAAAATTAAACACTATACCCCTGAATGACCATAGTTTCATTTCTTGAATCAAATGAAAATGAAAATACAACGTATCCATCCTGTGGGATACAGTGAAAGCAGTACTAAGAGGAAAGTTTATATAGTAATAAGCACTTACATTAATCAAGTAGAAAAACTTTAAATTAGAAACTCAACAATGCATTTAAAATATTAAAAAGCAAGAGCAAACCAAACCCAAAATAAGTCCAAGAAAATAAATAATAAAAATAAGAGAAGAAATAAATAAAACTGAAATTAAAAAAATACAAAAGATCAACGAAATGAAAAGTAAAAGTTGGTTGTTTGAAAAGAGAAACAAAATTGGCAAACCTTTGGCCAGACTAAGAAAACAGAGAAAAGACTTGAATAAATAGAATCACAGATGGAAAAAGAGACATCACAACTGATGTTGTAAACATTAAAAGGATTATTAGTGGTTACCATGAGCAACTATATGCCAGTAAATTGGATATCCTAGAAGAAATGAGTAAATTCCTAGATACTTACAACCTACCAAAATTGAACCATGAAGAAATCCAAAACCTGAACTGACTAATAAAAAGTAATGATATGAAAGCTCTAATAAAATTTATTTCAGCAAATAAACATTCAGGAGTCGATGGCTTTACTGTTGAATTTTACCAAACCTTTAAAGAAGAAATAATACCAATTCTACTCAAAGTATTCTGAAAAATAGAGGAAGAGGGAAAATTCCAAACTTGTTGTATAACTCAAGTATTACCCTGATGTCAAAACCAGACAAAGACACATCAAAAAAGAGGAAACTACAGGCCAATGTCCCTGATTAACATGAATGCAAAAAAATCTTCTATGCATCCCCGAAATACTAGCAAACCATATTTAACAACACATTAAAAAGATTATTCATCATCACCAAGCGGGAATTTATCCCAGGGATGCAAGGATAGTTCAACATATGCAGATTAGTCAATGTGATTCAGCATGTCAACTGAATCACAAAAGCCATACAATCATTTCTGTTTTGTTGTTCTTTGAAAGGCTTTATTGCTTATCTAAGATATGGGGCAGAGCTCATAGCCTTTTTAAAATTTTTTAAAAACTTTTAAGTTCAGGGGTACATTTGCAGATTTGTTAAAAAGGTAAATGTGTGTCATGGGGATTTGCTGTACAGATTATTTCATCACTCAAGTATTAAGCCTAGTACTCATTAGTTATTTTTTTCTGATCCTCTCCCTCCTCTCACTCTCCACCCTCCAGTAGGCCCCAGTGTGTGTTGTTCCCCTCTGTGTGTCCATGTGTGCTCATTACTTAGCTCCCACTTATAAGTGAGAACATGCAGTATTTCTGTCCCTGTGTTAGTTTGCTAAGGATAATGGCCTCCAGCTCTATCCATGTCCCTGCAAAGGATATAATCTCATTCTTTTCTATGGCTGCTGTAGTATTCCATGGTGTATATGTACCACAATCTCTTTATCCAATCTGTCATTGATGGGCATATACATTGATTCCATGTCTTTGCTATTGTGAATAGTGCTGCAGTGAACATATGTGTGCATCTGTCTTTATAATAAAACAATTTATATTATTTTGGACATATACCCAGCAATGGGATTCTTGGGTCCAATGGTAGATGTTTTTAGGTCTTTGAGGTGTCACCACCCTGTCTTCCACAATGGTTGAACTAATTTACACTCCCACAAACAGTGAATAAACATTTCTTTTCTTCCACAATCTTGCCAGAATCTAGTATTTTTTGACTTTTTAATAATAGCCATTCTGACTGGTGAGAGATGGTATCTCATTGTGGTTTTTATTTGCATTACTCTACTGATCAGTGAGGTTGAGCTTTTTTTCATATGCTTCTTGGTCACATGTATGTCATATTTTGAGAAGTGCCTTTTCATTTCTTCTGCCCACTTTTTAATGGGGTTGTTTGTTTTTTTCTTGGAAATTGGTTTAACTTCTTTATATATGCTGGAGGATCTAATTAAACTAAAGAGCTTCTGCACAGCAAAAAAAACTATCAATAAACAACCTGCAGAATAGAAGGAAATTTTTTATTATTTCAATTGATGCTGAAAAGACATTTGATAAAATTGAATATTCCTTCATGATAAAAATCTGAAAAACCTGGACATAGAAGTAACACAACTCAACACAATAAAAGCCATATATGACAGACCCACAGCTAGTACCATACTGAATGGGGAAAACAATGAAAGCCTCTCTTTACAATCTGAAACATCACAAGGATGCCCACTTTCACCACTGTTATTCAAAACAGCACTGGAAATCCTAGTTAAAGCAATCAGACAAGAGAAAGAAATAAAGGGCATTCAAAATGGATCAGAAGAAATCAAATTTTTCTTGTTTGCAGATAATATGATCTTTGGAAAAAGCTATAACAGTCCACCAAAAATCTAGTAAAATTGATATACAAATTCAGTAAAATTGTAGGATAAAAATCAACAGCAAAAATCAGTTACATTTCTATATGCCAACAGCAAACATTCTGAAAAATAATCAAGAAAGTAATCCCATTTAAAATAGCTACAAATAAAATATATAAGAATAAATTTAACTAACAAAGTGAAAGAGTTCTACATTAAAAACTATAATATACTGGGCTGGGCACGGTGGCTCACGCCTGTAATCCCAGCACTTTGGGAGGCTGAGGTGAGCAGATCATGAGGTCAGGAGATCGAGACCACCCTGGCTAACACAGTGAAACCCCGTCTCTACTAAAAATACAAAAAATTAGCCGGGTGTGGTGGCCGCCGCCTGTTGTCCCAGCTACTCGGAGGCTGAGGCAGGAGAATGGCGTGAACCCGGGAGGCGGAGCTTGCAGTGAGCTGAGATCGTGCCACTGCACTCCAGCCTGGGGGAGGGAGTGAGACTCTGTCTCAAAAAAACAAAAACAAAAACAAAAAAAACTATAATATATTGATCCAAGAAACTGAAAAGAACAAAAAAATTGAAATGAATGGGAATAATCAATATTATTAAAATATCCATACTACCCAAAGCAAACTACATGTTTAACGCAATCCCTGCAAAAATACCAATGACATTATTCACAGAAATAGAAAAAAAATCCTAAAATGTATGTGGAATCATGAAAGACCTCAGAATAGCCAAAGCTATCTTGAATAAAAATAAGAAAACTGGAGGAATCACATTACCTGATGTCAAATTATATTACAGAGTTATAGTAACCAAAACAGCATGGTACTGGGGTAAAAAAAGGAACATAGACCAAAGTAACAGAAGAGAGAATCTAAAAATAAATCCACGCATCTACAGTGAAAACATTTTCAAAAAGTTGCCAAAAACACACTGGAGAAAAGACAGTCTCTTCAATCGATTGTGCTGGGAAAACCAGAAAGCCATATGCAGAAAAATGAAACTAAACCCCATCTCTTGCCACATAAAAAATCAAACTGGATTAAAGACTTAAATATAAGACCTCAAACTATGACACTACTGTAATAAAACATGGGGTAAAAATCTCCAGAACACTGGTCTGGTTAAAAATCTCTTGAGCAATACCCTACAAGCACAGGCAACCAAAGCAAAAATGGATAAATTGGATCACGTCAAGTCAAAAAACTTCTACACAGCAAATGAAACGATCAACAAATTGAAGAGACAATTTGCTGTCTCTTCAACAAATTGTTTTGAATTTGTTGAAATAGAATAGAATGGGAGAAAACACTTGCAAACTACCCATCTGACAAGCAATTTGTAACCAGAATATATAAGGAACTTCAATTTCTATATAGAAAAAAAAATAATAATCTGATCAAAACATGAATTTGAATAGACATTTCTCAAAAGAAGACATACAAATGACAAACTGTCATAGGAAATGGTGCTTAACATCATTGATCATCAGGGCAACGTGAATCAAAACTACAGGGAGACAACATCTCACCAATGTTAAAATGGCTTTTATCCAAAAGACAGGCAATAACAAATGCTGGTGAAGACACAGAGAAAGGGAACCATTGTACATTGTTGGTGGGAATGTAAATTAGTGTGAACTCTATGCAAAATAGTTTGGAGGGTCCCACAAAAGTGAATATAGAACTACCATATGATCCAGCATTCCCACTGCTAGGTATATATCTTTAAAAAAAAGAAAATCAGCATATTGAGGAGATATCTGTACTCTCATTTTTATTAGAACACTATTTACAATAGCCAAGATTTGGAAGCCACCTGAATGTCCATCAATAGACGAATAGATAAAGAAAACATGGTACATTTACACAATGGAGTACTATTTTGCCATGAAAAAGCAGGAAATCCTGTCATTAGCAACAACATGGATGAAACTGGAGATACTTATGTTAAGTGAAATAATACAGGCACAGAAAGATAAACATCACATATGTTTACTTATTTGTGGGAGCCAAAACTTAAAATAATTCCACTTGTGGAGATAGAGAGTAGTACGATGGTTATCAGAGGCTGGGAAGTGTAGCCCTTGGGGGCGTTGGGATGAAAGGGCGAATGGTTAATGGGTACAAAAACCAATTAGAACAAATAGGGATAACAAAAAAAAGAAAAGCATAGATGAATAGTTCTCATTAAGATGCAAAAAGTTCTCAACAAAATATTAGGAACCAAATCCAACAATGTATGAACAAAATTATATACCATGACCAACCAAGTAGGATTTATTCCAGGTATGAAAGACTAGCAACACTTTCAAAAATCAACCAGTATAACATACCATATAAACAGACTAGAGAAGAAACATGTGAAGATTATATCAATTAACTGAATGCAGAAAAAATGACAATATTCAATATCAGATTCATGATAAAAACTCAGCAAGATAGGGATAGAGATAAATTACCTCAAGTTAATAAGATCAGCTAAAAAAAAACCCCAAAACCTACAATTAATGTCATAAATACTGGTGAAAGATTGATTTCTTACCCTCTAAGAATGAGAATAAGATATTCACTCTCATCACTCTTCAGCAAATTTTTATCACTGAAAATTTTAGCAACTGAAATAAGAAACAAAAAAAAGTATAAAGCCAAATAGATTGGAAAGAAGAACTAAAACTTTTCCTATTTGAAGATGAGATAATTTTTTGCAAGAAATTATCAAATAATTTTCAAGATGTTCCAGAAATAAATAATAAGTGCAGTAAGGTGGCAGAATACAAGATCAAAACACAAAAATCAATGTAATTTAATACATTAATAATATCTGGAAACTGAAAATAAAACAGTTTGGCAATTTCTTATAACATTTACCATGCAATTAACATATGACTCAATAATTGAATCTTAGGCTTTTATCCTAGTGAAATTGAAGCTTACGCTCATACAAAAACCTATACAAAGATATTCATAGTAGCTTTATTTGTAATGACTCAAAACTAGAAATAATCTGGAAACCCTTCAACAGGTGCATAAACAAACTGTGGAACACACATAGTAATAACACGTAATGCTGCTTAGCAGTAAAAACAAACTATAGATACATACAATGTGGATGGTTTTCTATGGAATTATTCTGAATCAAGAAGAATAGTTCATGTACAATGATTACATTCTGAATAGTTGCTTTTATATAAATGGCTATTAAGCACATAAAAGATGTTAAACATTATTATTTATCAGAGAAATACAATTAAATCATCAGAACCTCCTCGACATCAACTAGTATAGTAAATTGTTTTAATAAACAGGCAACATCAAGCATTGATGAAGATATAAACGAACTCTAATGCATCGTTCAATAGAACAATCATTTGTATAACGGTTTGGCCATTTTAAAAATAAAGTTGTTCATATCTTTAACAGGTGACTCTACATTCATAGGTATGTACCCTGCCCAAAAAAACCGCATATACAAAAAGTCTGGTATAAAAATGACCATAGCAACTATTTTTTTTAACTATAGATTGTAATTGGAAATAGACTAGGAGTCCATTAGTGGGAGAAGATATGAACAGACTGCATTGTGCTTATTTTTTGGAATAATACTCAGCAATGCAATTCAACAAGTTACTGACACACTCAACAACATCTTGAAAACAAGGCACTGAGCAAAAGAAGCCAAAGAAAAAAGGTACAAGCTGAAACTGTAGAAAGACAAGACCAATCTAGCTAGCACAGTGGCTCGCACCTGTAATCATAGCTACACAGGAGGTTGAATAGGAAGGATAGCCAGGGCCCAGGAGTTTGTGACCAGCCTCTCACAACGTAGTAGGACCCTGTTTCTAAACAATAAAAACAAAGTTAAAAAAATAGCCAGGAGTGGTGGTGCAAACCTATCATCTCAGCTACTTGGAAGGCTGAGACAAGAATGATAGTGACAGGAGGCAGTCAAATGGCTAGGCAGATAGGGGTAGGTCCCCAGTAAAACCCCACCTCCAAGCTGAAGACAGTTTAAAGCCTGAAAGCTAAACTACAAGTTAAATCTTCCAGCTGGATTGAGAACTTGTCTTCCTTTTAGGCACACTCTCCTCTGATTGATTCCCACCTTTCACCAATTTTACATATACCTATCCTTTCCTAATTGGTTTTCTACACTGTCGTGCCCACCTTTGAGTGGTGTCTTTGCTTTAACCTTTTATTGCATATTCAGAAACCATTCAGCACACACTCCATATTCTGAGTCCGTAAAAAGTCCCCGACCCAGCCACACTGGGAGAGAAACCACCTGACTGTGGGGGTGGGGGACCACCCCCGCATTCCCTCACTGCCGAGAGCTGTCCCCTCGCTCAATAAAATTATTCTCTACCCTCCTCACTCTTCAAATTGTCAGCATAACCTCATTCTTCTTCGATACGCGTCGAGAGCTTGGGAACCATTAAAGGTGGGTACGGCCTGTAACACAGGCAAGCTGGGGCACAACCGGTCCAGCCACGGTCTGAGCCAGTGAATATAACAGACCCAGCCTAGGTGGACCAAGTGGGTGGGGTGCCACCAGCAGCAGGCCCTGGGCCAAGCGAGAAGCGAGGCCTGGGAGTGGGGAGCATCACCAGCCGTGGAAGTCCCAGTTGGCAAAGTGGCCAAGAAAAATCTTGCATCATGGGGATTCTTTAAGTCTAGGAGTTTGAGGCTTCAGTGAGATATGATTGTATCACTGCACTCCAGCGTGGGTGACAGAGCAATATCTTGTCTCTAAAAAAAATTTTTTTTAAGACTAATTTACAATGACAGACAACAGATCATTTTTTGACTAAGAATAGAGATTGGAAGTAGGCATCTGCTGAACATAGCATGAGGGAATTTACTTAGCATGAGGTGATGGAAATGGTATATACTTTTTTAATTGTGTGATGGTTACATGGATATATACATCTGTCAAACTCACTGAACTGAACAGTTAAAATCAGTACATTTTAATACATGTAAATTATGCCTCAAAAATTGATTTTAAAATAATTTTTAACATGGATGCATATGTTCTCTAGCCTGTAGAAGATATCCATAGGGAAACAGACTTACATTCCCCATGCTTAAATGAGCCATCATGGCAGGAATAACAAATTCCAGGCACGTGGTCTATTTTTAGCCTTCAGCAATACAATATTTAAAATAATGTATTTAAATATATTTTAGTTGGGATAGGTTCTCTGTACCACAGTCTCCACAATTTCCTCATTTTAAAAACTTATTGTCTTGACACATTCATGTTATTCTTTTGGCTACTGAAGACATTGTAATAGGGATTCCTTGCATTTTGGCAGGCTATTTTTAGATTATACCCACTGCTGTACTCAAATGCCAAATTCTAGAAACCAGAACAATCTATTTTTATAGTGCTGCTCATCCTGGTAATTTTCACCTAGGCTTAGATTGTGCTTTGTATTAATAATTTTGCAAGTGGAGATCAATAGTCTTCATTCAAAAATTCAAAGAAATATGTTAGACTCACTGATGTAGTCATGCATATAATTATGAAGGCTTCCTAGTATCACCTACTTAATGTACACCACTTTAAGTATATTTTTAATAATATAATACTTTTCAGATCTAAAGTTAGTATATAGCATTTATATGATTGAATATGTTTATACTTTTTTCATGTCACTACACCTTTTTTGTTTTGTACTATATGAATCGCTCTGATTATAAAGTCTTTCACTTGATTTGATTGTTTATGCTGCTCTTTGGCCACACATAATAATGTTCTCATTTGATTCAAAGACAAATATTTTATAAAATAAAGGCATTGGGACCACCTCCCTTTAACATTCCAATGGGATAAATCAATTATGAAATATAGCTCTTGGATGCTATACATCTCTTATTGATATATTTTCTACACATTTTAAGTTATTGTATATAAAAATTAATTTGTATGCCCAATTGTTTCCAATAATGTGGACTACTTTAGATTAATTGTTTAGATGCAAAATGTATATTTTAAAATTATATTAGAAATTCTTTATGTTGAAGAAATTATGCCCTAATGCCATGATCATCACTAAGAAGAAAGCCTGAACACTGCTGTCAGATTTAAAAAAGAATTATGCTTATAATATATTTTGTTCCTTTTCAGACATATTTTAAAACTATAAATCACAATGAGGAAGTCATTAGGGATTCAAAGAAAAATCTTCAATAGAAGTGAGTTTTTGTTTAATCTATCTACTTTTATTTATTTATTTTTCACAACTAGTTATTATGAGGCCACAAGATTCCCTTGGAAGTCTACTTGTGTCTGTTTAGAATATTTCTCTTTGGAGAGTGTAGGTCTGATTTCCGAAAATAGCTCTCAATATTCACTATAGAATAGAAATAAATGAACAACTAAGTTCAACCTTAAAGCTTATAAGAAGAGAAAACTTCACTAACTTTAATGCTGAAGTGAAAATATGTTCCAAGTCACTAAGGATTTATTTCAGATTGTTACAGCCAAAAGGTGCCAACTCTAAAATTCTGTTTACATGTTAGTGTTATCAAAGTCTTTTTGTCTATTATATGAATTCACCTCCCATTACTTATTTATAACAGTGAGTGCATGAAAGTGGTAACAGACAAATAGGTTTTGGTGTGTAGAAACTGTCAGATTGTACTCTCAAGCAACATAACTTTTTGAAAACTATCTACTATACTAGTTGGTACTTGAGCAATTTATGTAAAATAAAGCTATCCTTATAAAAATAAAAGTTGGTATAGTCCTGTTTTTAATAAAATTTACATATGTTTTAATTTACAATTTATGATAGTTTTTATATTTCACAATAATTTTGTTTCTTAGGGAAAACATTATTTATAAATGGAAAATATAAAGTGCAAACATCATCTTTGACATTCCAACAATTAGTCATCACTAAAATGATTTCTCTTAAGAGCATGTATTGTAAGAGCTGTGATTTCCATAAGAATGAGATTTGGAAATTTTTCAAAATCAAGACAATTAGAACATTTTTTAAAAAATATTTCATTTAAATGCTTATTAGTTCTAAAGATAATTGTAGCAATTATTTCCTCATACAAAATAACCCATATTTCAGCCTATAATTAAGCACCTTGCCAGTCACTGAGGGATATCACATATTATTATTACTAGGAAGCTGTTTTTAGTAACTAAAAATCTATGGTTAAGAATAAATAGAGGTAGATTAATGTGAAGCTACTGAAGCTTAATTTTCAGGGCTTCTCACTTTCATAGAACCCCTCCAGCACCCTGGAAGAAATCATAGTTATGTGTTCATATGATCTATATTTTTAAAAGTTTTGCAAGGATAATTTTTAACTGCAATCAAGTGAAATTCCTGTCCACTATAAACTATCACACATGGCTAGAGTGGTTTTGGAAATTTTGAAGATCCAGGAAATGAAAGCTGAATTCATGCTACATTTATTTAAGGTGTAGATGAATGTCCTAATGTGAATTTCAGTGACTTTCATATAAAGTTAGATCATTAGTAAGCATCTGGTAGAGATGGCTTCCTCTATGCCACCTTACCTAGCATCAGGAGATGGAGGCACAGGGGCTGAGAATTATCATAATGGAATGTGCCCTGTTACATTTTGCATTGCATGTATGTACACAGTGGAAGCGAAATAAGATTTGAAATGAATAGGATGAGAAGTTAATAACTGAAATTCTTCCAATAATTTTATGAGCAAAATTAAAAGTTGAAGATTTGATTCTAAGCAACTCCTAGTCAAATTATCCTGGTAGAAATATATTAAATAATGCAATGTATGTACTATGTCTGCACAGTACTTTTACATTGTTAAATGGGAAATTTTATATACGAAAGAAATTATCAGAATTCTTAGTTTGTGCATCAAACATCTGTAGTAGTGTTACAAACTGTGAACAACTCCATACGCAGATTCAAATCTCAATAATAAAAAACAAATTTTGACCAAACACAATAGAGAAAACACTGAATTACCTTTCTATTTTCTCTATAGAAAAATATATAAAATCATCGTCATAGACTCCCAGTTCTACATATAAGAAGTTTGGAAGTGAACACTTTGTTCTAACAAGTAATAAACTGAACAGACAAAATCAACAACTTTTCTTGGATCCATAACATATGACAACACAGGGAAAACTGCTATCCCCAAGATTAGACAGACAAGCAAATGCAGAAAGTCATGGCTTATAGGAACAGAGACTCATCAGCAAAAAACCACTATAGGGACCAGTGCCTGTTAGGAAAACTTCGACTGTAACTGAAGATTTGCTCTAAGCTTAATGCAGACAACTCTGAGAGTTAAAAGTTCCAGGAGGACCAAGTCACAGGGAGAGAGCATAATATTGTGAGTTTTACCTTCAGAACTTCAAGCAGGTTCCCAAAGTAAATATCAGAGAAAAATCCCCCTCGTTCAGGCGGAGACAGGAGAAAAGGAACCATTTTGAAATATACGATAGCACGCTGTTTCTTAACAAGGCCTGACCTCAGGAGAAAGTAGTTAACCAAGGCCTAACCTGCTGGTGCATTATCAGAGCCTAACTGACCTCGAGAAAGGGAAATGCCCAATTCTAGTCAGTTCTAACTTTCCATTTGGGAGAATGGAATGACCCAACTTCAGCCCACTGTAGCCATCCTTTCTCACCTAAGGGAGGAGAACAAAACTGAGAAACACTTGTGAAGTTCACAGTCCAGAAGTATAAACTCACGAAAAAAGTAAGACTATGAAAAGACTATCAAATGCTTCCTCTGCACACCCCTCCCCCAATTTGCAATCGCATTAATATTTACAACAGGTTATTACAAGGCACACAGAAAGGCAAAATAAAAAATAAAATCAGAATTAAAATAAGTATCAAAACTAGACATGGCAAGGATGTTGGAATTTTCAGACTAATTTTTAAAAACTTGATTAACATGCGAATAGCTCTAATGAAAAGTAGACAGCATGAAAGAAAAGATGAACAATAAAAGCAGAAATATAAAAAATCTTAAAGAATCAAGAAGAAATGCTAGAGAAAAAAAACAGAAAAAAGAGTACCTTTGAAGGTATTAGTAGTAGACGAGACATGGCCGGTGAAAGAATCTCTAAACTTGATGGTATATTAATAAAAATTTCAAACACTTACAGGAAAGAGAACAAGCACTGAAAAAAAAACCAACAGAATATCTGAAGACTGTGGGACAACTGCAAAATCTCTAACATCTCTCTAATGAAAATTCCATAAGGAGAAAAGAAACGATAGGAACAGAAGAAATATTTGAAACAATAATGACTGAGATTTTCCCCAAATGAATGTAAGACAGCAAACCAGAGATCCAAGAAGCTCAGAAAACACAAAGCAAAATAAATATAAAACAAAACAAAAACTCCAAATGATGCCTAGGCATATCATTTTTAAACTATAAAAAAACAAACAAGAAGAAAAAATCCTGAGAGCAGTCAGAGGATAGAGACACTTTACCTCTAAAACAATAATTACATCTGACTTCCCTTGCACTTTTCAGTGCAAGCAAGAAAAGAATGGATTGAAATAGTTAAACTGTTGATAGAAAAGAAACACCAACCTAGAATTCTGTACCATAAAAATTATCTTTCCAAAGTGAAAGAAAAATAAAGACTTCCTCAGACAAATAATAATTGATGAAATTTGTTGCCAGTAGCTGCCTTGTAATAAATAGTAAAGAAATTTCTTTAGAAAGAAGGAAAATTTTATAGGTTAGAAACCTGAATGAAGAAAGAACATCAAAGAAGGAATAAATGAAGTAAAATTAAAACTTATTTTTCTTACTCTTAATCTAACAAATAAAATTTTGTTCAAAATAATAATGGCAATAAATTCAATTATATATTCTATTATGTATGTTGATATATACATAATTGATATGGTTTGACCCTGTGCCCCTACCCAAATTTGACCTTGAATTGAAGTAATCCCCTTATGTCAAGGGCAGGACCAGGTGGAGATAATTGAATCACAGTGGCGTTTTCCCCCATACTGTCCTCATGATAGTGAGTTCTCATGACGTCTGTTGGTTTTATAAGGGGCTTTCTCCCCATTCACTCTGCACTTCTCCTTGCTGCTGCCATGTGAAGAAGGATGTGTTTGCTTCCACTTTTGCCATGATTGTAAGTTTCCTGAGGCTTCCCCAGATATGCTGAACATGAATCAATTAAACCTTTTCTCTTTATAAACTAACACAGTCTCAGATATGTCTTTATTAGCAGTGAGAATGTACTAATACAATAATCAAGTATATTGTACTTATATATGTTTATGTGTATGTGTATATATACACAAATGAAATAAATGACCACAATGATACAAGGGATGGGGAGGAATCAGGATTATTTTGTTATTAGAAGGTGCTCACATTACACATAAAGTGTTTTAATGTTATTTAAAAGTGGATTTGGGTTCCTTACAAATGCCTATGACAAACTCCACAGCAACCACCATAAAAGCTAAAGAACAGGATGCATAACTGATATGCTAAGAGACAGAGAAAATCGAATTATATCAAGTGTTCAACTGAATACCACAAAGCACAGAAAAAGAGTGGAAAACAAAAACAGACAAAAAGAACAAGGGAAACAAATAGAAAAAGTAACAAATATGGAAGTTGTTAACCTAAACATATCAATAATCACTTTGAACACGTTAAACAACAGAGGTTGTCAGAGAGGGTCAAAAAATGAGACCCAGTTATATATATTCTACAAGAAACCCACTGTAAATATAAAGACACATATAAATTAAAAGTAAATGGTTGGAGAAAAATATACCATACTAACATCAATCAAAAGAAAGCAGAAATAGTTGTATTAATTTTAGACAAGGCAGACTTCAAAGCAAGGGAAGTTAACAGAGATAGAGAAGAGTGTTACATAATAATAAAAGAGTCATCTCTCTAAAAAGACATCACAATTCTTAATGTGTGAGCACCCAAAAGCAGACCATCAAACAACATGAGGCAGAAACTAATAGAACTGAAAAAAGAAATAAATTAATCCACTATTATAACTGGAAACTTCAATACCCATTTGTCAGAAATTGACAGATCTGTAAGTCAGAAAATCAGTAAGGACATAGTTGAACTAACAAAATTATCAATTAACTGAATAGAATAGACATCTACTAACTATTTCATCCAACAACAGCACAATACACATTCTTCTAAAGCTCACAAGTAACATTCACAAAAATAGACCACATTTTGTATCGTAAAACACACCTTAACACGTTTAAAACAATAAAAATCATACAATGTCTATTCTGAGAGCACAATGGAATTAAACAATAAATTAATAACAGAAAGATAATTGGAAAATCACCAAATACATGGAGACAAAACAACACATTTCTAAACAACAAATGGGTCAAAGAAGAACTTTTAAAATATTTTGAATTAAATAAAAATAAAAACACAATTTTTCACTATTTGTAAGATACAGTGAAAGCAGTGCTTAGAGGAAATTGATAACATTAAAATACATTAGAAAAGATAAAAAATTAATAATTTAAATTTAAATAAGAAGAGTAAATTAAATCCAAAGTAAGAAGAAGGAATTAACAAGAGTTAGAACAGAAATCAATAAAATTTAAATCGGGAAATCAATAGAGAAAATCAAAAGCTGTTTCTTTGAAAAGGTCAATAAATTATGTCTCTAACCAGAATAGAAATAGAAATAGAGGAGATAACACAAATTGCTAATATCAGAAATAAAAGAGGGAGCATCACTACAGATCGCATGAACACTGAAAGGATAATAAAGGAATATGATGAACAATTCTATGCCTACAAATTTGAAAACCTAGATAAAATGAACCCATTTCTTAAAAGATGCAATTTGCCGAGAAGCTCACACAAGAAGAAATAGTCTGAAAAGGACTATATCTATAAATAATAAATAACTTTCCAAAACAGAAGACACCAGGCTGAGATGGGTTTATTGATGAATTCTATCAAATATTTAAGAATGAAATTATACTAATTCTCTATAATCTGTTTCAGAGAGTGGAAGTGGCAGGCCTACTTGCTAAGTTATTCTATAAGACTAGCATTACTATAATCACAAAAACCAGACAAAGATATACAAGAAAATAAAACTAAACACTAGTATCTCTCGAACTCATCAAATAAAAAATTCTCAAAAAAAAATAGCAAATCCATCAACAACAAAGTTCATTAAAAAATTATATGCCATGACCAATTGGGATTTATCCAAAGTATATAAGGTTGTTTCAATATTTAAAAATAAATTAATGCAATTTATTACATTAACAGGCTAAAAATTGCATAATTATATCAACAGTGGCTGAAAAGAATTTGACAAAATTCAGCACTAATTCATAATTTTAAAAGTTGCAGAGGACTTTCTCACCTTGATAAAGAATACCTGCTTAAAAAAATACCCGCAAAAAAACCCAAAAAACTACAGGTAATACCATACTTAATAGTGAGAAACTTGAAGCCTTCCCACTAAGATTAGAAGCATTGTGAGGATGTCCCCTGTAACCATTTCTTTTCAATCTCATATTGAAAGTACTACCAAATCCCATAAGACAAAAAAAAAAGGAAAGGAAAAAAAAGAAAAGGCATACAGATTGGAAAAGAAAAATTAAAACTACCTTCATTTGCAGATGACACAATGATCTAGGTAGAAAATCTGAAGGAATCAACAAAAAAACTTCTGGAATTAATAAGTAATTTTAGCAAAGTTGCAAAATACGATCTTACTATACAAATGTCAAATGTTTTCCTACATACCAGCAATGCACAAGTTGAAGCTGAAATTAAGTACACAATATCATTTATATTAGCATCCCCCAAGAATAAAATACTTAGGCATATATCTAAGAAAATATGTACAAGAGCTACAAGGGAAAATTAAAACCCTAATGAAACAAATTAAAGAACTAAATAATTGGAAAGCTATTCCATATTTATGGATAGGAAAACTCAGTGTTATCAAATGTAAATTATTCCAAACTTGATTTATAGATTCAACTTATAGATTGCCAATGAATATTCTAGCAAGTTATTTTTGTGAACATTGACAGACTGATTATGAAGTTTATAGAGATAGGCAAAAGGCCCAGAATAGCCAACACAGTATTGAAGGAAAGGAACAAAGTTGGAGAACTGGAATTACCCAACTTGAAGACTTATTATAAAGCTACAGTAATCAAGAGAGTGTAAGACCAAACAAATAAATTAATAGAACAGAATAAAGAGACCACAACTAAATTCATATAAATCTAGTAACTGACCTCTGACAAAGGGGTAAAGACAATACCAGGTCAAAGGAAGTCTTTTCAACAAATATGGACATATTAAAAAAAGTGAATCCAGATATATGCTTCAGAAAAATTAACACAAAATGAAACAGATCTAAATGTTAAATCTGAAACTTAAAACTTCTAAAAGATAACACGGGAAAAAACCTAGATAACCTTGAATTATCTAGGTTAAGACATTTTAGATATGACACCAAAGGCACAATCCATTAAAGAAATACTCAATAAGTATTAAATGAAAATTTAAAAACTTTTCCTTTGAAAAAGACAATAAGGGACTGAAAAGACAAGCCACAAAATGGGACAAAATATTGCAAAAGACAAATATGATAAGGGACTTGTATCCAAAGTATACAAAGGACTCTTAAAACTCAACAATAAGAAAACAACCTGGTTTAAAAAAAGTTAGCCAAAGACATTAACAGACAGCTCATCAGAGAAGATAATATAAATGGCAAATAAGCATATGAAAAGATGCTCTGCATCATATTTCATCAGGAAAAAAATGCACATTAAAACAGCAATGACATACCATAACACACTTAGAATGACCAAACATTAGCATACTGACAATACCAAGTGCTGACAAGGATGTAGTGCAACAGGAACTCTTATCCTTTGCTGACAGAAATGCAAAATTGTACAGCGATTTTGAAAGATGGTTTGACAGTTTCTTACAAATTTATACATGTTGTTGGCATATATCCAGCAATTGTGCTCTTTGACATTTACCAAAGCATTTGAAAACTAATATTCACACAAAAATCTGCACAAAGATGTTTTTAGCAGCTTTATTCATAATTGCCAAAACTTGGGCACAATCAAGATACCGTTCAGTGAGTGAGTGGATAAACAAGCTGTGGTACATCCATACAATGTAATATTATTAAGGTTAAAAAGGCTATCAAGCCATGTAAAGATCTTGTGGAACCTTAAATCAATATAATTAGTGAAAAAAGCCAGTTCATAAAGGATACAAGAGGATTCCAACTATATGACATGCTGAAAAAGGAATAAATTTGGAAACAGAAAAAATGATCAGTGACTGTCAGGGTTTAGGGGAACAGAGGTAAGATTCAAGGCAGAGAACAGAAGATTTTTAGGGTAGTAAAAAACATTATATGTGATACTATAATGATGTATCCATTTCATTATATATTTGTTCAGACCCATAAAATATACACCAAGGGTGAATCCTAGTGTAAAAAATTATGGACTTTGGATGATTATGATGTCAATTTAAGTTAGTTAATAGTAACAAATGTAACACTTTGATAAGGCATGTTCACAGTGGGAAAGGCTATGCATACATTGGAACAGGAGTTAAGTGGGAAATCTCTGTACCTTCTACTCAATTTAGCTATAAACCTAAAACTGCTATAAATACATAAAGTTTTAAAAAAAAATCACTGTTATATGAAGAGGAAATCTGAGGATGCAAGTCAAAAATATAGAAACAACTGGAAATTAGGAGATTCATGTAGTAATTACTTTTTCCAGATTTCATGATGCTTGTGGTATTAATAAACATCTTACAATTTGTAATTTGTTGTCATTTTATTTCTTAATGAAAAATGTGGACACAAATTACCAAATTTAGTCTTCATAATTTTAAACACTCTTTTTAAAAGAGGCCATTAAAGTTGTAAAACCCTTAGGTTTCAGAACACCTGGATTATCTCTTAGTAAGCAATTAATTGTTACACTTGAACAAATAAATATTTAATATGCACTTTAGAAATTATGAATTCTTCCAAAACAAGACTATTGTGTTGGAAGTCTGAAAGTCAGGGAAACCATGACAAATCTAATTTGTCCCAAATATAGTCTTTCATGTAAAATTCTCACATATTGCCTGTAACAAGCAGAGTGTTTCATATTCCTGGATGTGTTAGGAAACACATGGGTCTCACAGTGTATTAGTCTATTCTTATGCTGCTGATACAGACATACACAAGACTGGGTAATTTATAAAGGAAAGAAGTTTAATGGATTCATAGTTGCACATGGCTGGGGTGGCATAACAATCACGGCAAAAGGTGAAAGGCACATCTTACATGGGAGCAGGCAAAGAAAGAATTAGAGACAAGTGAAATAGGAAACCCCCTATAAAACCATCAGATTTTATAAGACTTATTCAGTACCATGAGAACACCATGGGGAAACCAACCCCATGGTTCAATTATCTCCCACTGGGTCCCTCCCATAACACACGGGAATTATGGAAGCTCTAATTCAAGATGAGATTTGGGTGAGGCCACATATCATTCTACCCCGGCCCCTCCCAAATCTCATGTCCTCACATTTCAAAACCAATCATGCCTTCCCAACAGTCCCCCTAAGTCTTAACTCATTTCAGCATTAACTCAAAAGTCCACATTCTGAAGTCTCATCTGAGACAAAGCAAGTTCTTTCAACTATGAGCCTGTAAAAATAAAAAACAAATTATTTATCTACTAGATACAATGGAAGTATAGGCATTGGGTAAAGACACCCATTCCAACTGGGAAAAATTGGCCAAAACAAAGGGGCTACAGGCCCCATGCAACTCAGAAATTCAGCAGGGCAATCAAATCCTAAAGCTCCAAAATGATCTCATTTGACTCTATATCTCACATCCAGGTCACGCTAATGCAAGAGGTGGGTGTCCACAGTCTTGGGCAGCTGTGCCCCTATGGCTTTACAGGGTAGTCTCACTCCCACTTGCTTTTTTTTTTTTTTTTTTTTTTTTGAGATGGGGTTTCGCTCTGTCACCAGGCTGAAGTGCAGTGGCACAATCTTGGCTCACTGCAAACTCTGCCTCCCAGGTTCAAGTGATTTTCCTCCCTCCTAAGTAACTGGGACTACAGGTGCATGCCACCATGCCCAGCCAATTTTTGTATTTTTAGTAGAGATGGGGTTTCACCATGTTGCCCAGGATGGTCTCAATCTGATGACCTCATGATGTGCCCGCCTTGGCCTCCCAAAGTGCTGGGATTACAGACGTGAGCCACTGCACCTGGCCCCCAACTGCTTTTATAGGATAGTGTTGAGTCTATGGCAAGCTGTTAGTGGATCTATCATTCTGGGGTCTGGAGAATGGTGGCCCTCTTCTCACAGCTCCACCAGGCAGTGCCCCAATGGGGACTCTATGTGGGGGCTTCAACCCCACATTTCCCTCTGCACTGCCCTAGCAGAGGTTCTCCATGAGGGCCCAGCCCCTGCAGCAAACTTCTGCCTGGACATCCTAGAGTTTTCATACATCCTCTGAAATCTAGACAGAGGTTTCCAAACCTCAATTCTTAACTTCCGTGAACCTGCAGGTCCAACACCACATGGAAGCTGCCAAGTCTTGGGGCTTGCGCCTCCTGAAGCCATGGTCCAAGCTGTGCCTTGACCCCTTTTAGCCATGGCTGGAGTAACTGGAGGACAGAGCACCAAGTCCCTAGGCTGGACACAGCAGGGGGGCCCTGGGCCCTGCCTACAAAACCATCATGTTCTCCTAGACCTCCAGGCTGTGATGGGAGGGGCTGGTGTGAAGACCTCTGACATTCCCTGGAGACATTTTCCCCATTGTCTTTGCCATTAACATTTGGCTCCTCATTACTTATGCAAATTTCTGCAGCCAGCTTGAATTTCTCCTCAGGAAGTGGGTTTTTCTTTTCTATTGCATTGTCAGACTGCAAATTTTTCAAACTTTTATGCTCTGCCTCTTTTAAACATAAGTTCTAATTTCAGATATCTCTTTCAAGTTCAAAGTTCCACAGTTTTCTAGGGCAGGAGCAAAATGCTGCTCGTCTCCTTGCTAAAGCATAACAAGTGTGACCTTTGCTCTGGTTCCCCACAAGTTTCTCATCTCCATCTGAGACCACCTCAGCCTGGATTTCATTGTCCACATCATTATCAGCATTTTGATCAAAGACATTCAAAAAGTCTCTAGGAAGTTCCAAACCTTTCTATGTTTTCTTGTTTTCCTCCGAGCCCTCCAAACTGTTCCAACCTCTGCCTGTTACCCAGTTTCAAAGTTGCTTCCACATTTCCAAGTATCTTTACAGCACCGCCCCACTCTACTGGTACCAATTTACTGTATTAGTATGTTCTCACTTTGCTGATAAAGACATACCTGAGACTGGGTAATTTATAAAGGAAAGAGCTTTAATAGACTCACAGTTCCACATGACAGGGGAGGCCTCACAACCATGGCAGAAGGCAAAAAGCCCATCTTACATGATGGCAGGCGAAAAGAGAATGAGAGTTAAGTGAAAGGGGAAACCCCTTATAAAGCCATCAGATCTCGTGAGACTTACTATCACAAGAAGACTATGGTGGAAATTGCCTTTATAATTCAGTTATCTCCCACTAGGTCCCTCCCACACCACATGGGAATTATGGGAGCTACAATTTAAGATTGGATTTGGGTGAGGACACAGCCAAACCATATCACTCAATTTCTGTGAAATTTTGAGAATGGCAAAATAGGTTTGGGAGAATATTTATCAAAAGTAGCTTTTAATGAATGCATGCATCTCCTCCCATAAATATTAACAAACAACATTATTTCTCTTGCTATTATTTGCATACAGCATGATGTATATAAATTTTATTATACAAGATATCATAACCTCATATAGTTTTTCTAAGCCAGAAAAGAAAACCTTTAAGTAGACCTTAAATCACTCCACAAAATAGGTATGTCTTGTTACAAAATCTCCAAGCTTGTTGATTCTAGTTACACGATCATAGTGCTTTAAAATGTTATTTTTCTGGAAGTCTTTTTTCCCCTTTACTCAACATTCTTTTGTTCCACTGAAACTCCTTTTCTTGTGTTTACTATTCAGTTCATATGGGAAAATGCTATTAATTGCCTACGTTAATATTTTGCATTTTATCTTCAGAGACATGTGACAGTAAGGAATCTTACATTAATAGCGGTGGTGGCCCATCTGGAGTGATCACTGGGAGGATGCTGGCTGTAGCAGGTAAAGTATGGCTGGGGCTTCATGCTCTGTAGAGCCAGCGGAAGCTGGGAACATGCGAAAGCCCCACACCCTACGTAGTGGACAGGACAGGAGCCCACGCTCCCCGGCACAGCTGCAGCTGCCCAGACATCACTCCAGACCCCAGCATTCCTGCACTCTCAGCGACCCAGGAAGCCCTCTGCTCCTGCAGGCTTGAAAGTTCCTGCTCCCCCTGTCGGGCCTCTTCCTGTGCCCGGCACCTGCTCTAGGGCGGAGCAAAGTTGTGGTTGAGTGCAGGCACTGTTGTAACACGGCAAGGGACAAGGTGTGCGTGCACTCAGGGCGACGCTGACACACCCACCCCCTTAGGCCCCTTCAGACTTTGGGCACCAACCAGCACTGGAGAGGGCTGGGTGGGGCTAAGGGTGGCTCAGCACCGGCCTGCAGGCATCCCTCAGCACGGATATCCTGCGTGCTCTGGACGGCATGCTGACGGTGGTGGGAGGCAGACAGGTTTGTAGGCGCGAAGGGGTGGTTCGCTGGTGAAACCGTTCCTTCAGGCCAGGAACGGCCTGAAGCCTGGGGGCCAGGCTACCAGTTCTGGGCGAAGTACACAGCCTGGAGTAAGAACTTCACTGATGACCATTCAGCCAGTCGAATGGTGCTTTTTTAGACCCTCCCATGGCCTCCCGCAGACCAATCAACACGCACTTTCTTCGTTCTCAGCACATCAAATTCCCAGACTTGGCCAGACTCACACACGCAGCGGGACGACTTACCTGCAGAAAGGAGCTACCCACTAGGAGTCTCCTCTCTGCTGAGAGCTGGACACTAGTCAGGATGACCTGCCTGCAGAAAGGAGCTTCAGGTCTACTGAGAGCTGTTCTGTCACTCAATAAAGCTCCTCCCTGCCTTGCTCACCCTCCAGTTGTCTGCATGCCTCATTCTTCCCGGATGCAGGTCAAGAACTTGGGACTCACCGAATGGTGGGACTTAAAGAGCTGTAACACAAATGAGCTGAAATTCCTCCCCCCAGTCACCTCACCCCCCAACCAGCCCCGCTGCTCACAACGTTGCAGGCGAGCGACAAAAAAGAAAGAAGAGCTGCGGCCCTTTGGAAAGCCCAGACCTAGGTGCTCTCCAAGCCAGGGCTGTGACACTCTCTTTGGGACTCTGTGGTTCCTGGCATCTCCAAGCGTCTGAGCTCCATCGTGTTCCCCTCATCCACATGCAGGTGCCCACGGTGGAAGACACTTGCATCACATCTGATCCCGCCACAGCCTTACACGGAGCTGGCACATGTGCAGCACCTACAGCTGCCCACCCCAATGTAGCAGCCAACGTGCCAGGCTGTGCGCAGTGGTTGGACCCTACGCTCACTCGCTCACACACCCTTTGCTTCTCTGCACCTGGCTCACACCCTTGTCAGGCATGGGATCCAGGCCGGTAGTATGGCTGAGCAAAGCCTGCTGGGCCGAATAGGTGGAACAAGCCCAGTGGGCCCAAGCAAAACTCAGGCATAGGCACTACAGACCACAGAGGTTGGAAAAGTGACACCCTAAGGATCCTGTGACAATGTGGCATTTGAAATAGAAAGAAAAAAAATCTTGCTGCATGTTTTTTGTCTTATCAATGACGGGAATTAAGATACATCTGAATTGCATAGAACAGTTTTTAAAAATGAAGTCTCTCTACATAAATTATGAAAGTATAAAGAATTAAATATATTCAGATAATCAGAAATTTAAAATTCAATACTCAAATCACTATACTGTTATTGTAAAGTCTGTCATTTTCTCATCTTGTTTTACTATGTGATTAGGTTGACGTAGGATCAGGGCTTTACTCACCGTTTGTTTTAATTCAATGTTCTTTTCTTTCCCACTCTAATATCTATAAAAAGAAAAATTTATTATAGCTTTATTTTTCTGCAATAAGAAAATATTTGGTTTTTAAATAATTGATAATATTTTATCTCATACATAGTCCTTCATCACAAATAAGCGATTCCTGCAACTGTATAGGGCCCATAAAATCATGTTTAGTAAGAAGGTCAGTGTTGTAAGCTAAGGAGATTTTGGATAATGAATGACCCTGAAAAGTAAAATAATATTTTGCCATCTTATAATGATTTCTACATATGAAGAGCTAAGGTGGATACTCCTAGCAGCTTTATTTTCTTTGTCTTTGAAATTAAATTTTAATAAGTTGAATATGTATTGAAATATAGACTGTCACATTTTTCAATTTGCAATAGAATCAAAAAGAAGAAGTATTTGTATTCATATTTTTGGAGAAATATACTATGTCTAATCTGAAAACATTGACTATGTTTCCATTTTTGAAAATTATCTTAAATGAATCCTTCCTCAAACGTCCCCTTGTTTTATCTTTTGAATCCATGAGTGGACACGTTTCAGTGCCAGCTTGGTCCTCTTTTAATATTTTAATTTTTTTTTTGGTCTTAGGGATCTCTTTTAGTTCCTCTTCTCTACTCTTTTTAAAAAATCTATGGCTTGAATTCATATATATATCCAGAAGAGGAGTAATTGTATATATCCAATTACCTTACTTTCTGAGTTTCAGACATATGTTTCAGCTGCTTCTCAGGGGTCTTTACTTGGATACCTCATAACAACATCAAATTCAACATGACCAACACAGAGCCATTCAGCTTGCCCCAAACCCCGAATTTGAACATTACTGTTGAACATTTAATCAACAAATTTAAAATGTAGGAGTTCTTCATTTTCTATGTAATTAGATATAAAATTATGTCAATCTTCCTCTTTTTTTTTTTTTTTTTTTTTTTCAGATGGAGTTTCGCTCTTGTTGCCCAGGCTGGAGTGCAGTGCCGCAATCTCAGCTCACTGCAACTTTTGCCTCCCAGGTTCAAGCAATTCTCCTGCCTCAGCCTCCCGGGTAGCTGGGATTACAGGCATGTGCCACCACAACTGGCTAATTTTTTTGTATTTTTAGTAGAGACAGGGTTTCTCCATGCTGGTCAAGCTGGTCTCGAACTCCCAACCTCAGGTGATCTGCCCGTCTCGGCCTCCCAAAGTGCTGGGATTATAGGCATGAGCCAATGTGCCTGGCCCAATGTTCCTCTTAAATACTTCTAAACTTTACCACAACCACAACTCCATAACCGCCTACTACAATCTTCCACATTGCAGCCAGTGATTTTCTACTACTCTCTTGCCTAGAACTTTTCAATGGTCTCCCATTTGGCAGTAGAATATATACTAAATTATGAAACATAATGTCTTAGTCTGCTCAGCTGCTATACAAAAATACCACAATCTAGGTGGCTTAAAATACAAAAAAAAAAAAAAAATCGTCCTATAGATCTGGAGGCTAGAAGTCCATGATCAAGGTGTCATCGAATTCAGTTTCTAATGAGGTTTCTCCTTTTGGCTTGTAGACAGCTGCACTCTCTATATGTCCTCACATGGTCTTTTCTCAGTGTGTAGGCAGAAAGATGGAGACAGAGAGAGAGGGAGAAAGGAGAAGAGAGACAGACAGATGAGATAGAACTGTGCAGTGTCTCATCTTATAAGGACATTAATCCTATTAGATCAAGGCCCAACACTTATGATCTCATTTAAACTTAGTTACTTCCTTAGAGGCCCCATCTCCAAATCACTGTATATTAGGGCTTTAACATGAATTTTGGAGGGGCACAAACATTCAGTCTATAATACATGGTAATAAGGAGAGCTGGTTTACACTATCCACCCTAATTTGCTTTATTATCACTTATCTTTCAATCTATGCTGAACTTGACTGAATAGTTGCATGTTCATTTTATTCAAAAAGTATTTTTTAAGCATCCGTAATCTTCTAGGCAAAGTTATTACCTGAGGAAACATCTGAAAGGAAACCAAACACTTTCTATTTTATAAAGCTTTAATTTTACTGGGGAAAGACAACAAATACATTATTAAATGCAGTGTCCCTCCCTACTTCTTCCATACCTCTTTAAATCCCCAAGCTCCCTTTTCAACCTCTCTCTTTCCCTTCCTCCCTTTCTTTCTTTCTCTCTCACCATCTTTCTCTCTCATGAGTGCACACACGCACATGTGTCAGCCAAAAACACACACATATATCAGATCTTAGATCTTTTATTTTTTCGAGACCTAGCCTTACTCTATTGTCCAGGCTGGAGTGCAGTGACATGATCTCGGGTCCCTGCAACCTACATCTCCCAGGTTCAAGCGATTCTCCTGTCTCAGACTCTCTAGTAGCTGGGATTACAGGCGCATACCACCAAGCTCGGCTAATTTTTGAACTTTTAGTAGAGACGGGGTTTCTCCATGTTGGCCAGCTTGGTCTTGAACTCCTGACCTCAGGTGATTCCCCCACCTTGGCCTCCCAAAGTGCTGGGATTACAGGCATGAGCCACCATGTCCAGCCAGTTCTTTTCTTTTTAATTATTTTTTTCCTGATACCTATAGACTGAATCAGCTTGTACCCGATCCATGATGTTCAAATCACACTGTGGCAGTAAAATATGCTCATGCTTTGTCACAAAGTTCATTGAACTGACTTGTCTCCCTCCAAAAGGATAATGATGACATCTTCTTGTCTTCACCATTACGTGGTGACTGATACATAGTGGACACTCAATAAACACTCATTGAGGACAGGTGAGTAGTCATTCACTGAGTTTAATAACATTCAATTTTTTTATTTACCTCAGAAGTACCCAGAGCATTTAATATGAAAATGTGGAATCATTAAAAAATGTTGTATTCTGCTTTTTACAAATAATTTTATTATATAACTTTTTCTCACAGCATCTCTCAGAATTATTTATCTATATAGCTAATTTTTGATTAACACTCTTCTGTAATCTTTTCCTTTTCCCACACTTGGGCCAGGAGTACATCTCTCTGCGAGAGTTAATGATGCCCTTTACTCTCAACATTTGTAAGCTAATAAGAAACAAAATTGCAATGCTTTCATAGATCAAAGAATCACATGGAAGTTCTTTTCTTTTAACAGAACTATTTTACAGTAATTCATTGATACCATCAAAGGCACATGTAGAATATAAAGGGCCTATTGTCAAAATAACTAAATAAATAGCCTCATTAAAATTTAACTGAGCATGCATGAATTAACGAACAATAAGTGTTTTCATAATAAACATTTTAAGTGCTAATTAGTTCCAATGGGGAGTCTTAAGATTACAATTTCTTTGAAACATGTGGTCTGCTGCAAACATACTGATATATAATAATAATTATAATAAGAAAAATATTGATGTAAAACACCTTATCAGTTGACCATAATGAATATAAACAATATCACTAAGCTGAACGTCATGAGATCTACATTCAATAAGCCAAACAATCACAGGCTACATCATCAGAATGTGAATCTACATCATCAAAATAAATTGATGGTTAAATTTCTGTTGGGTCCCTTGAAATATAGATTCTGGTTCAATACATCAGAGGTAGAGAGGCCTGATATTTTATATTATTCAAATGCCATAGATAAGATATTCCAAAACTTTCTATTTTCACAGAAACATAGTGGTTAGTTTTCATTTCTTTCAGGACACCCTTAGGCCTATTAAATGCCTAATAGTTTATTCAGTGGTGGGTCTGAAAAATTTAATAAGTGTTTATGTCGTTAAAAACTTGACATTTGAAAAAGTAATAGACATGTTTGAAAAAAATTTTTATTTCATTATTAACTAACATCTACTGCTTACTGGGAGGTGTGCAAGCAACTCTTGAGCACTACACAACTTCTCAAACTTTGGAATCAGATCGGACATTATCACCCTTATTTCAGGTTCCACATTTACATTTTCTTTTTTTTTTTGAGACAGAGTCTTGCACTGTCACCCAGGCTGGAGTGCAGTGGCGCAATCTCAGCTCACTGCAACCTCCACCTCCCGGGTTCAAGAGATTCTCCTGCCTCAGCCTCCTGAGTAGCTGAGAATACAGGCACCCGCCACCACACCTGGCTAATTTTTTTGAATTTTTAGTAGAGGCACGTTTTCACTATGTTGGTCAGGCTGATCTTGAAATCCTGACTTCATATTCCACCCACCTTGGCCTCCCAAAGTGCTGAGATTACAGGCGTGAGCCACCGCACATGGCCTCCACATTTACTTTTGTGCAGCACTTGCTTCTCATTACAGCAACTATCAAAAGCCAAACTATTGACTTAATTTTGTTCTTTTCTACCTTAACATGAATGATTCCTCTTCAGAATCTGCTTTGCAGAGCTCTAGATGTTTCTTGGCAATGCCAATTAACAAAGTAACTAATAGGGTGATACTGCAGGTATCAGAGCAATAGGTATGAAAGCAGGTCCACACTGTATTATTTATTTTATTTGCATATGGTCATTAAGAGATATGGCATGCATCAAAATATTTGCAAACCAACCCTAAAGGAGATATATGCGTATCTCCTTTATATATATATTCACACACACATCAGCTCAGTCGTAGCATGCTATATATTAATAATTTTTTATCAATATTGGAAACCATCACATTTTCATGTAATTATTCATCTATATCATATTCAATATTTTTAAATATTTTACCTTGTGAACCGATTGCTTAGATAGAAAAAAAAGGGTTATTTAATTAATAGAATAAGATATATGTTGTGTGGGGATCCTGAAGAACAACCTCAGGTTTAATGATTCACTGTAAGGACCCAGAGAACTCAGAGAAGCTTCTATATTCATACTTGTGACTTATTATAGCAAAAAATAAGTTATAAAAACAGTAAAGTGAAAAGGTGTATGGGTGAAGTTCAGAAGAAATCAAGAGCAATTCTGTAGATTTTAAGAGACAGTGGTTAATTCTCCCAGCAACACGTTTGAGTAACGAGGGAAGCACACTCGATCTTTGGCATCCAGGGTTTTAATTGAGAAACAGTCACATAGGCATGCAGAGTCCCATGTGACTAACCTTACTACTCAGTCTCCAGGCCTCCAGAGGTCAGGTTGATACAGAGAGACTCAAATACTCGAGCATACAAAAATAGGCATTCATCATTAATCACATGATTAGCACAAACTATCAGACTTGCCCAAGGTCTTGGGTATACAAAAACTCTTCTACCAGGCAGATGATTTCAAGGGCTTAGAACTTACCTCCCAAGACCTTACCAAGTTCCATCCTTTTCTTTGGAATGTGCAGAGTTTAAGTAACCCTGGCCACGTGTGGTGGCTCATGCCTGTAATCCCAGCAATTTGGAAGGCTAAGGTGGGTGGATCACTTAAGGCCGGGAGTTCGAGACCAGCCTGGCCAAAATGGCAAAATTCTGTATCTACTAAAAATGCCAAAAATTACCCAGTCATGGTGGTATGTGCCTGTCATTCCATTTACTTGGGAGGCTGAGGCAAGAGAATCACTTGAACTGGGAGGCAGAGGTTGCAGTGAGCCAAGATCGCATCCCTGCACTCCAGCCTGGGCAACAGAGGGAGACAGACCTTGTCTCAAAAAAAAAAAAGCAGCCCTAACTGGCCCAGTTAATCATTTTTTGCACATTTACAATTTGGCTTTAATATAAATACCAACAACTGTGCTTCACTTCAGATTATTTTTGTCAAATCATTCTTCCTATCCTATTTGTTCACTATTACATTTTTAACCCCCAGTTTTATATCTCTTCATATTTAAGAGCTTTATTTTACACCTTCTTCCCTCTTTTTGGCATTAGTCAGCTAATTTATACCTTATATACAACATGCTCTTTCAAACTCATCAAAAGTATTGATATATAAAAACATCTCATATTGCACATATAACTAGAACTGGAAAAATCAACAAAATTTTTTTAAGCCTGTCAATATTGAATTTCGATATGGGCTTAAAACAGGAAGATACTGACTCCTCAAACATATGACCTCCTATTCTATTTTTCTTTCTTACTTGACTGATAAGTGGAATTGTCATCCTTCATATTTTTAACACTAAAAATTACCCACAGTCTGATTGCAGCCAATCTGAAATTGGAGAAGGTAGAGAGCCACCACCACTGCCACCACCAGGAAATCCTGTGTTGAACTGTGCTGGAGGTGATGTTTCCATAAATCAAAGGAGAGGAATCAGTGTCAAATTAGAATTATACACTATCAAGCTTTATAATAATTTCAAGGATAGAAGAAATGAGGAGGCATACATGAAGTAAAGAGAGGTCAAAGACATCACATATGGCTCCCAGATCCTTCTTTTCTGCATCACACTCTCTGGTCCAGAATAGATGATACTTCAAAGGAGGTTTGCAGGTCCTCTCACAACAAGAAGAACATTTAGAATATAAAACATGTCCATTCATATCTATATGTACACCCAGATTATACAACATTTGTCAGGAAGCCTTGCTTCATTAATCCATAGATCTTGGGTTTGGTTACCATAAGCAATCCTAAGCTAAGGATATTCTGCTCAAACTATCCTATAGATGAGGACTCTCCTACTAGCAAATATCACTGGTCTATTTACCATAAGATCAGTTATCAGACTGTTTACAAAGAGATTAGACCAGCTCACCTGGTCTTCTTTCTTTCTCCAGGAACACCTTTTTCTCCACCACAATTGTAATCAGTAGTTAGGAGAGAATTGAATTATGGTCCCGATGTTGAAACTTCTTCATCTCCATTTTATAATTTCAGAGAAGGATACGGAAGAGAGAATGTTAGGGATTTATTCCATGTTACTATTAATCTATAAATCTAACTTTTTTTTCTTTATGTACCATGTAGTTTTAACAAGTGATAATGAGCATGCATTGCTCATATAATGGGAAAAATCAAAGGAGTATTTCTCTTGTCTCTGTTAACTGAACCTTTTTATGGGCACACAACAGTAAGATACTGACTCTTCAAAGACATAACTTCCCATTATAAATTTTATTTCTTACTTGAATTAGAGATGCAATTTGTCAACCTTCAAATTCTAAAACTATAAGTAATCCACTGAAGTTATTAATAAGCTTTTCCTTTAAATTAATTGCTAAATAGCTCATTAATTTTTATATATATAATATCTGCCAATTTGTTAACTCATTCATTTTCTTTTATAATAGCTTCCACAAAAAACAAAGAGTAAACAAGATGCGATCCTTCCTTAAAAAATAATGTAGGCTTTTACAGTTTTTAATATGCTTGTTCTTTTTAATATTCTTTGCTTTAGTGCATGACAAGAGTTTATAATTTTCCCACAGATTGAATAAAATGCTTAAACTTGAAAAGTAATTTATAAATATTCTTTGTGCAATCTACTTACTTTACATACTAAAAACTAAATGGTTAAAGTAACTGGCCTTTACACAGTTCTTCAATGTCTCTGTTCTCGGCACCTTTTATATAGTACCTAGCAACTGAAATAATTCCTGAATTTGCCATTATGCTCTCCAAATTACGTTCTACTACTTATTCAGTTGCTCCTAAACTCAACCCAACATATAGATTTTAATTTAAATAAGATTTATTTTATTTAAAAACCTCTGTGTATTCTCCTCCTTATTCACTGAACGTATCATAAATTATATGCATCATATTCAGCAGTAGAGAGTGACAATGTCTTGCTTTTAAACAACTCAGAAGATTGATGTAACATGTTTAAAAATATTGTCTTAAATCATCTAAAATTCTCATCTAATTTTTAATTTAGAAATGTCACAAACTGGGAATTCATATAAAATGAAAAGATGATGTGTAATTGAAGTGAAATTTAAATCAGTCAGAGAAAGTACAGTTGAATTTAGGGAAATTCTCATTAAGTTAAAGTACTTATTAACTTTCTGTTTCCTTTGTATATATACACCAAATACAGAGATGATTAATGCATTATGTGCATCATCTTTCTTGTTAATTATATTCTAATGTAATCTCAAATGACAGTATAATAATCTTGTATATTTATAAATTCTATTTTCAGACAACACTGCCACTTTAGAATCCAATGCATATCCTCAAAACACCAATTTGTTGGATTCTTAAGCATATAAAGTGAGCATCCATCATGTGATAAACACCACATCAGGGACTGAATACCGCAGAAAACCAAAGTTTTACTCTCAGGGAGTCACTGTCCCAGTGGAAGGCACAGGCTAAAATTCCCAATTTATAGTATAGTAGTATAAGCCCAAATATTGTGTATATACGGTGGCCTATGAGAACAAAGACAAGGAGAACTGAATTTATCCAAGAGGTTGGTATCAAGGTGAATATTATCTAAGGGAATATGAGGGCTCACAACTCATAAACAAAGACATGTATTGCTCTGTTATGGAAGTTTCCCACTTCAAATAAGAGCCAACTTAACACTATTATTATCATTTCTATTCAGTGTCTTTTAGCAATGCAAACAGACATTAAATGAAAATAAGTGTATATACTGGAACAGAGAAAAAATTATAAAATAGGTAAATGATCCGATATTACTATTAATAGAGAAGAATATTTTTCTCTCTAGGACTCAAATGAACAAAAAAAGTTAAAAAAAAAATACTGTACCTTGTATTCTATGACAAATTAAATCAAATCTTTCAAGTAAGCACTTTTCCTGTTGGGTATCAGAGAAGAACATTTTGAGCTTCAACATTGGAAACTTAAAGTTTTGTCTAGTTTAAAGGCTCTCCTTTGGAAAATTCAGCCTCTGTAAGGTAAATACTACCCAACTCCCCCTCTCCAAGAGGACACCTGGTTGTATTTGTAAGAGTAAGTAGCATAAATAATTCCATAACTGGGAGGAAAAATGGGAGCTACAAGGGTCCATACTATTTTCTGCAGCATGCTGATCTGGTTATTGGACTGGGGATTGCTGCAAACAAGTCCTGATATGCTGTTAGGACCAATGTGTCACTATCCACTACTTATGTATATGTTCCCAGCTGTGTATCTCTCTTTGCAAGAGAAAAGCCCCTTTGTTCCAACTTCAAGCCTCTGTTGGTCCACGAGTTCTCTTAGCAAATTCCTGTCCCCTAACGGTAATGTGACTGTTTCCTGATTCTCTATGTGGAATACTAAGACATGTGGAGTGAGAAGTTCTACTTAAGTCTTTGTCTTGCACATTTCCCTGTGCCACTATTGTCCAAATTTTCCCAGCAGGGCACTCGTGCTAGTATTCTACATAGGAGCTGGGAAAGAATGCTTTTTTTCTTCTTCCCCTTCTATCTATTTAGCAAAACCCCTGACTTTAAAGAGGAGATCAGTCCACAAGTGTCTATTTGTCCCTCCTGCCTCTATCCCATAAACTCTTTTCCACAATACATATTTGGATTATGTGACACACTGGTCCTAACAGCATATCAGGGCATGTTTGCAGCAATCTTCAGTCCAACGACCAAATCAGCCTGCTGAAGAAAACAGTATGAACACTTGTAACTCTTATTCCTACTTATTCTTCCTGACCTCAGGAATTTCTCATTTGTCACAGCCCCAGCCCCTTCTCCACAAGAGATTTGCTCTGTTCCTTTCACAGATTCCCAAATTGTGAATTGCAAGCAAACAGAGAAGCAGGTTGAGAAATAGGGAAAGATGAAGTAAGAGAGTTACCAAAAATATTATTCTTATTATAGCCCGAAAAAACTCAAGAACATCAAGTATAGCTACACAACATGTAAAGTCATAAATTTCCCATATGCCAGCAGAAACTGGCTAGAAAATATCTACGTGTATGGTTTGTTTCCATATATGAAGCCAGACAAGAACATATTTGTAGCAGTATATTTGGCTAAGTTTGAATAGATTAATTTTGTGAGACAGCATTTTAAAACAATTAAATTGTATTCACTTGAAATTGTAAAATTCCAACATTGGAATCAAATTGCTATTCAAGAAATAAGAGAATTTCCATCTGTGACTTTAGAATTTCACCACAAATTGCTATATGGGTTTTTTTTGTAAGTATATAACATGAGCAACAATGCGTGGGATATTTACATGGGCTCTGTTCTATAAATTTTTAATTTATCTAAATATCAAACAACAGATCAATACAGAAATAATCATTATTGCAAATAAGTTTTGGTCTTTGACTTTCATTATTTTAGTAATTTTAATGTTAAAATATGACTATAGTGTAAGATACCATCTGTTTTCCTATGTAGAAAAATTCCCTTATCTAAACACTAAATGTGTAATTATTCAAATGTTGAAAAACCACTATCCTGTAAGATTACCTAAAAGAAGGATTTTGGTGATCTTATTTAATATAAAGACTTCCAAAAATTAGTTGTGCCTTTTTAAGCTAACTAATTTCTACTTTCCCACTGAAACTTCAAAATTTGGGTGACTTTATAGTTACCCTGATTAAAATGCTGACTTTTCTTACAAGGTCACACACATAGAAATAGTTGCCTGAGTTTAAGGCAGATTGCTGTTTTTTCAGTGATACATTAACTCTTCTAACTCTACAAGATTGGCTTTAGTGTCAATGCTATGCACACGCACAGCAGCAACTGCCTAGTGATATCTCTATCTTCAAGAATAATTCTTGTGTATCACTGATATTGCAATGGAATGTCATTATTAGCTATGATTTTTTAAATAAATTTGTTAAATTTGGAGCTTTATATACTTGTGGAAATAAAATTATACTAAATTAAAATTAAAATGTACATATACAATAACTCAAATATATAATGTAAATATATATTTATGAATGAAATATATGTGCTATAAATGAGAATAATGATGAACCATCAATTTATACTTGATTTTCTGGTTTCTTTATGTAATTTAAAAGATACTTTTTTAAAGTATGGGTTATAGTAAACTATTATATTGGGACATCATAATTTTATTTTTATTATGATTTGAGACAGGATAATTTAGTAATCGTCTTTGGAGTTTCAAAGCCCTAGTTTAAAGTCTAATTTACCACATGTTGACATAAGTTTCCTCAACCATAAAACTGGGTATCTACCCTGTAAGTTTTCTTTTGTTATTATTCCTGAGCATAAAGTAAATGGTATATTATTCCTGAGCATAAAGTAAATGGTATCCATAAAGTAAATGGATAAATATTAGCTTTAAAATAGTTTGCTAACCCAAACAATCACAAGCTCTTCTTTCAAAAGTTACAATGTGTACATTTAAGTATAAGAAATTTACGGTATGATTTCTAAATCAAAAGACGCAACTAGTAAGTTGTTCAGCATTAGTGCTCAAAGAACAGCACATTCATCTCACAGTCATAGAAACAGTCATTTCAACTACTAAATCAAATTAAAATCTAGAATTATTTCTACTTCTTCTTTGGAAGTAGAG
Source organism: Homo sapiens (assembly GCF_000001405.40). Taxonomy (NCBI): domain Eukaryota; kingdom Metazoa; phylum Chordata; class Mammalia; order Primates; family Hominidae; genus Homo; species Homo sapiens. The sequence continues at coordinate 43,951,922 of NC_000014.9, forward strand.
AAAAATCAAATATTAATAACCTTAACAACAAGAAAAACTTGGATAATCTATAAAACCATATTTGTTTAATCCATCAGAGAGCTGAGAAAACAAAGCAAATAATGAAATGAAACCCAAAAGGTGTCTTGCTTCTCTCCACTGAGATCAGTCATATAGATTGTTTCACCTTGGTAGCGTATGAAAGGAAGAGATAGCCACATAGAGACAAATAAGAAGGAATTTTTAGCATTGTTAAAGATGAAGTGGAGGCTAGTGGCTAGTATGAAAGTTTAAAATCCCTGAGATCCCAGAAACAAGGAGACTCTGTACCTGCTTACCAACTCTCTTCCACAGTCTTCCATAGACTGCTTGGGAGTACTACTACTAGTATGACAGAAGATCTGAGGGAGACCTCCATCATGACTCAGGTGTGCAAGGGGTGCCTAAATTTCAAGGTAAAGTAAGAGAATCTTGTGATGAGCTTGAGTATTTGAGTATCTGTGGACAATCAAGGAAAATAAACACAAAATAACATTATCTTACCCAAACTTTGTTGGGAGACCTTTCAGAGATAGTGGAATGGGGCCACCATCCTGAAAGGGAAGTGGGGAGGACAACTCCCAGGAAAAGGGAGACAGGTCATGTCATTCAGCAGCAAGGTGGGGAGTCTCTGGATCAGAGAGCTCTGAAAGGCAGCAGTGGTTCGGGGTCATTTACAGCTACAGATTTTGTCTAATCTATGGCCAGCAGATGTTGGGTGCAGTTTCGCAGATTATGAAAAGCAGGCAGGTGCTAAATGGATAAACACATTTTAAATGGGACTATATTTAAAGCAACTAGATGTGTAGGGATTTGAGTTTAGTGCTGGCTGGCTATTTGCTCCCAGTCTTCAATTGCTGTGAGGAAGTAAACAACATAGGGAGTAATATGAATTGGCCATCTTTAGGCCATTTATATAACAAATCTAACGAAAGTTGTCTGTACTCTAAGACCTGTATGAATAAAAGCGGTTTGCTATTAATGGAGAATGAATATGCTGTGCCCTGGAGCTTGCTCTGATTTTAGACAAATGCTACATGTGGATTTGATAGGTGTCATTTTTAGACAGAAGTTTTTAGGAAACAGTGCATGATTCTTCTGCTCTTTCCAAGTTCCATAATGACAGCTGCTCTTTATGATGACTCAGTTGGCTTCCATGAGTGAGCTTAACATAAAACAGAACACCAACAAAGTCAAAATGAATATTCAGTGTGAGCAAGAAGTATACCCTTGTTCCAGGCTACAAAGATTTGGGGTTGGTTTGTGGCCACCACATGAACTACCCCAATATGGTTTGAAAAATGCAAATGGATTTTAGTTCTAATTCTGATTTAGTCATTTGTTAATGAAAATTTAAGTTGCTATTTTACCAAGAAGATGTGATTTGTAAGTAATTGGTCATAAATGAACATTTTTATAAATCCCATTTTGACAATAGAAATAATATTGAAGCAGGGATATTTTTATATGTGCTAGTCTTTTCCACTGACAGCCTCATCATCACTACTTATAGTTTAAAGATCTTATGAGTCAAGCTTGCTTTAAATTCTCAACTTTGTATAACACAAGTGGAGTTTTTAGCTCCCAGTCCAGACATAATTTTGTCTTATGCTTACTCTAAATTTTTATCACAAGCCATAAGCTGTTCTGTTGATAGATTTATCACAGGATAATACTTATATCTTTAAAATTGTAGTGAAATTACAAACAAAAGATATTGAGATACCTTTTAAAAATATTAAAATACAGAATATATTGTAACTGTTCTTCACTCCAATAACACAAAAGAAAAGGTTATATTTCTCAGTGAGGATTTTGCTGTGTATTGTGAAGAAAATGGCAAACCAGGATAAATTCTATAAATGTTTGTTGACTACCTCGTCAAATATATTAGAGTGTCTTAATATAATTTACTTGTCTTAAAATTCTACAAAGCTTTTTTCAAATAACTATTAAATTAAAGTTTTTCTTTTCCTACTCATCTCTACTTCCTTATGCCAAACTCATTATCTTAGACCTGAACCACACAATAGTTCATGGTTTTCTTAAACATTGCTACATTCCCAAAGACTTCCTTTTTTTTGTTTCAACTTCATGCTCAAAAACTTCTAATCATTACTATAAGATAAAACCCAGTTGGAATCTCTCTCTTCACCCCATCTATCACTAGAATATAATAGCCTATCACTTTCCAAAATGAATTTTCTTTTCCAGAAAATTTCAATTCCCTTCTCTCACCATTCTTTCAAAATGCTCTCCATCTTATAAACTTGTACGCTCCATGAGGCTGGGGAGTCTAGTTTTAGCAGCACAGTGATTTATAGGTCACGGATGCACATATGTATTTGTTAGATCTCTCTATTTGGAATACCCTGAATTTATCAATAATTTTTTTCATCTTATTTTAGAATACGAATTGCCTTTCTGGGTATAATGCAGAAATGACATAGTTGCTATGCTGCTGACGAAATGGTTAGATCACGCCTGGATGCTACTCAATTTATAACCAAATTAAATACATTGTATATGGTTAATTCTGCCTGTTTATCAGAACTTTACTTACAGAGGGGGCCAATTTGAGTCATATTTAAAGCCACCATTCAGCACTTAACAGTTTTAAATATAACATGATTTTCATAGAAAGGCTCTTGCTTTACCATTGCATACATTTATCAGATACATGAAAACACAGTTCTAACTAAAGGATAAACCCTGCATTTCCATCAATAAGAGGCCTGTTGAAAGAAACTGATTATTATGGTAGAGCTGAAGATAATATGAGCTTGCTTTAACATATAAGAAGTAACATATGATGCTAATCAAAAATTCAGAATAAATAAAAAATAAAGCACATGAATTAAAAAATAAAGTTGCTAAACAAATATTGAAGATGATATATTTTTCAGCCAAGTAGGTCATAACTAAAATATTGATAAAATATTTTATTTTTATAGTCAAAACTTTTAAGACACAGGGTTTTTTTTTACATTTTAACATCTCTATAAATGGTAGAATCTTATATTCATGATTCTTATATAATAGATTTACTGTTCTTTTTGATACATAAAAGAATGGCTTTTCTTATAGATTGCAACTTAGATTTCACAAAATATAAATATGTGAAATATTTTAGGGTTTGTAGTGATAATTTTACAGCATATTACGGATTGCATGAAGGATAACTTAATTTCTAAAACATTTAACTTAAAATTGTATAATGAAATGTGTATAATTTATATGATCAAAGAGAATTCTCAATAATCTATTTAAAGCAATAGTTCTATATCTGTAGTGAGCATTCCAGGAAACATTAGCACCAGAGCATTTCTGAAGCATCTTAAAAAAATAGTTGTGTGAAATGAAGCAGTGTAAATATTTTACACTTTGGTATTATGAAATAGTAATGTTCAAACGCCCACAAATGGAAAGAATAAGGTCAGCAAAAGTTGTGAAAGACAAAATCCTCACTTACAAACCTGTCTTTGAAAATAGAATGTAAGGATTTACCCCCAATAAACAAACAAGCAAACAAATAAATAAAGTATATAAATTCATTCTGTAATTTAATATTTAAATATTGAAATTTGCCTAAAATATTCATGGCTATTGTTTTCAATTTAGAGACTATATTCCAAAAGCAGTGAAATTTAACTTAAGAATATGATTTAAAACTTCTCATGTTTTTACATATATAAATGATAGCCAGATTTTTCTTCTTTATCCTACCTAGCTTTTTTTTTTTTTTTTTTTGAGACAGAGTCTCTCTCTGTTGCCCAGGCTGGAGTGCAGTGGCGCGATCTCGGCTCACTACAACCTCCACCTCTCAGGTTCACGCCATTCTCCTGCCTCAGCCTCCTGAGTAGCTGGGATCACAGGTGCCCGCCATCACGCCTGGCTAATTTTTTTGTATTTTTAGTAGAGACCTACCTAGCTATTTTTGGTACTAATTACTTGAGTCATATTCTAAGGTTGTTGTGAATTTTTTTTATTATTACATTGGAATTTTCTTTGATTTGAAGGCTTATATTTCTAAAATACATTGGGAAAAAAGCTCAACTATAACCCAGTAGCAAAAATCCAAGACTTTTAAATTATTTTTATTGCATATATCGATAATTGCCATCAATGTTTAATTACATTTAGTGCTATGTTATAAATACAATCAGACATGATAAGGGAGATATTACCACTGACACCACAGAAATGCAAACAACCAACAGAGAATATTATGAACACCTATATGCACATAAACTAGAAAACCTAGAAGAAATGGATAAACTCCTGGACACATACACCTTCCCATGATTGAACCAGAAAGAAATTGAATCCCTCAATAGACCAATAATAAGTTCTGAAATTGAGGCACTAATAAATAGCCTACCAACCAAAAAAGGCCCAGGACCAGATGGATTCACAGCTGTATTCTATCAGATGTACAAAGAAGAGCTGATACCATTCCTACTGAAACGATTCCAAAAAATTGAGGAGAAGGGACTCCTTCCTTACTCATTCTGTGAGGCCAGGATCGTCCTGATACCCAAATCTGGCAGAGATACAACAAAAAAAGAAGTTGGCCAATATCCATTATGAACATCTATGTGAAAATCCTAAACCAAATACTGGCAAGCCAAATCCAGGAAAACATCAAAAAGCTTACCCACCATGATCAAGTAGGCTCTAGCCCCAGGATGCAAGCCTGGTTCAACATATTCAAATCAATAAATGTGATTCAGCACATAAACAGAACTAAAGACAAAAATCACATGATTTTCTCAATAGTTACAGAGAAGCCTTTCGATAAAATTCAATATCCATTCATTTTGAAAACCTCAATAAACTAGGTATTGAAGGAACAGACCTCAAAGTAATAAGAGCCATCTATGATAAATCCACAGCCAACATTATAGTGAATGAGCAAAAGTTGGAAGCATTCCACGTGAAGACCAAGACAAGCACAAGACAAGAATGCCCTCTCTCACCACTCCTATTCAACATGGTATTGGAAGTTTCGGCTAGGGCAATCAGTCAAGAGGAGAAATAAAGGGCATTCAAATAGAAAGAGAGGGAGTCAAACTATCTCTGTTTGTAGATCATATGATATTCCGTGTAGAAAACCACGTAGTTTCAGCACAAAAGCTTCTTCTTTTTCTTTTTTTTTTTTGAGATGGAGTCTCGCTCTGTCACCCAGGACTCAGGCTGGAGTGCAGTGGTGCAATCTTGGCTCACTGCAACCTCCACCCTCCTGGGTTCAAGCGATTCCTCTGCCTCAGCCTCCCGAGTAGCTGAGATTACAGGTACCTGCCACCACGCTCGGCTAATTTTTTGTATTTTTAGTAGAGACGGGATTTCACCGTATTAGCCAGGACGATCTCAATCTCCCGACCTCGAGATCTCCCTGCCTAGGCCTCCCAAAGTGCTGGAATTACAGGCGTGAGCCACCAAAAGCTTCTTAAAAAAAAGCCCGGCCCCAAAAGCTTCTTAAACTGATAAACAAATTCAGCAAAGTCTCAGGATACAAAATCGATTTGCACAAATTACTAGCATTCCTATACACCAATAATAGTAAAACTGAGAGCCAAATCAGGAATGAACTCCCATTCACAATTGCCGCAAAAATGAATAAAATACCTTGGAATACAGCTAACTAGAGATATGAAAGATCTCTACAGGAGAACTACAAACCAGTGCTCAAAGAAATCAGAGATGACACAAAGAAATGGAAAAAAAAAATCAATGCTCTTAGATAGGAAGAATCAATATCATTAAAATGGCTATACTGCCCAAAACAATTTACAGATTCAATGCTATTCCCATTAAACTACCATTGACATTTTTCACAGAACTAGAACATACAATTTTAAAATTAGTATGGAACCAAAACCCCATGGTACTTGAACAAGAACAGACACATAGACCAATGGAACAGAATAGAGAACCCAGGAATAAGATGCACACTTACACTATCTGATCTTCAGTAAATCTGACAAAAGCAAGCAATTGTGAAAGAGTTCCCTATTTAATAAATGGTGCTGGGATAACTGATTAGCCATATATAGAGGATTGAAATTGCACCCCTTCCTTACGCCATATACAAAACCCAACTCTCGATGGATTAAAGACATAAATATAAAACCTAAAACTATAAAAACCCTGGAAGACAACCTAGGCAATACCATTCGGGACATAGGCATGGGCAAAGATTTCATGATGAAGATGCTGAAAGCAATTGCAATAAAAGAAAAAATTGACAAATGGGATCTAATTAAACTAAAGAGTTTCTGCACAGTGAAAGAAACTATCAACATAGTAAACAGACAACCAACAAAATGGGATAAAATTTTTACAAACTATTCATCCAACAACGGTCTAATATCCAGGATCTGTAAGAAACTTAAACATATTTATAAGAAAAAAACAAACAACCCCATTAAAAAGTGGGTAAGAGATATGAACACACTTTTTAAAAGAAGATAAATATATGGCCAACAAACATGTGAGAAAAAGCACAACATCACTGATCATTGGAGAAATGCAAATCAAAACCACAATGTGAGGCCATTTCATACTAGTCAGAATGGCTTTTATTAAAAAGTCAAAAAATAATAGATGAGAGTGAGGTTGTGGAGAAAAAGGAAGATTTGTACACTGTTGGAGAGAGTCAAATTAGTTCAGCCACTGGAATTCGTCATAGACCTAAAGACAAAACTACCATTGGACCCAGCAATCCCATTACCGGGTATATATCCAAAGGAATAGAAATCATTCTAGCATAAAGATAAATGCCCATATATGTTCATGGCAGCACTATTCACAATAGCAAAGACATGCAATCAACCTAAATTCCCATCAATGATAGACTGGATAAAGAAAATGTGGTACCTATACACCATGGAATACTATGCAGCCATAAAATGAACAAAATCATGTCCTTTGCAGGAATGTGGATGGAGCTGGAGGCCATTATCCTCAGCAAACTAATACAGTAACAGAAAACCAAATACTGTATATTCTTGCTTGAGGTGGGAGCTAAATGATGAGAACACATAGATGGGAAGAATACACAATGTGGCCTTTTGTAGGGTGGAGGTTGGGAGGAGGGAAATGATCCAGAAAAACAACTAGTGGGTGCTAGGCTTAATACCTGGCTGGTAAGATATTCTGTACAACAAACCCTCATGACACAGGCTTACCTACATAACAAACCTGCACTTGGCCCCTGTACTTAAAATAAAAATCAAAATAAAATATTATAGTGGTAAGATGATTTCCTACCCTGTAGAGTCAGGATTTTTAGCCTATATTCATGTAGAACATTACAAAATTTAATAATTGTGAGTAGTAATTAGTGTTAGAATAAAAGTCTTTGTAAGACTTTCTTTGAAAGATCACCTAAAGTTATACAAAATGTCATACCAACATTTCTCTGACAATCATTCTTTTACTTTTCCATGGCAATATTCCATAGAATATTGGTTTTTGAAATACATTAATACAGTCTTTATAGTTTCATAATCAGGCAGTCATTGTGAATTATAAAATACAAATTTTCCACTTTTCATGTGTTTCAATATTATAGCTGACAAGAAAATACAGCTATGGCATTTAATGAAGTCAGCCAGAAAAAACACTATAATTTAACACTAAACTTTAAAAAAATTTAACTTATAAATTAAATCAAATCAAATATATGGTTTTGTCTCAATTAAACTATACATTTTTATAGATAAAATCAATTTGTTCATTTTTACAATCCATAAACGCATTTACAAAAGATGTATATTTTATATATTCATTTAAGTCTTTTTTCATAACAGCAGACAAAGAGGTAAACAGAAAAAAACTTTACAATATAGTATGGCATATATAAATTATCATCAATTGAAGTAACATATATAAAGATAGCTATATATTTTTCATTTTAAAAAATTATTTGCCCCGGTGTCAAAAATTAAACTAAAGAGCTTCTGCACAGTGAAAGAAACTATCAACATAGTAAACAGACAACCTACAGAATGGGTTGTCCCATTCTGTGTCCATGTGTTCTCATTGTTCAATTCCCACCTGTGAGTGAGAACATGTGGTGTTTGGTTTTTTGTCCTTGCAATAGTTTGCTGAGAATGATGGTTTCCAACTTCTGTTGTGGGGTGTGGGGAGGGGGCAGGGATAGCATTAGGAAATATACCTAATGTTAAATGACGAGTTAATGGGTACAGCACACCAACATGGCACACGTATACATATGCAACTAACCTGCACGTTGTGCACATGTACCCTAAAACTTAAAGTATAATAAAAATAAAAATAATGAAATTTAAAAAAAATATTTGCTTAAAGTTACATTTCTATAAAATAAGAGCGAATCTACTGTTTTATAAGGTCTTTTGCTTCTCCCCACCTTCAAATTTTCCATGTACTTGCAGGCTTACTATCAAATTAGAAAATCCATTGCTAAATGTGAAGAGGACAAAAACCTAATCTATACTGTTGCATGACCTGCTAGTCACTGCCATTGTATCTGTGGGCGCCACAGAGAGTTGCTGGTGAAAACTGGTCCTAAACAGCCTAATGCATTCATGTTTACTGCTGAAATGATGACTTCGAACTGCAGTGACGTACCAAGTTAATAACATTACTTTAATGCAGATCACACAAAATACAAACTGGTGTGGTTGGATAAGGTAAGTGACCCAAGGAATGTCAATGCAGGCATTGGATTCAGCTTCCAGAATGTTAGAACCTTGAACAGAAGCAGGTTTATTAGAAAATACATGTTTGTTTGCCAGCTGGATGTGTCTTTGCTGTTTGTGTTTTCCTATTCTATACTTCCACTGTTGTAAAACAGAAACCACAGTGAGGAAGAGTAAAATTTTGATTTGCTAATGTCAAAGCATGGACAGAAATATGTCCAGCATTGCTATTGCATTTCACTTACCTGCCTTTCTTAATGTAGTCACCTCTCTTTTTATTTCCCTTTTGTGCCTTTTGATAATGAGTTAGTAGTCTTTCTCCACATAATTTGTTATCAATGTATAACGGTTAAGTCATACTGTGTTAATACATCAATGAGTTTTCCAAAATTTTATTCTGAATTATGCTGTAGATCCTCCCTAGAGGTATGCTTTTCCTCTGAATCTTCTAGATCTGCAAATATTTTCTGTTAAGTCCTATAAATTATACATTTTAGGCTTTGCAGATCATACAATCTCTGTCTCAACTACTCAACTCTGCCGTTTTAACTCAAAAGTGACCACAGACAATAGGTAAACAAATGAAAGTGGTTACATCCTCAGAAAACTTTATTAATTGACACTAAACTTTGAATTTCTTATAACATTTATGTGTCCCTGAAATAGTCTCTTCCCCCTCAACACTTTAAAGTTTTAAAAAATATTCTTAGCTTATGAGCTGTGCAAACACAGGTGATAGGATCTATCTGGCCCAATGAATTGTAGTTTGCTGACCTCTGTTCCAGCTCTGGATTTCTCCATCCTAGCTGCATATTGGAAGTAGGTCCTAAACCAGATTAATTAAATCATAATCCCTGCTCACATGTCTGTGTTTTGTTATATTTTTAAAACTTTCTGGGTGATTTCAGTGTTAATATGCTAATCTTTTCGGAAACAATATCATTTTTAAAAATTTAGTGTTTTTCTCCCCTCTCTATTGTTAACTAATATGAATCTAAGCTCAATAGGTATGTGTCAGAAAAGTGTAAGAGTATTGCAGATCCCTCTGTTTATATGCCACTCAGTGGGTAGGTTAGTACCTCTTTTAGATCTACACTTTGAAATCAGGTTGAGGTACACATATCTTAGTCTGATTCTCTTTTTCTAGTAAAACATATTAGAGTTGTATTTTCATCCTATCCCTGAGCTCTTTTTGGTTTGATGCTCTGAGACAATGTTAATACATGAAAACCTGTACTTTCAAACACATGTAAACTGCTACACTGGTTATTTTTCTAACCAACACTCCCTACTGTACTTGACCCACTCACAAAATCTAAAACCACAGAATGTATTGATCCAACCCCTCAAAATCCTTACTTCTTGTGCACTTTTATTCTAGGATTTACAGTCTCCATCTTGGTGGACTAAGATGCTAGCACTGCTTAGAGTAAGGAGAAGGCTGTCAAATATTGACACCATGCCCTCCCCCACAAAAATTCACCAGAAAAAAATATTGATCACACAAAACTAAGTTTATTAGACCCACTGCAATGAAAGAGAACACCATATTGACTGAATCTTAGTAGTGACTGAGAGGGGTAAGGTCAGGGGAGTACACTCATGGGGTCTTAAGGACTGGAGTGAAGGACTTTAAGGTGGATGTTGTAAGGTATAAAACTGGTTATCGTTAAGAAATTTACAAGATAGTAGCTTTAACCTAGTGGATGTGGCAAGGTGAGTCTTGAAGCAAGTCTTGATGATGAGCAAGTTCTTGGACTTAAAAAATATGCTATTTTAATTATTTTTCCCAGTCTTCTGATAACAAGAGTTGTTTAACGCAAATTGCTAAGTTGCTTTTGCCTGGTAATAGTAGTGTTTAAAACAGGGACAGAAAAGTATGTTGCTACCAGTTTTAAAGGCAACTAGAATGAGTTAAATAGTACTCTACTTTATAAAGCTACTCTTCAAAAAAGTTGGTGGGCAATCTAGTTTTAAATTTGTGTAGGACCTAAAGATTGGAATCACAGGGCTAATGATGGATAACGATAAAGCTCATTTTGCATTTTAGGTGGTCTTTATTTTATATTATGAAGTATAAATTCCAGGAGTTATCTCTCTCTCTCTGGCTTTTGATAGAAAGATATAGATAGATCTATATCTATCTGTATATACAGAATAAATCTATCTCATAGTTAACTGTGAATTATCTCTGGTTCTATAATTTGGTTGCCTGTTACTGCTTCTAATGGTGTAAAACTGTCTTATGTCTATTCATGGCTATTTTATGAGAATTTAGGTAACTCTTCTTAATTGTGAATCATTTGAGAAGAAATTGCTTAAGTAATAGCCTCTAAGACTATATAGATATAGATATATATAGATATAGAACAACCCAGTATAAGTAGCACAAAATCATTGGCATAGTAAGTAATATAGTTTTTTAAATAATCTATTATGAACAAGAGATAGTGAAGTAACCGGAGGTTTTCAAGAAAAGAGCTGCTGTGAAGCAGCAAAGGAGGGCCCAGTGTTTAGTTCCCGGTAAGAATAGCTGTGTTGAGGGGGCTGTTAACATCCAACCCACATGACCTGGCAAGGAGGAAGGAATGAGAAATAAATATCCCAACACCACTTGCCTTTCTACTTTTAAACTCATGATTTCATTAGCTAAAATGAATCAGAAATCAGTCACAGTTAGAAGTAGTCCATTCCAGTCACCCTCCTGTGGTACAGAATGGGTAGAGAAGGGTCAAGAGAGGATCTGGGGCCAGAGGTGGTAGCTCAGGCCTGTAATTCCAGTACTTTGGGAGGCTGAGGCAGCGGATCACTTGAGCCCAGAAGTTTGAGACCAGCCTGGTCAACATGGTGAAATCCCAACTAAACAGTGCAAAAATCGGTCAGGCGTGGTGGTGTGTGCCTGTAGTCCCAGCTATTTGGGAGGCTGAGATGGGAAAATTGCTTGAACCCAGGAGGCAGAGGTTGCAGTGAGCCAAGATTGTGCCACTGCACTCCAGTCTGGATGACAGAGCGAGACTCTGTGTCCAAAAAAATAAAAAATAAAAAGGGAGGGGGGATCTGGAAGAGCAAAAGAGCAAATGGATGATATGCAGTACAGCCCTTTCCTACAAGGTATATGGGCATGATGCTTGTATGATTTGTATGATGCTCTATGTGGGCAGACTGGAAGATGTCATAAACACCCTGATAATGACACAGTGAACAGATAAAATAACTCTGGGACTATGATGACGATGTTGGGCTGCAGAGTTAAACCTAGAACCATGTATCTTTAAGCCATCGGAGTGAAAAATAATCAATGTCTACGTTAGTTAAACCACCATTCTGGTATTGGTAGTTGAAGGTATCCTAACTGATATACTGTTTTGTGAGGCAACTACTGTTTTCATCCCCAGTATCCAGATGAGAAAATTTGATCATAAAGGAAACTGGCAACATAACTAAGGTCACATAGCAGTTCTATTATGCTAAATTTGGCATGAAGAGACACATACGCTTTTTCCTACTTTGTGAATGTGACTTCATTGAGCTTCATTTTCCTTACCTGTAAAAGAGAGCGAGAAAAAAAACAATGCCAGTCACACAGGCACAGTGGTTATGTTACTTAAATGTGATAATATGCTGAAAACATTATGATGCAGTAAATAACTCTATTAACATACAAATCGTTAATCATATTAACATTATTCATTAATATTTCATTAATTGTTAATATCTTATTAACTGAAAATATGCAGTATGTTTTCTGAAAATATACATTATAAAGCTGCAATTTTTACACTAGAAAAACTGCAAACAATTGTACTTTTTATAATATATATTTTTAGAGTTCATATATATCTACATCTACATATTTTTTTATTAATCGCTCAATAGATTTCTCAGACAAAAGCAATCTCTCTCCACTTCTACAAACATTTTATCAGTAGCCCTTTCTTATTTTTCCATTGTTCCTTGTCAGTTCTAATTTAATGTAAGCTCTTGAAGTTGAGGATTATGATTTGATAGCTTTGTATCCCCTCAGATACCTGACTCATAAAGTGATACATATAATAGATGTTTGATAAATATTATTGAATGAACATTATGGTATTTTATTTCTTCACATCCAGCATATATGTTTATATTATATCCCATGAAGTATAGGACAATGCTTATCTCCAATGCTACGTAAAAACACAATATCAACAAAAGGTAATATGTCATTCTATAGCTTAGGTTAGTAGAAATGCTTTCACTTGTTATTCTTACTGAACAAAGCAAACCCACCAGAAATGTCATTTCTGAATTCACTTCAATTGGCTCAGATTTTTGGAAGAGTGGAAAAGTTTGTAATAAAAAGAATCTTACTGAAGATCAATAAGGTTTCATTTCCACTTACAGCTTTCTTTGAACATTTTTTTTTCTTCCCACATACCTATACAACTACTCATGGTCCACAGACACTGAGAGCATAAGCGTACCTGAAAGAATTCTAAAAACGCAGTTGGAAGCACAGCTTTCTTTCCTGTTCTTACAATTGTGATTGCTAGAATGCATCTTCTACTATATAATTCTGAGGGCCTTAATAAAGTAAATTCCATTAAATGTATCATATATTTGAACTATACCGTTAAATGCATCATATATTTGAACTATACTTACTCTAAAAAATGGAAAAAAACAGATCCTTGATATGTATGAACATTTAAAAATGATACTACCACTTAATTAGAGAGGAGAACATCAAATCAAATAGATGGTTTAAATAGCTTTTAATTTTTGAACAAATATTAGAATACATTACACATAAGCCTATGCTTACTACCCAACTGCAAACTACACATTGTCAGGGATAATTTCTATTAAATGCTTATCTATATAGCATAAAAACAGTGACTACTCAAGCTATCTGAATACAATGTTCATTTTTTCTTTCAACTTTTATTTCAGGTTCAAAGGATACACGTGTGGGTTTATTATGTAGGTAAATTGTGTGTTTTAGGGATTTGGTGTATAGATTATTTCATCACCCAGGTAATAAGCATAGTAACAGATAGGTAGTTTTTTGATCCTCACCCTCCTCTCTACCTCCACCCTCCAGTAGTCCCTGGCATCTGTTGTTCCCTTCTTTGTGTCCATGTGCACTCAGTGTTTAGCCCCCACTTATAAGTGAGAAGATGTGGTGTTTGGTTTTCTGTTTCTGCATTTACTCATGTAGGATAATGACCTCCAGCTCCATCCAAGTTGCTTCAAATGACATGATCCCATTCTTTTTAGGGATGCTTAATATTCCATGGTGTATATCTGCCAGATTTTCTTTATCCAGTCTATCATTGATGGGCATTTAGGTTGATTCCATTTCTGTGCTGCTGTCAAGAGTGCTGCAATGTACACGTGCGCATATGTCTTTACCGTAAGATGACTTATATTCCTTGAGTATATATCCAATAATTGGATTTCTGGGTCGAATGGTATCTCTGTTTTTAGATCTTTAAGAAATCTCCAAACTTCTTTCCACAGTGCCTGAATAGGTTTACATTCCCACTATTGGTGTAAGCATTCTCTTTCCCCCACAACCTCACCAGCATCTATTACGTTTTGACATTTTATTAATAGCCATTCTAATTTGTGTGAGATGGTATTTCATTGTAGTTTTTATTTGCATTTCTCTAACGATTCGTGGTGTTCAGTATTTTTTCATACTCTTCTTCGTTGAGTGTACGCCTTCTTTAGAGAAATGTCTGTTCATGGTTTTTGCTCACTTTTTAATGAGGTTGTTTGATTTTTGCTTGTTGATTTGTTTCAGTTCCTTACATATTCTGGATATTAAATCTTTGTTGGATCCATAAATTGCAAATATTTTCTCCCAGTCTGTTGGTTGTCTGTTTACTCTGTTGACAGTTTATTTTGCTGTGCAGAAGCTCTTTAGTTTAATTAGATCCCACTTATCAAATTGTGTTTTCATTGCAGTTGCTTTTGGCTTCATCCTTATAAAGTCTTTGTCACACCTTATGTCCAGAATGGTATTTCCTATGTTGTCTTCTAGGGTTTTTAATGTACAAAAAATAAGCAGCTTTTCTATATACCAACAATATCCAAGCTGAGAGCCAAATCAAAACCATAGTCCCATTCACAACAGTCACACACAGAAGACACAAAATAACTAGGAATACAGCTAGCCGGGGTGGTAAAAGACCTCCGTAACGAAAATTTCAAAACACTACTGAAAAACATCAGAGATAACAAACATATGGAAAAACATTCCATGCTCATGGATAGGAAGAATCAGCATCAATAAAATGGCCATACTGCCCGAAGAAATTTACAGATTCAATGCTATTCCTAGTAAACTACCAATGAATTTTTCCCAGAATTAGAAAAAAAAGACATTCTAAAATTTATATGGAACCAAAAAAGAGCCCAAATAACCAAAAGAGTCTTAAGCAAAAAGAATAAAGGTAAAAGTATCACACTACCCAACTTCAAACTATACTACAAGGCTACAGTAACCAAAACAGCATGATACTGGTACAAAAGCAGAAACATAGACCAATGAAACAGATTAGAGAACCCCAAAATAAAGCAGACCTATAACCAACTGCATCAACAAAGTCAACAAAAACAAGCAATGGAGAAAGGACTTCCTATCCAATAAATGTTGCTAGGATAACTGAGTAGCCATATGCAGAGGATTGAAACTGGGCCCCTTCCTTTCACCATATGCAAAAATCAACTTGAGATAAAGACTTAACTGTAAAACCTAAAGCTAAAATGAATGTTTTTAATATAAATGTTTTTATGTACTTACTGCAAATCACATAATACATTAAGAACTTTAACATTATCATTTTATTTATTTTAATAACAATCCTGTAGTATAGTTAAAATGTTGCCAATTTTACAGAGTAGAAACCTGGAATTCTGGGACCATGTTACATAACCTAATTTCAAAGGCTTCTGTAGAACTTCATAAAATGCACAGGCATCCTGGTTTACTACTCAAACAATAATCAATGTCTTTCTTCTATCAGTCAATCATTGTGTAGCTTTAAACAATTCACAATTATTTGTGCACAATATCTGTGCTATTCTATCTTAAAACAAATAATTCACCCATTCTTCTTTTTCTTTCATTTTTAATTGATTCATTTAGTCAATAAATATTTATTGAGTGTATAATATGTACCAGGCTTAGCACTATCTCTCAAGATTTAGGAGTATAAAATGTAAGCCCTGCCTTAAGAGGATTTGAGTGTACTAAAAAAGATACAATTTAAAAGGCAAATTACAATACAGAGCATTAAGTATTATAATAGTTGCATGTGCTTGGCTTTAATTAGGAAGATGCATTTAATTCAGGCCTTGTATTTTATCTGGAAAAGATTCCCAGAGAAAGTAGCATTTGAGGCCGGGGGCAGTGGCTCACACCTGTAATCCCTGCACTCTGGGAGGCCGAGGCAGGTGGATCACCTGAGCTCAGGAGTTCGAGACCAGCCTGGCCAACATGATGAAACCCTGTCTCTACTAAAAATACAAAAATTAGCTGGGCATGATGGCAGGCACCTGTAATCCCAGCTACTGAGGAGGCTGAGGTAGGAGAATTGCTTGAACCTGGGAGGTGGAGGTTGCAGTGAGCCAAGCTCATGCCACTGCACTCCAGCCTGGGCAACAAGAGCAAAACTCTGTCTCAAAAAAAAAAAAAAAAAAAAAAAAAAAGAAAGGAAGAAAGAAAAAGAAAGAGAGAGAGAGAAAGAAAGAAATAAAGAAGAAGAAAGAAAGAAAAAGAAAGAAAGAAAGAAGAAAAGAAAGAAAGAAAGAAAGAAAGAAAGAAAGAAAGAAAGAAAGAAAGAAAAAAGAAAGAAAGAAAGAAAGAAAGAAAGAAAAAGAAAGAAAAGAGAAAGAAAGAATTTGAACTGAGTATTTGTGGTGCAATGTGCTCAGGCTAGTATCTAATCCCTAAAGTAAACTCACTATTTTTAGCACTCAATAAGTTTTTTTCTTTATTGTTTTCATTGGTTGTGTCAGTTAAAAGGCCTTTTTTTTTTTTTTTTTTTTTTTGCTGAAACATGGACTAAGCCTCACTGCCTCTCCCTCCCCTTTGGTTGTAGAGATAGGGACTCCATAGAGAAGAAATCAGGCATACGTATCCTTCTGGCAATTAGTGAATGAATAAAGGAGTATCTTTGATACCAGGCCAGAATGTGAGTTATCAACAAGTGGGAGTATCTTAAATGCTCTGAAGTTACATTACTAACGGTCCCATCATTCCCTGTCCTAAACTCTATCTTCACTGGCTGATTTCTTATAATCAGAGAGAGGAAACAATTGAAAATTTGTCAGTTCCTCACGCTTACAAGATTGAAAACAATTCCAGATGGGCTGTCTATAGTTACCTATCATTTTCCAAATTGAAACATGGAGCTGTCAGGTTCTCAGCTTTCTTCAGTCCCCGGTATTGCAAGTTGCTTAACATGACTTCTCCACCTGAGGCATCCTATTGTGTATTTCAGGAAAGGGAAAAGAGGATTAAAAAATAAAAAAAAACAAACAAGCCATCTTTCTTGCTCAGTCAAGTTCCCTTCAAATAGGCTTTATGGAATTCCCACACAATACTTCTATTTACATATTACATGGTGTCCTCTAGTTGCAAGGGAAATATCATTATTATTATTAGTAGTAGTAGTACTAGGGGATGGATGTTCCTATTACTCAGATTTGATCACTATACATTGAATATTTGTACCAAAATATGTACCCCATAAATATATGTAATTCTTACATATGCATAAATATTTTTAATTTGAAAAGATAGATTTGTGTCATAGCATTCATCAATCACTTCACATCATTTCTGTGGATCTTGGGGAAAATAATGAAAATAATGGAAACATGAAGCTGATGCTACCTGTTGTGCCTTGAACAATAAAGTTTTTTGCCTCTGACTGAGGAGCCTCTGCCAGTCTTCTGGCAGCATCTATAGAACTATTGCAGGGTAACTATTAACTTTCAAGTAAAGTAGAAGTTCAGAACCTTCACAGTTCTTAACAATGTGAACGAAGAAGAAAAAGAAAAAAAAAAAAAAAGAGCAACATCTTGGACTAGCCAACATGTACAGGTCAGGAGAAATGGAAGATCCAGAAAAGGAGAAGAAGAAGAAATAGACATTGAGATGGGAGCACAACCAGAAGAATTAATTTTACTCTTTAAAATGAAATCCTATGTTTAAAATATATGTTTCAAGTAAAAGGTCTTTTTTGCTCTTTCACTATCCAAGTGTTTAGATAGGTTATTAGCTACTAGATCCAGCAAGATGTAGAAACTATAAGGAATTTAACTAGACTTAAATTAAATAGTAAAGATTTATCCTTAGAGTTTAATAATTCATGAGCACCGAACAGGACTTATCTATATATCTGTGAAAAAATGCAATCTCTTTAATAAAAAGACACTGCTAATTTCATACAAGCAATACAAATATTGATGGCTATCTGGGCATTTTACTTTATTTTAAAATAATTGTAGATTAAAATGCAGGTATATGTAATGATATAATGAGATCCTGTATACCCTACACTCTTTTCTTTCACAGTAACATCTTGCATAACTATAGTAAAAGCACAGCCAAAAAATTGGCATTGATAAAACCCACTTACCTTATTCACGTTCACCAGTTTTACATTCATTTATGTGTGTGAATATATTTGTTTATATGCAATTGTATCATATGTGTAGATTCATGTGATCGCTACCACATTCAAGATACAGAACAGTTCCTTTACAAGGATACCTTTTGCCACCCTTGTTGAGCCATAGCCACCTCCTTCCTTTCCCAAATAAGAATTAGCCAAATGAAAGAGAGAGAGAGTTGTTGGGCAGAAAAAGACACGCAAACTTTATGTGACATGAGAAAGTGTGTCAAACTGAAAAAAACAGCAATTTTCACTCTATTGCTAATTTATTTTATGTAGCTTTTATGTGTATACTTATAAACTGCCTTGTTTGTTGGGGGATAACAATTTGTATGAGAACAATTTGTATGACAGATAGAGCCATTTTTTTTTTTTTTTTTTTTTTTTGGAGACAGAGTTTCACTCTTGTCGCCCAGGCAGTGGTGTGCAGTGGTGTGCAGTGGGGTGCAGTGGTGTGATCTCAGCTCACTGCAACCTCTAACTCCCTGGTTCAAGTGATTCTCCTGCCTCAGCCTCCCAAGTAGCTGGGATTATAGGCACTCACCACCACGCCTGGCTCATTTTTGTATTTTTAGTATAGAAGGGGTTTCACCATGTTGGCCAGGCTGATCTCAAACTCCTGACCTCAGATGATCCACCCACCTCGGCCTTCCAAAGTGCTGGGATTACAGGCATCAGCCACCGTGCCTGGTCAATAGGGTACCTTTAAAAAAAAATTTTTTTATTTTATCACTGGTAGTCAATTCTCAGCAACTTACTATACAAATGTTATCAAATTTCTTCCATTTATTTTAAATGTCTACATTATGATAAAATAAGACTATATAATCAAAGAAAATAACATCCAATGCATTCCCAGATTCCTAGTTGTAAATATGATATGGCAATGATTTATAAATTTACCGGTATTATAACAATATACTTCTTTTATAAGTTAGAAAGTGACACATGCCATGTGGGTTCAAAGAGAAAAAGAGAAGGAGATAGATTCTTGCTAGAAGATGGTGGAGTCTTTATAATATAGAGTCCATAAACTCTTATCGCCAGAGTTTTTGTTTGTTTGTTTGTTTGTTTGTTTGCTTTTTTCTCCTGGCCAAGGAAAGTTCCCATTGGCATATGGCATGAAAATAAAGTTTAACTGTGCTTCTCTTCTTATGTTAAATTATGTAGTAATACTCATTTGCTAGTGATGCCAAATTCTCTGTGATCGACCTTCCTGTACTTCTGATCAACAACCAGAACTCAGATTCATAGACAGCTGCTTCTCTACCAGAATCAGTGAGCAGATCAGGTGAGGTTTCCCACCCTATTCTTTTCTGTCCCTTCAGTCTCCTAAGAGATAATCAAACCAAGTTGTGAAGACAAATGTAACAATTCCATAAGGGAAGTACAATATAAAAATGAAATATTAGTCTCTCATAATTGTGGACTGAACTCTAGATCTCCAAGGGAAAGAGACCTTTGGAAGTTTTTCCGGATGTCTGCTTCTCCCATCTCTACCAAGGTTCCACTTACTCAGCTTTACTTTTTCTTTCCGAAGGCAATCTTATTTTCAGGTCTCTTCATTCATATCTCCAGTAACATTCCTGGAAACATAACTTCTCCTATGGACAGGTGGAAATCTTGTTCCTTAAGTCTCTCTATTCCCTGATACCCTCTCCTTCTTTGCCAGTTCTGAGTTGTTGGAACCCCTGAACTTCATCAGTGTTATCTTTTGCTTCCCCAGTTTGAAGATGAGCCAGGAACTCTACAACCCCTTTTCCAAGAACAAGATGTATCACCCGGTCAGGATCTCTTTTTTAAAAAATTTTCTCACCCATTTGAGGTATAGATACGCCAGTTCACTTTAGTAAAGATCCTGTTCAGTTAAGCCTATGCATGTTTCTAAGTACATATATTAACTATCATAGAATTTATCAATTAGTGAAGCAGCTGACCCATTTTCTAAAGTCGTTAGGTTCATGTAATTCAACATTAACTTCAAAAGTTTCTGATTCTGCCGGTAATGTTGCCCTGGTGAGGTGAGGTTGCAGTCGGGAGGCGGGTGGCCAGTTTTCCCTTTACAATGCCATATGTGTTGATGGGATGTAGAAATAGGAGTAACGAGTCCCACATATAAAATCAGAAAGTTGTAGGGAGTGCAGGGAAGCAGTCAATAATTTGCCTGGGCAAATACTAGTTGTGTGGAATTACCTCAAAGACTAGGAAACAGGTAAAATGATAGAAAACTTTCGTAGAAAGGACAAGATTCTAATCAGTCTTTAGAAAACCAAATGGTGCAACATGCATGGAAAGGTATAGAAAGGGTTAAAGTGGAGTGAAAAACTGAGCACAGTGAGACTATTAAAATAATCCCGGTGAGATAGCACTAAAATAACTTTCATTCATATTGCCTCCAAGACTACAAATGTCTCTGCTGCATAGAATAATATGAAAATGAATGAATTTTGTAACCAGATTCTGAAAAAAATGACCTAGTAAATGAAATAAAACAGAGTGAGAGATAGGAATTTTGCAAACTGTTAACTTTCTCAAAACATCAAGATACAATATTTTATTCTGTTATATTAAAAAAACCCTGAAATATTTATCTTCATGTTTAGACACCACTTTGGTCTTGAGAGAATATGGTAGGAACATGCTAATCATTTTGCATAAATTTGGTAAATATGTTTTGATTCCTCTCATTTTTCTAATATTAGTGCTATATGAGACTGTAGTACCTGATACACAAGTCTACTACAGTGATGTATTATTGAGCTATAAATTTTAATTTCCATACCTCCATAAATATGATCATTTTATAAAATACCTAATCTTCTGATGCAATCTGAGATAATAAAATTATAATCGAAGTAGCTAATATGTGATATGCATAATCATTTAACTTTAAAGCAAGGAGTTACTCTTGTTCAATTTTACAGATAAGGAGAATGAGGCTTGCAGAAGCTTTGTAAATTTTTTAGTAAGTTGTAGAGCTGATATTTCAAACTGGTTCTGTCTCCAAACATATTGCTAAAGTGTATAAGAAAAAATACATACCAAAATTGTCACTGAAGAAATGTTAATTCTAAGACTCATTCAAAATGTCAGCTTAGTTGTTCTCCAAAGCCAGGACCAACTGTTATTAAAACCATCCATGAGGGGGAGGGAGGCAGAGGTTGCCGTGAGCCGAGATCGCATCACTGCACTCCACCTTGGGCGACAGAGCAGGATGCTGTCTCAGAAAAACAAACAGACGGGAGTGGTGCCTCATGCCTATAATCCAGGCACTTTGGGAGGCCCAGGCGGGCGGATCACCTGAGGTCATGAGTTCGAGACCAGCCTGGCCAACATGGTGAAACCCTGTCTCTACTATAAATAAAAAAATTAGCTAGACATGGTGGCACATGCCTGTAATCCCAGCTACTAGTAGGCTGAGGTAGGAGAATAGCTTGAACCCGAGAGGCGGAGATTGCAGTAAGCCAAAATCGTGCCACTGCACTCCAGCCTGGGCGACAGAGTGAGACTCTGTCAAAAAAAAAAAAAAAAAAAAAAATCCATGAAGCTCTTTTAAAGAATTATGAACAAGAATAGACTTTCTTTAGAGTATATTTGATTTGGTTCTGAAAGATATTTTAGCCAATCGAGAAAGGAACTTGTGTTACACGGTCTCCTGCTGGCAAATGTGTAGCATTGTTGCTTCTTCTTCTTCCAAACTTGCCTTGCGTTTAAATCTGGTGCTCAATAAAACAATAAATTCTTTTGGTAGGATAAGTCAGGAAACTAAGAATTAGAGTTTTCTCTTTAAACTACTCTTTTTTTCAGGTTAATTACTCAACAGCATCAGAAGGTTTTTCTCATTTTTCTCTCCCTTCCTAAGAGCCATTTGTTCTAATTTCTCAAGAGCTGAAGTAACATTGCCTTTCTTTAATGGGAGCTCTAGGAAACACTGAAACGTCAGCAGGCATTTTCCATAATCAACATCCAACTCATAGCTTATGATACCAGGGTCTTCTCATGTACCCCCTCATCCTTACTTGTCAACATCAAAACTTGATTTCAATGGAGTACCTAATTAGCACAAATTCATTAAGGTATAAAGAATATATTATTTGCATTTTAATAGAGGATAAAAGCCTTAGGCCACAAAAAAAGAATCTCAATGATAGAATTTAGGCCTTGAAAAGATGGGGGAACTCTTTGGGAAAGTAAACTCATGATCTCCTCTCATTCCATCTAAAATCACCAACCTATGCAGCCAATTATATATCTCTTAAAAGCAAATGAAATGAGTTTGATTCCAAGGTGCTGACATAGACCATTCTTGCTAAAACGAACTTTGATGACACATAGAACACTAAGCTGTGATAATTATACTTTTAACACCTTAATCCATGTATTCATTAGCCATCCCGATAATTAGAAAAACACTAGAAAATGAGCTTTAGGAGACAGCTGTCTCACTGAATGCTGATAACAGAAACAGAATTTTAATTTCACAAATGAAGAAAAGCATACAAGTTAACTAGCTCAATGATGTACCTTGAATTAGCTTTCCCTCCTTCCCTGTTTCATTCTTTCTAGTACTTCCTTTCTTATTCCTTGCCAGGAAGATAGTTGCATGCGAGGCCGCATCTCTACATCTGAGACAGCTGGTTCCAAGAGTGGTCCTAATAGCAGCAAAAGAACTGGCTACCTGGCCAGGGGCCTGAAACTATGGGTGGAAGTGTGAGAGAGGGCAAAAGTATGATCATCTTGAATCACATATATGAGTTTCAGAGAACATCTACACTGAAAGAGACAATAAATTCACAACATATAATATAAATATATGAATATCAGAAATATTGAACAAACATTCCCACAGAGAGGATCATCCTTTTCCAACTTACCTTAGAGCATCGTTTAGTGGATATACGAAAACATAGCTATCAGCACACCTGACATTTAAACATCTGCAAGTGTTCCCAAAGGGAAATAAATTCCGTTATGAAAATTATGACTGCTCTCTTGTTCTGCTTTGGGCTTTAGTTGTTGTTATGCTTGATGCCAATCATCCAAAAGTTTTAGAGGCATGAAATATGCCTTTCTACACTCACCCATGCACATTCACAATGTTAAAGTACCTTGAATGAGAAAAATACATAAGCAACATAGAATCACATGTGAGAAAATCTGTGCAGGTTACACACATTTAAGATTTTCATAGAAAGAAAATAACTTTATTGGGGTAAGATTAGAAATGAATTTAAAATTGACTTTTTACAAAAAGGAAGAATTTGATATGGCAAGGAGCAAGAGCAAAGTTAATGTTACACAAGAATGGAAATAACATGTGTGGTGGAAAAGAACTGTTGATAATTATTTCATCATTTCTAAGAGACAGGCTGTGTCTGGGTACTTTGCATGTGTTAACTGTCATCCCCAGATTATGCATACCCCTCCTCATTAAATGTCCTACTCTTTGCCCTGATCTCTTACATCTTACTAAATGTCAAGTCTATTCGTATAGGTACTCAGGTAAAAATTCTCGGGACCATCTTTAAAAAAATCGTATGAGCTCTGTTTCAACATATATTCAGAATCCAGCACTTATCACCTCTACTTCCAGCAGCTTAGTCTAAGCTACAATTATAACCCTCCTGGGCCATTCCTATTGTTTCCTACTTGATCCTGCTGCACCTAACCTTGGTCTCCTATTGTTCTTTCCACAAGCAACCAAAGGAACAATTCCTTAAAATCTCAAGGCAAACCATGTTACCTTTCTACAGTAAAATTCTTAAAGACTTCTCTTCCTGATTCAGATTAAAATGAAAAATCCATATTATGGCTTTACAAGGCTTGGCACTTTTCCCTACTACCTTTCTTATGTAATCTCCAACCACTCTCTCTTTGCCAACTCTGATCCAGCCACTTTTGCCTCCTTGCTAATCTTTAAATATTTTTTGTTTGTTTGTTTTTTGAGACAGAGTCTCGCTCTGTCACCCAGGCTGGAGTGCAGTGGCGCGATCTCGGCTCACTGCAAGCTCCGCCTTCCGGGTTCACGCCATTCTCCTGCCTCAGCCTCCCAAGTAGCTGGGACTTACAGGCGCCTGCCACCATAGCCGGCTAATTTTTTTTTTTGGTATTTTTAGTAGAGACGGGGTTTCGTCCTTTTAGCCAGGGTGGTCTCGATCTCCTGACCTTGTGATCCACCAGCCTCGGCCTACCAAAGTGCTGGGATTACAGGCGTGAGCCACCGCACCTGGCCGCCTCCTTGCTAATCTTTAAATATGTTAAGCACACTCCTGCATCAAGACATTTGCACTTACTTTCTGGTCTCTTTTTAAAGACATAACCCTTTTCATATGATAATCATTTGGCTGGTTTCACTTGTTTGGGGTCTCTGTTTAAATATCACCTCCTCAGGAAAATGTTCCATGATAGCCGCATCTAATCTAGCAGACCTGTTTAGTTGCAGTCCCTTTACCTTGCTTATTCTTTTTTACAGCTTGTATCAGTAGCTTGGATGCTACATATGTATTTATCATTTATCTATTTTCATTATTGTTTCAACTCTGTAAGAGTAGGTATTATCTATTTTCTTTATGGGTATATATCTAGGATCTAAAATAGGGCTTGACATATAGTAAGCAGGTTATAATTGTGTAGTGACTATGTGAATTTATCTTTGAAAACCCTGTAAGATATGTTTTAATCCTAATTGTAATAAAATAAAATTGCTGACAGAAATCTTAAATAGCTCTTCCTCCATCAGTAACTAATAAGAATTACAATTCAGGGCTGGGTGCGGTGGCTCAGGCCTGTAATCCCAGCACTTTGGGAGGCCGAGGCAGGTGGATCACAAGGTCAGGAGTTCGAGACCAGCATGGCAAATATGGTGAAACTCTGTCTTTACTTAAAAAAATACAAAAAATAGCCTGGTGTAGTGGCGCACATCTATAATCCAGCTACTCTGGAGGCTGAGGCATGAGAATCGCTTGAACCCAGGAGGCCGAGGCTGCAGTGAGCCGAGATAGAGCTACTGAACTTCAGCCTGGGTGACAGAGTGACACTCTGTCTCAAAAAAAAAAAAAAAAAAAACAATTACAATTCAGATTTATACCTGGGCTCAAAGCCTACATTTCAAATAAGCATTCCATACCCCCTTTCCATGATAGGACTGTAAGAAGCAGAGGTAAAAATGAGCAGAAGATGCATAATAGGAAATAATAAGAGGTAGGTTTGATAGGTTGTATTTTTATACTAAGATGTAACATAAAATCCACTACATTTAAACTCTTCATTTATCTATACTTGACTCAGATATTACAGGAAGCTTATTCTAGCTCATAAATATAAATTTAAAAGGAAATTGAAGATAATTCTTGCTGAGATCTTAAGTGTTATATATTATTATTTTATTACAATAATATAAAATACATTAATATCTTGAACATGTCTTCCATTAAATAACTCCACATATTCAAGTGCTATTTGAAAATTTTTCAGTTTCTGAGAGGAAAAAATGTAGCAATAATAGACTGAGTTATTGCAAAAAAAATTTTTTTTAAATGTTATTTAGGAACTACTATTTGCTAATGGCTATAGCTTAGAAGAGCATGAGTAATAAAATGTGTTAGTTTCCAGAATTATCATGAAACACTTTCAATCAACCTGATGAAGACTGGGGTTATAATCTCAACCTCAGTGTGACACATCACTAGGGATACTGAGTAAAGTCATCTCTAAATATTTAATACTGTATGATACTCCTAAATTGTCCTCCTATAGCTGAGATATGCCATCTGAAAATGCTAGCATGCATGTAAGTGTTAAATCAACAACAAATTATTTATTTTAAATTCTAAATCATGTGTTAGGCAAAGTAATAACTATTAGAAAACTAGAAGCTTGCTTCAGCTACACCAATAACTATTTGCAAAGTATTTGCTGTCAGTTTTTGGATTTGTAAAATAATTTAATTAAATGCCTTCAACTTTTGTTCTGGTCTCATGTGCTACATGCTTACCTAGACTCCAGTGGATATTATTTATTTCCTTGACCTGGCTTTAAAAGCCATTTTTCAATCTCTGAATTTGATCAAAAAGTTTTTTTTTTTCTATTTGTTTCAAGATTAGCTTTGTTTCTCCAAGTACATGATAAGCTTCACTGGGGCTTAAATGTTGTTTTACCCTTCTTTGTAACTTCAAGAACACCAAGTTTAGTAGTTTGTGATCCATTAAAAAATTAAAGATGTAAATATTAGCTTTTCTTAAGTACCACTCTATGAAAAATGTAGTCAAATGGGATTTAATTTAATTAACACCCATGGAAAGAGGCAAAATGTATCCTGATTAGAATACAATAAAGTGATACTGCATATCTTAAAAATGGATATACCAATTGAAAGACAAGGCTTTTAGGGCAAAAAACTATATAATGTGACCATGATTATCCAGAGTAATTACAAATGGTATTATACAGGTTATCTTTTCTGACAAGTAGTTTGGAAGTCATCATTCTCATCTTCATAACAATAAAAAGACTAAACACACTGGAAAACAATAACTTTTCTTAGATCTACCAGAGAACTGAGGTCATAGGACAGCCATCCAAATCTCGAGAGACAAGATAGTCAGATGTTAGCAGCTGGGATCTGCTTACCTAGAACAGAAACTTCTAGAACAATAAACGAATTGAAGCATTTAAATGGTAATTTTCAAAAACTGCTGAAGACTGACTGCAGACTAGCATTAGAATGAGAAACTCCTGCAGATCACTATTTAAGGGGGATGCCCAACACTTTGGTTAGTTTTATCTCCAAGAACCCTAACAGGTTCCTTATTGTGAAGAACCAAGAATACTCTCTTTATCGCACTGGAAGGGGGAAAGGAAGAATAGTCATTGTGAAATATACCCACAGCTTTTTCCACAACAAAATTTTATCTGGGAAAGACGGCTAGGGAGATTTTATCAGAGCCTCATCCCACCTGAGATAAGGGCATTTCTTAGTCTTCAGAACCCTCTAATCTTCCTGCATCATCTTTAGGAGTGGGAAAGCTAAGAAATAGTTGGAAAGGCCAGAGTCCAGAGAAACAGACTCACATAAACACTGAGATATAATTATAAGTTTACAACGTGGTCTCTGTTCCCCATATCTTACCGCATCCACCATGGGAATCAATTATTAACAATGGATTATAACTGAAAGAGCTGTAAGACACAGACTCTATCTAAGAAGGAGTACTTAGGGAAGCATAAAGACATCAGAGAGGACAAAAACAAATACACTTAGGTGTTTTCAATGACTTTGCTATTGTAAGTCGTGCTGTGATAAACATAAAAATGCAGGTATCTTTTTAAAATGATTTATTTTCCTTTGAATAGACACCCAGCAGTGGAATTGCTGGGTCAAACTGTAGTTCAGTTTTTAGTTCTTTGAGGAATCTCCATACTGTTTTCCATGGAGGTGGTAATAATTTACATTCCCACCAATAGTGTATGAGCATTCTCTTTTCCTCACATATATGCCAACATCTGTTGTTTTACTGGCTTTTTAATAAAAGCCATTCTGACTGATGTATTCATAAGATGATATCTCAGTGTGGTTTTCATCTGCATTTCACTGATGATGAGTTATGTTGATAATTTTAAATGCGTTTGTTGGCTGCTTTTGAGAAATGTCTGTTCATAACCTTTGTCCAGTTTTTAATGGGGTTGTTTGATTTTTTCTTCTTGAGTTGAGTTCCCTGTATATTCTAGATATTATTCATTTGTCAGAGTCATAATTTGTAAATATTTTCTCCCATTCTGATGAGTACAATATAAACCCAACCCTCACCACCACACAAGTAATATCCATGTAACAAAGAAATACATATATCCTCAAATCTATAAAAGAAATGCAAAAAAAAAAAAACCCCAAGAAGATTCTTAAAACCTCTGGAATCTACAACTACATCAAATGTTGTATAGCAATTTGGCAATTTCTCAAAGAACTTAAAGCAGAATTACCATTTAGCACAGTAATCCCAATATTGAGTATATACTGTAAGAAATATAAATTGTTCTACCATAAAAACATATGCACACGTGTTCATTGCAGCACTATTCACAATAGCAAAGACATGGAATCAACCTAAATGCCCATCAACAGTAGACTGGATATAAAAATTATGGTAAACATAAAACATGGAATACTATGCAGCCATAAAAAAGAATAAAATCATGTTATTTGCAGCAGCATGGATGGAGCTGGAGGCCATTATCCTAATTCATGAACAGAAAACCAAATATTACATGTTCTCACTTATATGGGGGAGCTAAACATTGAGTACACATGGACCCAAAGAAGGGAGCAATATACACTGGGGCCTACTTTAGGGTGGAGGATGAGAGGAAGATGAGGATAAAAAAACTACCTATCTGGTACTATGCTTATTACCTGAGTGGATAAATAATCTGAATAACAAAACCCCCATATTCTAGACCAGCTCGGTCCAATAAAACATAATGTGAGCCACATGTGAAATTGTTAATTTCCAAGAAGTCACATTTTAAAAAAGTAAAAGTCATAGGTAAAATTAATTTTATTATTATATGTTACCTAATATAATCATTTACATATATTTAACCATAAATTTTATTAATGAAATATTTACATTATTTTTCTCTTAGTAAGTCTTAACATTTAGTGTGCATTTTATACTTAATGCACATTTCAATTCAGATGCTAAATTTTCCTTGGAAACACTTGATCTGTATAAAGATTTCAAGAAATTAGAGTTGAAAAAGTATATTTTTCTAAACAATATATTTATGCTGTTATTCTAAATAGAAGTTTTTCAGTAACTACATTAAATATTGGTTTTTAATTTTATTTAAGTTAAAGTACCTTAAAATTTTAATTTAAGATTAGAAATCTAAAATTAAAATTAAAAATTTTTGTTCCTTAGTTGCTAGACACATTTCAATTGCTTGATATTTAATATATGGCTAGAGGCTGTCATATTGAACAGTTAAATTCTAGAGCTTTCTAGAATATAGAATGAAAACCACTGGGTTAGTCAAAATGCTTCTCAAGACTATCATTCAGGAGGCTACTGCCATGATCGCCAAGAAGCATCCAGCTTAGTATTTGGCATCTGAGTATACTGATAAAATCCTGCTCCTAGACCTACAAGGTGGAATTTCAGACTACAGACCTACTTAATTCAGTGATACAATAACATTCTGAAGGATCTGGGAAGCCAGCTTGCTAGGCAGAATTTCCCTGGCAGCCCTCTCTTTCAACGTGTACTTTGCTTTCAAAATGTCAACATAACGTCACTCTGAGATTTGCTCATCTCACAGATAGCAAAGTCAGCTTTTTAAATTAAGCAGCCTAACCTGGAAGCCATAATAAGTATGAAATAGATTAGGCAGGAGTTATTCCCCAAAGTCTTGTCAATCCACCAGCTTAAAGCAATGCTGATCACTGCTCTAATACTTGCAGGTAGTTGCTGAGGATAGTCAAATAACTCCCAGATGGACTGTTGAAAGGAGGAAGAACTACATCAGTGAAAGCATAATCACAAAGTGAATTATAATTTCAAGCAATGTGGCTTAATTGTGGGTAATAGAGGGTATAGTAATATGAGGTGAAGCAATCAAACAAAATTAATGCAGTCTTAACTTAGGCTACTTGAGTTTCAGAACTGTGAAAAGTAACTCTTCAAGGAGTACTAATTATTGAAAATGGTAGAAGTCTTTGTCAAGGATGGCCTTCAACTGGAATTTCATCTGTCAAAATTCTGAATACTAGACATGGACCCCTGAGGAAAGGAATAGATGGAATTCATTATGTAACACTTCTCTCGCTTTGCTGTTCTTTCCTTTCTTTGTCCTTTCATAACCCTAGAGGGTACAAATGAACACAGCCATGGTGCCTTACCTTAAATTTGTTGTACTTGAGTCCACTCTACCCAGCAGTCTTCCCATAAAGGAAATTTGGTTTGACTGTGTTTTACATAAGTTTATTCCTAATGTGAACAGAAGCTCTATTCAGTAGAATTAGGAACAGTACAGACCAAACACACAAAGAACCAGAATGGATTTCAAAAAATCACGCTGGACGGTTTCTATTTGATTCAACTGCTCTGCTTTACTTATAATTTTCTCCTAGCCAAATTGGACACATATAAAATATCAAGTTCATATACCACCTTACCACGTGAGTTATTTTTTAAATTACAGCATTTAATCATTTCACCCACTTCTCATAAAAAAAAAAAACATATTAAAGCCTCTCAGAATCTTGAGCATCATAGCCAAGGTTCTTCACAGTATGTTCCAAATCTTTCTTTTCATTTATATTTTCCACTGTATTCTTTGTACCTAGGGGATTAAATTCAAAATACATCAGAGCCATTATGTTAAGTTCACTGACTGATAAATATTAACACTAGAAAACTTGGTCTGAAGAGGGTTCCTTGAGGTGCTTGCTGTACCAGGCAGGTTTTTGTTTTCACTGTTAGATATTCCCAATCCTGGAGAGATAGTGAAACCTGAGGAAGCTTCCAGGGTGGACACAGCAAAGGGGCATATTTGAAGGACTAAGGGCTATGATTATTTACCAAGGATAGTCACAGCATTTCAATATTTTAATGCCCAGAATGGCTATATCAGTGTGTACAAACTGAATGTCAGTCCAAATGCACACTGCATTATAAATTTCAGGCTTCTAACTATTCCTCATGCACAGGATCAAGCAAGTAAATATATTTTGAGTCGAATAAAATTAAAATATTCTATGAATTTTTATACCTTTGAATGTTTGCTCATAAGATTTCTTTTATATTCCTCTAGTTTTTCATTATATACCCTCAATTCATTTTTTGTGAATTGGCTGCAACACTAGCTCTGCTCTTCCGCCTTCTCAGAACCTTAACGGTCAGAATTAATGGCTGCCTTCTCCTCAGGAAAATAACAATCAATATATATTCCTAACAGTGGCCACTATAGGAGGACTTTAATTATGGTTGCTTCTAAACTTGTTTAGAATAGGAATTCAAATTTCATCACTTTGTAAATCTGTAATGAAAGCCAAAGGGAGTGCCTTTCCCTATATTGCTCAGTAAATGCCAAATAAAGAAATTTAAGAAGGAGCCATGAATGCTGGATGAGTAGTCATATGGAAAAGGGATACTCATTTGAGTGCTGTAAACACTCTTTTATGTATATGAAGCCCAAAGAGTTTATTCTCTTGGAAGAAGATAAGCAGTTGTGAGCACAAAGGAGGCAAACAAGAACTAGAGCTGCTATTTTAAGGCGAGTGCTATATGCTAGTACAAAACCCCATTTTTACACTTTAATGTTTCAATCTCATATTACTTTAATAAATCACAGTGCTTCACTTTACTTTTAATAGTGGAATAAATATTATAATGACCTTTTTACTGGACAGGAAAAAATATAATTTTTCCACATTGCAACACTGAGTATATTTTTCTCAACTTTCTGCTGAATAGGTCATCCAAGGGCAAGATAAAATAACTTCTTGATACCAAACTTTATTAGTACAATGATGTCAGCTTGCAAGAAAAGTGTCAAGTCTCATTATTCTTTCTTTCTTTCTTTTTTTTTCTGACACAGTCTCGCTCTACTGCCACGCTGGAATGCAGTGGGGTAATCTCGGCTCACTGCAACCACCTCCTCCTTGATTCAAGCGATTCTCCTGCCTCACCCTCCAGAGTAGCTGGGACTAAAGGCCAGCATGCCACCAGGCTCAGCTAACTTTTGAATTTTTAGTAGAGATGGGGTTTCACCATGTTGGCCAGGTTGGTCTCGATCTCTTGACCTCGTGATCCGCCCACCTCGGTTTCCCAGAGTGTTGGGATTACAGGTGTGAGCCACCACACCCGGCCTATTCTTTCTTTTTAAGATGACCTTCCTGTAACTCCCATTTTCCTTTTATATTTTCTCATATATTATGTATAAAGATTCACTGAATACCATAAAAATTATTCCAAAGTTAGAGCAAAATTGCTCTTTTAGCTGTATAAACAGAACATAGCATGCTCACATCCATTACCGGCTTACTTTCCGACTCTCCTTCAAGATATTCACTGCATTAAAAATTAGAACTAACTTTTGAATAAAGTCCATAACAGGCAGTACAGTTTCTGTTCTATCTTGTATATCCTCAGCTTATTTATTTGCCTCTGAGACAGAATAGGGTAATTTGTTAAAAAGTGCTCCATCTTTTCTTTTTCATCGGCTTTTCATTTGTTTCCAAACTTGAGTTTCCTGACTCTGTGCTATAAATGTCTAAAGGAACTGTGAATAATGAATCTCCTATTGCTTTTTTCCATTTTGTAATTTTGACCTTTCATTTCCAAGTAAACCCTTCTAATAAGGACTATTTTAAACTGCATGTGGTTTCCATCAGCACAGGTATTAGAAATGACTTACAGTGTTAGTTCTATTATATAAACCACTGACTTTCCCTTAGGCTTGTGGTAAGTAGATGACTAAGAAATTTATTTTCTTTATCTTTGTCTCTCATTTTCACCTCTGATGTCTACCTACACCAAATGAGAGAAGAAATAATGATCCCTCAAAAAGTTTTCCAACATCTCATTCTATTTTGTCAATCCTTTTATTTCAGTGCAGAGTTTTGTTAATCAAATCATTGTGGAGACTTTTCTAAAGTTGGTACATATATTTGCTTTCGTTTTTAATTCTTATTTTCACCAAGAGTCAGTGAATTCATGACTTGTTTGGTACATTTTTGTAGCTCATTTCACGTATACTTTATATTTTCAATGATATAAATCATTTTTTTTTCCTCTGGGGTGTATACAAAAAAAGTGAGAATGGTTGTGGGAGGGAGTATCTTATAATAATGGGTTTATATTTAGGGAGCAGTGGAGGAAATAAAAGGCTTTTTTATGTTTGACGCAAACTTTTTTCTGCAAGTTAAGCCTTTCTCCTTTTGTTTGTTAAGATAAAAATAATTTACATTATTCTCTAAAGGCATGTGCCAATGTGGAACACATTAAAAGTCTTACTGAAACACATATATTTTCTTACATATTCCATCTCCTATACTTCCCAGGTACTTTATCCTGAAATGTGACACGAAAGTAATATAAAACAGATTTAAAAATTATTTGTAACCAGTTAGTGCACTAAAACAAATAATTACTTTCTAAATCTTGGTCTTGAGATTTATGAACCAGTATAAAATTAATTGATATAGATATGGCTATAATTGCAGATTACAAATCTCAAAAATTTACTATTCCTGACTCTTCCTTATAACCAAATGTAATGCATTATAATCTTTGTTTTTAACCAAAAACCAGAAATTTCAAAAATTATTCTTGCTTAATTTTTTCAGTGGTTTATAATTCAAGTAAGGAAAAAATAATTGTTATGACTAACACAAATTCATTCTGTTGCCGTTTAAGCTTTTGGTTTTTTGCTTGTTATTGAGACACAGAAAATCATCATCCTCTTGTAAGATTCTATTAGATGCTTAGAGAAAATAAAACTACTATCTAAGCCTTTTGTTTGTTTTATTGTTATGGACATGTTCATATTTTGACAGCAATCCCCTGGACACGCTCTCACTCATTTTCTGATTTCAAACTTCCTGAATGCATACTGACTCAGGAATAAAGTCAGATTTTCTTTTCAGAAGATTCGTGAGTGTTTTCTTTTGTTTCTTTCTTGTGTATATGTTTTTGTTTGTTTGTTTTTGTTTTTTTTTTTGGTTTTTATTTTTTTGAGGTTTTACTAGCTGAAGACATCTCATCTCACTGAATTGGTTTATCAGTAAACATATTTTAGTTGTTTTTTCCCCTTTGTTCTCACCCATCTTAACCCTTATACCCTCTCCCCTTACAGCAAATTAAGAAGACATTTAGAGAAATACCTTTTCTTTATGTGAGCGAAGAAAAGGGAACAAATTACAGATAATGTCATATCCTAAAAGCAGTTTTGGTCCAATCAAGATTTTTAGCTGCCAGGTAACATTTAAGGCTCTCTACTTTCAGTATTTAAAAACAAGGTATATCTGATCAGGATCCAGCCCATGGAACATAAACTAATACTGAAATTCAATCTAAAATAGACCTCGGTGTCTTAAATCTCTGTACTATTTTTAAATTTGCCCATGTTACTTAATTTGTCTCAGAGACAAAAAAACTTTCTATGATTTGTCTTTGCACTAAAACTAAAAAATATATAATTTATTCATAATATTCAATTTATAGTGCAAGAATACAAAAACACAGACTATGCCTTTCATTTATGTGACACCAAACAGTTGCATTTTTCAAGTTGACAAGGGAAATTAACATTTTTACCTGCTATGTAAAATGGAAGTGATAAAGTCAAAAAGATAACTTCCATCACTAAATAATTTTGTTTAAAATATAAATTGTCATTAGTCTTTCAACAAATTGG